>NC_000018.10:18179120-18504759 GCF_000001405.40 Homo sapiens | reverse complement strand
TGTGTCTAGTTGTTATGGGAAGACATTTCCTTTTTCAACATAGGCCTGAAAGCGCTCCAAATGTCCACTTCCAGATACTACAAAAGGAGTGATTCCAACCTGCTCTATGATAGGGAATGTTCAACTCTGTGTCCTGAATACAAACATCACAAAGATGTTTCTCAGAACGCTGCAGTCTGCAATTTGTATGAATTCCCGCTTCCAACGAAATCCTCAAAACTAGCCAAATATCCACTTGCAGATTCCACAAAAAGAGCATTTCAAAACTGCTCTATCAAAAGAAAGGTTCAACTTTGTTAGTTGAGTAGATACAGCATAAACAAGTTTCTGAGAATGCTTCTGTCCAGTTTTTATGGGAAGATATTTCCTTTTTCACCTTAGCCCTGAAATCGCTCCAAAAGTCCAGTTCCAGATACTACAAAAGGGGTGTTTCAAGACTGCTCTATGAAAGGGAGTGTTCAACTTTTGACTTGAATGCAAACATCAGAAAGCAGTTTCTCAGAACGCTGCAGTATGCAATTTGTATGAATTCCCGCTTCCAACGAAATCCTCCAAACTAGCCAAATATCCACTTGCAGAGTCCACAAAAAGAGCGTTTCAAAACTTCTCTATGAAAAGAAAGGTTCTACTCCTTTAGTTGAGGACACACATCACGAGTAAGTTTCTGAGAATGCTTCTGTCTAGTTTTTATGGGAAGATATTTCCTTGTTCACCTTAGGCCGGAAAGCGCTCCAAATGTCCACTTACACACACTACAAAAAGAGTGTTTCAAACCTGCTCTGTGAAAGGGAATGTTCAATTCTGTGACTTGAATGCAATCATCACAAAGAAGTTTCTGAGAATGCTGCTTTCTGCTTTTTATATGTAATCCCGTTTCCAACGAAATCCTCATATCTAGCCAAATATCCACTTGCAGATTCCACAAAAAGAGTGTTTCAAAACTGTTCTGTCTAAAGAAATGTTCAACTGTGTTAGTTGAGGACACACATCAGAAACTAGTTTCTGAGAATGCTTCCGTCTAGTTGTTATGGGAAGATATTTCCTTTTCCAACGTAGGCCTGAAAGCGCTCCAAATGTCCACTTCCATATACTAAAAAAAGAGTGTTTCAAACCTGCTCTACCAAAGGAATGTTCTACTCTGTGACTTGAATGCAAACATCCCAAAGAAGTTTCTGAGAATGCTTCTGTCTAGATTTGATCTGAAGACAATCCCTTTTCCAACGAAATCCTCAAAGCTAGGCAAATATCCTCTTGCAGATTCCAGAAAAAGAGTGTTTCCAAACTGCTCCTTCAAAACGGTGGTTCAATTCTCTTAGTTGAGTACACACATGTCAAATAAGTTTCTGAGAATGCTTCTGCGTAGTTGTTACGGGAAGATATTTCCCTTTCCAACATAGGCCTGAAAGCGCAACAAATGTCCACTTCCAGATACGACAAAAAGAGTGTTTCAAACCTGCTCTACCGAAGGGAATGTTCTACTCTGTGACTTGAATGCAAACATCCCGAAGAAGTTTCTGAGAATGCTTCTGTCTAGATTTTACCTGAAGACAATCCCGTTTCCCACGAAATCCTCAGAGCTATGCAAATATCCTCTTGCAGATTCTACAAAAAGAGTGTTTCGAAACTGCTCTATGAAAAGAAAGGTTCAACTCTGTCAGTAGAGGAAACACATCACCAACAAGTTTCTGAGAATGCTTGTGTCTAGTTGTTATGGGAAGATATTTCCTTTTTCAACATAGGCCTGAAAGCGCTCCAAATGTCCACTTCCAGATACTACAAAAGGAGTGATTCCAACATGCTCTATGATAGGGAATGTTCATCTCTGTGTCCTGAATACAAACATCACAAAGATGTTTCTCAGAACGCTGCAGTCTGCAATTTGTATGAATTCCCGCTTCCAACGAAATCCTCAAAACTAGCCAAATATCCACTTGCAGATTCCACAAAAAGAGCATTTCAAAACTGCTCTATCAAAAGAAAGGTTCAACTTTGTTAGTTGAGTAGATACAGCATAAACAAGTTTCTGAGAATGCTTCTGTCCAGTTTTTATGGGAAGATATTTCCTTTTTCACCTTAGCCCTGAAAGCGCTCCAAAAGTCCAGTTCCAGATACTACAAAAGGAGTGTTTCAGACTGCACTATGAAAGGGAGTGTTCAACTTTTGACTTGAATGCAAACATCAGAAAGCAGTTTCTCAGAACGCTGCTGTGTGCTTTTTATATGTATTCCCGCTTCCAGCGAAATCCCCAAAGCTAGCCAAATATCCACTTGCAGATTCCAGAAAAAGAGTGTTTCAAAACTGCTCCTTCAAAACGGTGGTTCAATTCTCTTAGTTGAGTACACACATCTCAAATAAGTTTCTGAGAATGCTTCTGTCTAGTTGTTATGGGAAGATATTTCCTTTTCCAACATAGGCCTGAAAGCGCTCCAAATGTCCACTTCCAGATACTACAAAAGGAGTGATTCCAACCTGCTCTATGATAGGGAATGTTCAACTCTGTGTCCTGAATACAAACATCACAAAGATGTTTCTCAGAACGCTGCAGTCTGCAATTTGTATGAATTCCCGCTTCCAACGAAATCCTCAAAACTAGCCAAATATCCACTTGCAGATTCCACAAAAAGAGCGTTTCAAAACTTCTCTATGAAAACAAAGGTTCTACTCCTTTAGTTGAGGACACACATCACGAGTAAGTTTCTGAGAATGCTTCTGTCTAGTTTTTATGGGAAGATATTTCCTTTTTCACCTTAGGCCGGAAAGTGCTCCAAATGTCCACTTACACACACTATACAAAGAGTGTTTCAAACCTGCTCTGTGAAAGGGAATATTCAATACTGTGACTTGAATGCAATCATCACAAAGAAGTTTCTGAGAATGCTGCTGTCTGCTTTTTATATGTAATCCCGTTTCCAACGAAATCCTCAAATCTAGCCAAATAGCCACTTGCAGATACCACAAAAAGAGTGTTTCAAAACTGTTCTGTCTAAAGAAATGTTCAACTGTGTTAGTTGAGGACACACATCAGAAACTAGTTTCTGAGAATGCTTCTGTCTAGTTGTTATGGGAAGATATTTCCTTTTCCAACGTAGGCCTGAAAGCGCTCCAAATGTCCACTTCCATATACTAAAAAAAGAGTGTTTCAAACCTGCTCTACCAAAGGGAATGTTCTACTCTGTGACTTGAATGCAAACATCCCAAAGAAGTTTCTGAGAATGCTTCTGTCTAGATTTGATCTGAAGACAATCCCGTTTCCAACGAAATCCTCAAGGCTAGGCAAATATCCTCTTGCAGATTCCAGAAAAAGAGTGTTTCAAAACTGCTCCTTCAAAACGGTGGTTCAATTCTCTTAGTTGAGTACACACATCTCAAATAAGTTTCTGAGAATGCTTCTGCCTAGTTGTTACGGGAAGATATTTCCCTTTCCAACATAGGCCTGAAAGCGCTCCAAATGTCCACTTCCAGATACTACAAAAAGAGTGTTTCAAACCTGCTCTACCAAAGGGAATGTTCTACTCTGTGACTTGAATGCAAACATCCCAAAGAAGTTTCTGAGAATGCTTCTGTCTAGATTTTACCTGAAGACAATCCCGTTTCCCACGAAATCCTCAAAGCTATGCAAATATCCTCTTGCAGATTCTACAAAAAGAGTGTTTCAAAACTGCTCTATGAAAAGAAAGGTTCAACTCTGTCAGTAGAGGGCACACATCACAAACAAGTTTCTGAGAATGCTTCTGCATAGTTGTTACGGGAAGATATTTCCCTTTCCAAAATAGGCCTGAAAGCGCTCCAAATGTCCACTTCCAGATACTACAAAAGGAGTGATTCCAACCTGCTCTATGATAGGGAATGTTCAACTCTGTGTCCTGAATACAAACATCACAAAGATGTTTCTCAGAACGCTGCAGTCTGCAATTTGTATGAATTCCCGCTTCCAACGAAATCCTCAAAACTAGCAAAATATCCACTTGCAGATTCCACAAAAAGACCATTTCAAAACTGCTCTATCAAAAGAAAGGTTCAACTTTGTTAGTTGAGTAGATACAGCATAACCAAGTTTCTGAGAATGCTTCTGTCCAGTTTTTATGGGAAGATATTTCCTTTTTCACCTTAGCCCTGAAATCGCTCCAAAAGTCCAGTTCCAGATACTACAAAAGGGGTGTTTCAAGACTGCTCTATGAAAGGGAGTGTTCAACTTTTGACTTGAATGCAAACATCAGAAAGCAGTTTCTCAGAACGCTGCTGTGTGCTTTTTATATGTATTCCCGCTTCCAGCGAAATCCCCAAAGCTAGCCAAATATCCACTTGCAGATTCCAGAAAAAGAGAGTTTCAAAACTGCTCCTTCAAAACGGTGGTTCAATTCTCTTAGTTGAGTACACACATCTCAAATAAGTTTCTGAGAATGCTTGTGTCTAGTTGTTATGGGAAGATATTTCCTTTTTCAACATAGGCCTGAAAGCGCTCCAAATGTCCACTTCCAGATACTACAAAAGGAGTGATTCCAACCTGCTCTATGATAGGGAATGTTCATCTCTGTGTCCTGAATACAAACATCACAAAGATGTTCCTCAGAACGCTGCAGTCTGCAATTTGGATGAATTCCCGCTTCCAACGAAATCCTCAAAACTAGCCAAATATCCACTTGGAGATTCCACAAAAAGAGGGTTTCAAAACTTCTCTATGAATAGAAAGGTTCTACTCCTTTAGTTGAGGACACACATCACGAGTAAGTTTCTGAGAATGCTTCTGTCTAGTTTTTATGGGAAGATATTTCCTTTTTCACCTTAGGCCGGAAAGCGCTCCAAATGTCCACTTACACACACTACAAAAAGAGTGTTTCAAACCTGCTCTGTGAAAGGGAATGTTCAATTCTGTGACTTGAATGCAATCATCACAAAGAACTTTCTGAGAATGCTGCTGTCTGCTTTTTATATGTAATCCCGTTTCCAACGAAATCCTCAAATCTAGCCAAATATCCACTTGCAGATTCCACAAAAAGAGTGTTTCAAAACTGTTCTGTCTAAAGAAAAGTTCAACTGTGTTAGTTGAGGACACACATCAGAAACTAGTTTCTGAGAATGCTTCTGTCTAGTTGTTATGGGAAGATATTTCCTTTTCCAACGTAGGCCTGAAAGCGCTCCAAATGTCCACTTCCATATACTAAAAAGAGAGTGTTTCAAACCTGCTCTACCAAAGGGAATGTTCTACTCTGTGACTTGAATGCAAACATCCCAAAGAAGTTTCTGAGAATGCTTCTGTCTAGATTTGATCTGAAGACAATCCCGTTTCCAACGAAATCCTCAAGGCTAGGCAAATATACTCTTGCAGATTCCAGAAAAAGAGTGTTTCAAAACTGCTCCTTCAAAACGGTGGTTCAATTCTCTTAGTTGAGTACACACATCTCAAATAAGTTTCTGAGAATGCTTCTGCCTAGTTGTTACGGGAAGATATTTCCCTTTCCAACATGGGCCTGAAAGCGCTCCAAATGTCCACTTCCAGATACTACAAAAAGAGTGTTTCAAACCTGCTCTACCAAAGGGAATGTTCTACTCTGTGACTTGAATGCAAACATCCCAAAGAAGTTTCTGAGAATGCTTCTGTCTAGATTTTACCTGAAGACAATCCCGTTTCCCACGAAATCCTCAAAGCTATGCAAATATCCTCTTGCGGATTCTACAAAAAGAGTGTTTCAAAACTGCTCTATGAAAAGAAAGGTTCAACTCTGTCAGTAGAGGGCACACATCACAAACAAGTTTCTGAGAATGCTTGTGTCTAGTTGTTATGGGAAGATATTTCCTTTTTCAACATAGGCCTGAAAGCGCTCCAAATGTCCACTTCCAGATACTACAAAAGGAGTGATTCCAACATGCTCTATGATAGGGAATGTTCATCTCTGTGTCCTGAATACAAACATCACAAAGATGTTTCTCAGAACGCTGCAGTCTGCAATTTGTATGAATTCCCGCTTCCAACGAAATCCTCAAAACTAGCCAAATATCCACTTGCAGATTCCACAAAAAGAGCATTTCAAAACTGCTCTATCAAAAGAAAGGTTCAACTTTGTTAGTTGAGTAGATACAGCATAAACAAGTTTCTGAGAATGCTTCTGTCCACTTTTTATGGGAAGATATTTCCTTTTTCACCTTAGCCCTGAAAGCGCTCCAAAAGTCCAGTTCCAGATACTACAAAAGGAGTGTTTCAGGACTGCTCTATGAAAGGGAGTGTTCAACTTTTGACTTGAATGCAAACATCAGAAAGCAGTTTCTCAGAACGCTGCTGTGTGCTTTTTATATGTATTCCCGCTTCCAGCGAAATCCCCAAAGCTAGCCAAATATCCACTTGCAGATTCCAGAAAAAGAGTGTTTCAAAACTGCTCCTTCAAAACGGTGGTTCAATTCTCTTAGTTGAGTACACACATCTCAAATAAGTTTCTGAGAATGCTTGTGTCTAGTTGTTATGGGAAGATATTTCCTTTTTCAACATAGGCCTGTAAGCGCTCCAAATGTCCACTTCCAGATACTACAAAAGGAGTGATTCCAACCTGCTCTATGATAGGGAATGTTCAACTCTCTGTCCTGAATACAAACATCACAAAGATGTTTCTCAGAACGCTGCAGTCTGCAATTTGTATGAATTCCCGCTTCCAACGAAATCCTCAAAACTAGCCAAATATCCACTTGGAGATTCCACAAAAAGAGCGTTTCAAAACTTCTCTATGAATAGAAAGGTTCTACTCCTTTAGTTGAGGACACACATCACGAGTAAGTTTCTGAGAATGCTTCTGTCTAGTTTTTATGGGAAGATATTTCCTTTTTCACCTTAGGCCGGAAAGCGCTCCAAATGTCCACTTACACACACTACAAAAAGAGTGTTTCAAACCTGCTCTGTGAAAGGGAATGTTCAATTCTGTGACTTGAATGCAATCATCACAAAGAACTTTCTGAGAATGCTGCTGTCTGCTTTTTATATGTAATCCTGTTTCCAACGAAATCCTCAAATCTAGCCCAATATCCACTTGCAGATTCCACAAAAAGAGTGTTTCAAAACTGTTCTGTCTAAAGAAATGTACAACTGTGTTAGTTGAGGACACACATCAGAAACTAGTTTCTGAGAATGCTTCTGTCTAGTTGTTATGGGAAGATATTTCCTTTTCCAACGTAGGCCTGAAAGCGCTCCAAATGTCCACTTCCATATACTAAAAAAAGAGTGTTTCAAACCTGCTCTACCAAAGGGAATGTTCTACTCTGTGACTTGAATGCAAACATCCCAAAGAAGTTTCTGAGAATGCTTCTGTCTAGATTTTATCTGAAGACAGTCCCGTTTCCAACGAAATCCTCAAGGCTAGGCAAATATACTCTTGCAGATTCCAGAAAAAGAGTGTTTCAAAACTGCTCCTTCAAAACGGTGGTTCAATTCTCTTAGTTGAGTACACACATCTCAAATAAGTTTCTGAGAATGCTTCTGCCTAGTTGTTACGGGAAGATATTTCCCTTTCCAACATGGGCCTGAAAGCGCTCCAAATGTCCACTTCCAGATACTACAAAAAGAGTGTTTCAAACCTGCTCTACCAAAGGGAATGTTCTACTCTGTGACTTGAATGCAAACATCCCAAAGAAGTTTCTGAGAATGCTTCTGTCTAGATTTTACCTGAAGACAATCCCGTTTCCCACGAAATCCTCAAAGCTATGCAAATATCCTCTTGCAGATTCTACAAAAAGAGTGTTTCAAAAGTGCTCTATGAAAAGAAAGGTTCAACTCTGTCAGTAGAGGGCACACATCACAAACAAGTTTCTGAGAATGCTTCTGCATAGTTGTTACGGGAAGATATTTCCCTTTCCAAAATAGGCCTGAAAGCGCTCCAAATGTCCACTTCCAGATACTACAAAAGGAGTGATTCCAACCTGCTCTATGATAGGGAATGTTCAACTCTGTGTCCTGAATACAAACATCACAAAGATGTTTCTCAGAACGCTGCAGTCTGCAATTTGTATGAATTCCCGCTTCCAACGAAATCCTCAAAACTAGCCAAATATCCACTTGCAGATTCCACAAAAAGAGCATTTCAAAACTGCTCTATCAAAAGAAAGGTTCAACTTTGTTAGTTGAGTAGATACAGCATAAACAAGTTTCTGAGAATGCTTCTGTCCAGTTTTTATGGGAAGATATTTCCTTTTTCACCTTAGCCCTGAAAGCGCTCCAAAAGTCCAGTTCCAGATACCACAAAAGGGGTGTTTCAGTACTGCTCTATGAAAGGGAGTGTTCAACTTTTGACTTGAATGCAAACATCAGAAAGCAGTTTCTCAGAACGCTGCTGTGTGCTTTTTATATGTATTCCCGCTTCCAGCGAAATCCCCAAAGCTAGCCAAATATCCACTTGCAGATTCCAGAAAAAGAGTGTTTCAAAACTGCTCCTTCAAAACGGTGGTTCAATTCTCTTAGTTGAGTACACACATCTCAAATAAGTTTCTGAGAATGCTTGTGTCTAGTTGTTATGGGAAGATATTTCCTTTTTCAACATAGGCCTGAAAGCGCTCCAAATGTCCACTTCCAGATACTACAAAAGGAGTGATTCCAACCTGCTCTATCATAGGGAATGTTCATCTCTGTGTCCTGAATACAAACATCACAAAGATGTTTCTCAGAACGCTGCAGTCTGCAATTTGTATGAATTCCCGCTTCCAACGAAATCCTCAAAACTAGCCAAATATCCACTTGGAGATTCCACAAAAAGAGCATTTCAAAACTTCTCTATGAATAGAAAGGTTCTACTCCTTTAGTTGAGGACACACATCACGAGTAAGTTTCTGAGAATGCTTCTGTCTAGTTTTTATGGGAAGATATTTCCTTTTTCACCTTAGGCCGGAAAGCGCTCCAAATGTCCACTTACACACACTACAAAAAGAGGGTTTCAAACCTGCTCTGTGAAAGGGAATGTTCAATTCTGTGACTTGAATGCAATCATCACAAAGAACTTTCTGAGAATGCTGCTGTCTGCTTTTTATATGTAATCCCGTTTCCAACGAAATCCTCAAATCTAGCCAAATAGCCACTTGCAGATTCCACAAAAAGAGTGTTTCAAAACTGTTCTGTCTAAAGAAAAGTTCAACTGTGTTAGTTGAGGACACACATCAGAAACTAGTTTCTGAGAATGCTTCTGTCTAGTTGTTATGGGAAGATATTTCCTTTTCCAACGTAGGCCTGAAAGCGCTCCAAATGTCCACTTCCATATACTAAAAAAAGAGTGTTTCAAACCTGCTCTACCAAAGGGAATGTTCTACTCTGTGACTTGAATGCAAACATCCCAAAGAAGTTTCTGAGAATGCTTCTGTCTAGATTTTATCTGAAGACAATCCCGTTTCCAACAAAATCCTCAAGGCTAGGCAAATATACTCTTGCAGATTCCAAGAAAAAGAGGGTTTCAAAACTGCTCCTTCAAAACGGTGGTTCAATTCTCTTAGTTGAGTACACACATCTCAAATAAGTTTCTGAGAATGCTTCTGCCTAGTTGTTACGGGAAGATATTTCCCTTTCCAACATGGGCCTGAAAGCGCTCCAAATGTCCACTTCCAGATACTACAAAAAGAGTGTTTCAAACCTGCTCTACCAAAGGGAATGTTCTACTCTGTGACTTGAATGCAAACATCCCAAAGAAGTTTCTGAGAATGCTTCTGTCTAGATTTTACCTGAAGACAATCCCGTTTCCCACGAAATCCTCAAAGCTATGCAAATATCCTCTTGCAGATTCTACAAAAAGAGTGTTTCAAAACTGCTCTATGAAAAGAAAGGTTCAACTCTGTCAGTAGAGGGCACACATCACAAACAAGTTTCTGAGAATGCTTCTGCATAGTTGTTACGGGAAGATATTTCCCTTTCCAAAATAGGCCTGAAAGCGCTCCAAATGTCCACTTCCAGATACTACAAAAGGAGTGATTCCAACCTGCTCTATGATAGGGAATGTTCAACTCTGTGTCCTGAATACAAACATCACAAAGATGTTTCTCAGAACGCTGCAGTCTGCAATTTGTATGAATTCCCGCTTCCAACGAAATCCTCAAAACTAGCCAAATATCCACTTGCAGATTCCACAAAAAGACCATTTCAAAACTGCTCTATCAAAAGAAAGGTTCAACTTTGTTAGTTGAGTAGATACAGCATAAACAAGTTTCTGAGAATGCTTCTGTCCAGTTTTTATGGGAAGATATTTCCTTTTTCACCTTAGCCCTGAAATCGCTCCAAAAGTCCAGTTCCAGATACTACAAAAGGGGTGTTTCAGGACTGCTCTATGAAAGGGAGTGTTCAACTTTTGACTTGAATGCAAACATCAGAAAGCAGTTTCTCAGAACGCTGCTGTGTGTTTTTTATATGTATTCCCGCTTCCAGCGAAATCCCCAAAGCTAGCCAAATATCCACTTGCAGATTCCAGAAAAAGAGCGTTTCAAAACTGCTCCTTGAAAACGGTGGTTCAATTCTCTTAGTTGAGTACACCCATCTCAAATAAGTTTCTGAGAATGCTTCTGTCTAGTTGTTATGGGAAGATATTTCCTTTTCCAACATAGGCCTGAAAGCGCTCCAAATGTCCACTTCCAGATACTACAAAAGGAGTGATTCAAACCTGCTCTATGATAGGGAATGTTCAACTCTGTGTCCTGAATACAAACATCACAAAGATGTTTCTCAGAACGCTGCAGTCTGCAATTTGTATGAATTCCCGCTTCCAACGAAATCCTCAAAACTAGCCAAATATCCACTTGCAGATTCCACAAAAAGAGCGTTTCAAAACTTCTCTATGAAAAGAAAGGTTCTACTCCTTTAGTTGAGGACACACATCACGAGTAAGTTTCTGAGAATGCTTCTGTCTAGTTTTTATGGGAAGATATTTCCTTTTTCACCTTAGGCCGGAAAGTGCTCCAAATGTCCACTTACACACACTACAAAAAGAGTGTTTCAAACCTGCTCTGTGAAAGGGAATGTTCAATTCTGTGACTTGAATGCAATCATCACAAAGAAGTTTCTGAGAATGCTGCTGTCTGCTTTTTATATGTAATCCCGTTTCCAACGAAATCCTCAAATCTAGCCAAATATCCACTTGTAGATTCCACAAAAAGAGGGTTTCAAAACTGTTCTGTCTAAAGAAATGTTCAACTGTGTTAGTTGAGGACACACATCAGAAACTAGTTTCTGAGAATGCTTCTGTCTAGTTGTTATGGGAAGATATTTCCTTTTCCAACGTAGGCCTGAAAGCGCTCCAAATGTCCACTTACACACACTACAAAAAGAGTGTTTCAAACCTGCTCTACCAAAGGGAATGTTCTACTCTGTGACTTGAATGCAAACATCCCAAAGAAGTTTCTGAGAATGCTTCTGTCTAGATTTTACCTGAAGACAATCCCGTTTCCCACGAAATCCTCAAAGCTATGCAAATATCCTCTTGCAGATTGTACAAAAAGAGTGTTTCGAAACTGCTCTATGAAAAGAAAGGTTCAACTGTGTCAGTAGAGGGCACACATCACAAACAAGTTTCTGAGAATGCTTCTGCCTAGTTGTTATAGGAAGATATTTCCTTTTTCAACATAGGCCTGAAAGCGCTCCAAATGTCCACTTCGAGATACTACAAAAGGAGTGATTCCAACCTGCTCGATGATAGGGAATGTTCAACTCTGTGTCCTGAATACAAACATCACAAAGATGTTTCTCAGAACGCTGCAGTCTGCAATTTGTATGAATTCCCGCTTCCAACGAAATCCTCTAACCTAGCCAAATATCCACTTGCAGATTCCACAAAAAGAGCATTTCAAAACTGCTCTATCAAAAGAAAGGTTCAACTTTGTTAGTTGAGTAGATACAGCATAAACAAGTTTCTGAGAATGCTTCTGTCCAGTTTTTATGGGAAGATATTTCCTTTTTCACTTGAGCCCTGAAAGCGCTCCAAATGTCCAGTTCCAGATACTACAAAAGGGGTGTTTCAAGACTGCTCTATGAAAGGGAGTGTTCAACTTTTGACTTGAATGCAAACATCAGAAAGCAGTTTCTCAGAACGCTGCAGTCTGCAATTTGTATGAATTCCCGCTTCCAACGAAATCCTCAAAACTAGCCAAATATCCACTTGCAGATTCCACAAAAAGAGCGTTTCAAAACTTCTCTATGAAAAGAAAGGTTCTACTCCTTTAGTTGAGGACACACAATACGAGTAAGTTTCTGAGAATGCTTCTGTCCAGTTTTTATGGGAAGATATTTCCTTTTTCACCTTAGCCCTGAAAGCGCTCCAAAAGTCCAGTTCCAGATACTACAAAAGGAGTGTTTCAGGACTGCTCTATGAAAGGGAGTGTTCAACTTTTGACTTGAATGCAAACATCAGAAAGCAGTTTCTCAGAACGCTGCTGTGTGCTTTTTATATGTATTCCCGCTTCCAGCGAAATCCCCAAAGCTAGCCAAATATCCACTTGCAGATTCCAGAAAAAGAGTGTTTCAAAACTGCTCCTTCAAAACGGTGGTTCAATTCTCTTAGTTGAGTACACACATCTCAAATAAGTTTCTGAGAATGCTTCTGTCTAGTTGTTATGGGAAGATATTTCCTTTTCCAACATAGGCCTGAAAGCGCTCCAAATGTCCACTTCCAGATACTACAAAAGGAGTGATTCAAACCTGCTCTATGATAGGGAATGTTCAACTCTGTGTCCTGAATACAAACATCACAAAGATGTTTCTCAGAACGCTGCAGTCTGCAATTTGTATGAATTCCCGCTTCCAGCGAAATCCTCAAAACTAGCCAAATATCCACTTGCAGATTCCACAAAAAGAGCATTTCAAAACTGCTCTATCAAAAGAAAGGTTCAACTTTGTTAGTTGAGTAGATACAGCATAAACAAGTTTCTGAGAATGCTTCTGTCCAGTTTTTATGGGAAGATATTTCCATTTTCACCTTAGCCCTGAAAGCGCTCCAAAAGTCCAGTTCCAGATACTACAAAAGGAGTGTTTCAGGACTGCTCTATGAAAGGGAGTGTTCAACTTTTGACTTGAATGCAAACATCAGAAAGCAGTTTCTCAGAACGCTGCTGTGTGCTTTTTATATGTATTCCGGCCTCCAGCGAAATCCCCAAAGCTAGCCAAATATCCACTTGCAGATTCCAGAAAAAGAGTGTTTCAAAACTGCTCCTTCAAAACGGTGGTTCAATTCTCTTAGTTGAGTACACACATCTCAAATAAGTTTCTGAGAATGCTTCTGTCTAGTTGTTATGGGAAGATATTTCCTTTTCCAACATAGGCCTGAAAGCGCTCCAAATGTCCACTTCCAGATACTACAAAAGGAGTGATTCAAACCTGCTCTATGATAGGGAATGTTCAACTCTGTGTCCTGAATACAAACATCACAAAGATGTTTCTCAGAACGCTGCAGTCTGCAATTTGTATGAATTCCCGCTTCCAACGAAATCCTCCAAACTAGCCAAATATCCACTTGCAGATTCCACAAAAAGAGCGTTTCAAAACTTCTCTATGAAAAGAAAGGTTCTACTCCTTTAGTTGAGGACACACATCACGAGTAAGTTTCTGAGAATGCTTCTGTCTAGTTTTTATGGGAAGATATTTCCTTTTTCACCTTAGGCGGGAAAGTGCTCCAAATGTCCACTTACACACACTTCAAAAAGAGTGTTTCAAACCTGCTCTGTGAAAGGGAATGTTCAATTCTGTGACTTGAATGCAATCATCACAAAGAACTTTCTGAGAATGCTGCTGTCTGCTTTTTATATGTAATCCCGTTTCCAACGAAATCCTCAAATCTAGCCAAATAGCCACTTGCAGATTCCACAAAAAGAGTGTTTCAAAACTGTTCTGTCTAAAGAAATGTTCAACTGTGTTAGTTGAGGACACACATCAGAAACTAGTTGCTGAGAATGCTTCTGTCTAGTTGTTATGGGAAGATATTTCCTTTTCCAACGTAGGCCTGAAAGCGCTCCAAATGTCCACTTCCATATACTAAAAAAAGAGTGTTTCAAACCTGCTCTACCAAAGGGAATGTTCTACTCTGTGACTTGAATGCAAACATCCCAAAGAAGTTTCTGAGAATGCTTCTGTCTAGATTTGATCTGAAGACAATCCCGTTTCCTACGAAATCCTCAAGGCTAGGCAAATATCCTCTTGCAGATTCCAGAAAAAGAGTGTTTCAAAACTGCTCCTTCAAAACGGTGGTTCAATTCTCTTAGTTGAGTACACACATCTCAAATAAGTTTCTGAGAATGCTTCTGCCTAGTTGTTACGGGAAGATATTTCCCTTTCCAACATAGGCCTGAAAGCGCTCCAAATGTCCACTTCCAGATACTACAAAAAGAGTGTTTCAAACCTGCTCTACCAAAGGGAATGTTCTACTCTGTGACTTGAATGCAAACATCCCAAAGAAGTTTCTGAGAATGCTTCTGTCTAGATTTTACCTGAAGACAATCCGGTTTCCCACGAAATCCTCAAAGCTATGTAAATATCCTCTTGCAGATTCTACAAAAAGAGTGTTTCAAAACTTCTCTATGAAAAGAAAGGTTCAACTCTGTCAGTATAGGGCACACATCACAAACAAGTTTCTGAGAATGCTTCTGCATAGTTGTTACGGGAAGATATTTCCCTTTCCAAAATAGGCCTGAAAGCGCTCCAAATGTCCACTTCCAGATACTACAAAAGGAGTGATTCCAACCTGCTCTATGATAGGGAATGTTCAACTCTGTGTCCTGAATACAAACATCACAAAGATGTTTCTCAGAACGCTGCAGTCTGCAATTTGTATGAATTCCCGCTTCCAACGAAATCCTCAAAACTAGCCAAATATCCACTTGCAGATTCCACAAAAAGACCATTTCAAAACTGCTCTATCAAAAGAAAGGTTCAACTTTGTTAGTTGAGTAGATACAGCATAACCAAGTTTCTGAGAATGCTTCTGTCCAGTTTTTATGGGAAGATATTTCCTTTTTCACCTTAGCCCTGAAATCGCTCCAAAAGTCCAGTTCCAGATACTACAAAAGGGGTGTTTCAAGACTGCTCTATGAAAGGGAGTGTTCAACTTTTGACTTGAATGCAAACATCAGAAAGCAGTTTCTCAGAACGCTGCTGTGTGCTTTTTATATGTATTCCCGCTTCCAGCGAAATCCCCAAAGCTAGCCAAATATCCACTTGCAGATTCCAGAAAAAGAGAGTTTCAAAACTGCTCCTTCAAAACGGTGGTTCAATTCTCTTAGTTGAGTACACACATCTCAAATAAGTTTCTGAGAATGCTTCTGTCTAGTTGTTATGGGAAGATATTTCCTTTTCCAACATAGGCCTGAAAGCGCTCCAAATGTCCACTTCCAGATACTACAAAAGGAGTGATTCAAACCTGCTCTATGATAGGGAATGTTCAACTCTGTGTCCTGAATACAAACATCACAAAGATGTTTCTCAGAACGCTGCAGTCTGCAATTTGTATGAATTCCCGCTTCCAACGAAATCCTCCAAACTAGCCAAATATCCACTTGCAGATTCCACAAAAAGAGCGTTTCAAAACTTCTCTATGAAAAGAAAGGTTCTACTCCTTTAGTTGAGGACACACATCACGAGTAAGTTTCTGAGAATGCTTCTGTCTAGTTTTTATGGGAAGATATTTCCTTTTTCACCTTAGGCCGGAAAGTGCTCCAAATGTCCACTTACACACACTACAAAAAGAGTGTTTCAAACCTGCTCTGTGAAAGGGAATGTTCAATTCTGTGACTTGAATGCAATCATCACAAAGAACGTTCTGAGAATGCTGCTGTCTGTTTTTTTATATGTAATCCCGTTTCCAACGAAATCCTCAAATCTAGCCAAATAGCCACTTGCAGATTCCACAAAAAGAGTGTTTCAAAACTGTTCTGTCTAAAGAAATGTTCAACTGTGTTAGTTGAGGACACACATCAGAAACTAGTTTCTGAGAATGCTTCTGTCTAGTTGTTATGGGAAGATATTTCCTTTTCCAACGTAGGCCTGAAAGCGCTCCAAATGTCCACTTCCATATACTAAAAAAAGAGTGTTTCAAACCTGCTCTACCAAAGGGAATGTTCTACTCTGTGACTTGAATGCAAACATCCCAAAGAATTTTCTGAGAATGCTTCTGTCTAGATTTGATCTGAAGACAATCCCGTTTCCAACGAAATCCTCAAGGCTAGGCAAATATCCTCTTGCAGATTCCAGAAAAAGAGTGTTTCAAAACTGCTCCTTCAAAACGGTGGTTCAATTCTCTTAGTTGAGTACACACATCTCAAATAAGTTTCTGAGAATGCTTCTGCCTAGTTGTTACGGGAAGATATTTCCCTTTCCAACATAGGCCTGAAAGCGCTCCAAATGTCCACTTCCAGATACTACAAAAAGAGTGTTTCAAACCTGCTCTACCAAAGGGAATGTTCTGCTCTGTGACTTGAATGCAAACATCCCAAAGAAGTTTCTGAGAATGCTTCTGTCTAGATTTTACCTGAAGACAATCCCGTTTCCCACGAAATCCTCAAAGCTATGCAAATATCCTCTTGCAGATTCTACAAAAAGAGTGTTTCAAAACTGCTCTATGAAAAGAAAGGTTCAACTCTGTCAGTAGAGGGCACACATCACAAACAAGTTTCTGAGAATGCTTCTGTCTAGTTGTTATGGGAAGATATTTCCTTTTTCAACATAGGCCTGAAAGCGCTCCAAATGTCCACTTCCAGATACTACAAAAGGAGTGATTCCAACCTGCTCTATGATAGGGAATGTTCAACTCTGTGTCCTGAATACAAACATCACAAAGATGTTTCTCAGAACGCTGCAGTCTGCAATTTGTATGAATTCCCGCTTCCAACGAAATCCTCCAAACTAGCCAAATATCCACTTGCAGATTCCACAAAAAGAGCGTTTCAAAACTTCTCTATGAAAAGAAAGGTTCTACTCCTTTAGTTGAGGACACACATCACGAGTAAGTTTCTGAGAATGCTTCTGTCTAGTTTTTATGGGAAGATATTTCCTTGTTCACCTTAGGCCGGAAAGCGCTCCAAATGTCCACTTACACACACTACAAAAAGAGTGTTTCAAACCTGCTCTGTGAAAGGGAATGTTCAATTCTGTGACTTGAATGCAATCATCACAAAGAAGTTTCTGAGAATGCTGCTGTCTGCTTTTTATATGTAATCCCGTTTCCAACGAAATCCTCAAATCTAGCCAAATAGCCACTTGCAGATTCCACAAAAAGAGTGTTTCAAAACTGTTCTGTCTAAAGAAATGTTCAACTGTGTTAGTTGAGGACACACATCAGAAACTAGTTTCTGAGAATGCTTCTGTCTAGTTGTTATGGGAAGATATTTCCTTTTCCAACGTAGGCCTGAAAGCGCTCCAAATGTCCACTTCCATATACTAAAAAAAGAGTGTTTCAAACCTGCTCTACCAAAGGGAATGTTCTACTCTGTGACTTGAATGCAAACATCCCAAAGAAGTTTCTGAGAATGCTTCTGTCTAGATTTTATCTGAAGACAATCCCGTTTCCAACGAAATCCTCAAAGCTAGGCAAATATCCTCTAGCAGATTCCAGAAAAAGAGTGTTTCAAAACTGCTCCTTCAAAACGGTGGTTCAATTCTCTTAGTTGAGTACACACATCTCAAATAAGTTTCAGAGAATGCTTCTGCCTAGTTGTTACGGGAAGATATTTCCCTTTCCAAAATAGGCCTGAAAGCGCTCCAAATGTCCACTTCCAGATACTGCAAAAGGAGTGATTCCAACCTGCTCTATGATAGGGAAAGTTCAACTCTGTGTCCTGAATACAAACATCACAAAGATGTTTCTCAGAACGCTGCAGTCTGCAATTTGCATGAATTCCAGCTTCCAACAAAATCCTCAAAACTAGCCAAATATCCACTTGCAGATTCCACAAAAAGAGCATTTCAAAACTGCTCTATCAAAAGAAAGGTTCAACTTTGTTAGTAGAGTAGATACAGCATAAACAAGTTTCTGAGAATGCTTCTGTCCAGTTTTTATGGGAAGATATTTCCTTTTTCACCTTAGCCCTGAAAGCGGTCCAAATGTCCAGTTCCAGATACTACAAAAGGGGTGTTTCAAGACTGCTCTATGAAAGGGAGTGTTCAACTTTTGACTTGAATGCAAACATCAGAAAGCAGTTTCTCAGAACGCTGCTGTGTGCTTTTTATATGTATTCCCGCTTCCAGCGAAATCCCCAAAGCTAGCCAAATATCCACTTGCAGATTCCAGAAAAAGAGTGTTTCAAAACTGCTCCTTCAAAACGGTGGTTCAATTCTCTTAGTTGAGTACACACATCTCAAATAAGTTTCTGAGAATGCTTCTGTCTAGTTGTTATGGGAAGATATTTCCTTTTCCAACATAGGGCCTGAAAGCGCTCCAAATGTCCACTTCCAGATACTACAAAAGGAGTGATTCAAACCTGCTCTATGATAGGGAATGTTCAACTCTGTGTCCTGAATACAAACATCACAAAGATGTTTCTCAGAACGCTGCAGTCTTCAATTTGTATGAATTCCCGCTTCCAACGAAATCCTCAAAACTAGCCAAATATCCACTTGCAGATTCCACAAAAAGAGCGTTTCAAAACTTCTCTATGAAAAGAAAGGTTCTACTCCTTTAGTTGAGGACACACATCACGAGTAAGTTTCTGAGAATGCTTCTGTCTAGTTTTTATGGGAAGATATTTCCTTTTTCACCTTAGGCCAGAAAGCGCTCCAAATGTCCACTTACAGACACTGCAAAAGAGTGTTTCAAACCTGGTCTGTGAAAGGGAATGTTCAATTCTGTGACTTGAATGCAATCATCACAAAGAAGTTTCTGAGAATGGTGCTGTCTGCTTTTTATATGTAATCCCGTTTCCAACGAAATCCTCAAATGTAGCCAAATATCCACTTGCAGATTCCACAAAAAGAGTGTTTCAAAACTGTTCTGTCAAAAGAAATGTTCAACTGTGTTAGTTGAGGACACACATCAGAAACTAGTTTCTGAGAAGGCTTCTGTCTAGTTGTTATGGGAAGATATTTCCTTTTCCAACGCAGGCCTGAAAACGCTCCAAATGTCCACTACCATATACTAAAAATAGAGTGTTTCAAACCTGCTCTATGAAAGCGAATGTTCAACTCTGTGACGTGAATGCAGACATCACAAAGCAGTTTCTGAGAATGCTTCTGTCTAGATTTGATCTGAAGACAATCCCGTTCCAACGAAATCCTCAAGGCTAGGCAAATATCCTCTTGCAGATTCCAGAAAAAGAGTGTTTCAAAACTGCTCCTTCAAAACGGTGGTTCAATTCTCTTAGTTGAGTACACACATCTCAAATAAGTTTCTGAGAATGCTTCTGCCTAGTTGTTACGGGAAGATATTTCCCTTTCCAACATAGGCCTGAAAGCGCTCCAAATGTCCACTTCCAGATACTACAAAAAGAGTGTTTCAAACCTGCTCTACCAAAGGGAATGTTCTACTCTGTGACTTGAATGCAAACATCCCAAAGAAGTTTCTGAGAATGCTTCTGTCTAGATTTTACCTGAAGACAATCCCGTTTCCCACGAAATCCTCAAAGCTATGCAAATATCCTCTTGCAGATTCTACAAAAAGAGTGTTTCAAAACTGCTCTATGAAAAGAAAGGTTCAACTCTGTCAGTAGAGGGCACACATCACAAACAAGTTTCTGAGAATGCTTGTGTCTAGTTGTTATGGGAAGATATTTCCTTTTTCAACATAGGCCTGAAAGCGCTCCAAATGTCCACTTCCAGATACTACAAAAGGAGTGATTCCAACCTGCTCTATGATAGGGAATGTTCAACTCTCTGTCCTGAATACAAACATCACAAAGATGTTTCTCAGAACGCTGCAGTCTGCAATTTGTATGAATTCCCGCTTCCAACGAAATCCTCAAAACTAGCCAAATATCCACTTGCAGATTCCACAAAAAGAGCATTTCAAAACTGCTCTATCAAAAGAAAGGTTCAACTTTGTTAGTTGAGTAGATACAGCATAAACAAGTTTCTGAGAATGCTTCTGTCCAGTTTTTATGGGAAGATATTTCCTTTTTCACCTTAGCCCTGAAATCGCTCCAAAAGTCCAGTTCCAGATACTACAAAAGGGGTGTTTCAGGACTGCTCTATGAAAGGGAGTGTTCAACTTTTGACTTGAATGCAAACATCAGAAAGCAGTTTCTCAGAACGCTGCTGTGTGCTTTTTATATGTATTCCCGCTTCCAGCGAAATCCCCAAAGCTAGCCAAATATCCACTTGCAGATTCCAGAAAAAGAGAGTTTCAAAACTGCTCCTTCAAAACGGTGGTTCAATTCTCTTAGTTGAGTACACACATCTCAAATAAGTTTCTGAGAATGCTTCTCTCTAGATTTTATATGAAGATATTCCCGTTTCCAACGAAATCCACAAAGCTATCGAAATATCCACTTGCAGATTCTACAAAAAGAGTGTTTCAAAACTGCTCTATGAAAAGAAAGGTTCTACCCCTTTAGTTGAGGACACACATCACGAGTAAGTTTCTGAGAATGCTTCTGTCTAGTTTTTATGGGAAGATATTTCCTTTTTCACCTGAGGCCGGAAAGCGCTCCAAATGTCCACTTCCAGATACTACAAAAGGAGTGATTCAAACCTGCTCTATGATAGGGAATGTTCAACTCTGTGTCCTGAATACAAACATCACAAAGATGTTTCTCAGAACGCTGCAGTCTGCAATTTGTATGAATTCCCGCTTCCAACGAAATCCTCCAAACTAGCCAAATATCCACTTGCAGATTCCACAAAAAGAGCGTTTCAAAACTTCTCTATGAAAAGAAAGGTTCTACTCCTTTAGTTGAGGACACACATCACGAGTAAGTTTCTCAGAATGCTTCTGTCTAGTTTTTATGGGAAGATATTTCCTTGTTCACCTTAGGCCGGAAAGCGCTCCAAATGTCCACTTACACACACTACAAAAAGAGTGTTTCAAACCTGCTCTGTGAAACGGAATGTTCAATTCTGTGACTTGAATGCAATCATCACAAAGAAGTTTCTGAGAATGCTGCTGTCTGCTTTTTATATGTAATCCCGTTTCCAACGAAATCCTCAAATCTAGCCAAATATCCACTTGCAGATTCCACAAAGAGAGTGTTTCAAAACTGTTCTGTCTAAAGAAATGTTCAACTGTGTTAGTTGAGGACACACATCAGAAACTAGTTTCTGAGAATGCTTCTGTCTGGTTGTTATGGGAAGATATTTCCTTTTCCAACGTAGGCCTGAAAGCGCTCCAAATGTCCACTTCCATATACTAAAAAAAGAGTGTTTCAAACCTGCTCTACCAAAGGGAATGTTCTACTCTGTGACTTGAATGCAAACATCCCAAAGAAGTTTCTGAGAATGCTTCTGTCTAGATTTGATCTGAAGACAATCCCGTTTCCAACGAAATCCTCAAATCTATGCAAATATCCTCTTGCAGATTCCAGAAAAAGAGTGTTTCAAAACTGCTCCTTCAAAACGGTGGTTCAATTCTCTTAGTTGAGTACACACATCTCAAATAAGTTTCTGAGAATGCTTCTGCCTAGTTGTTACGGGAAGATATTTCCCTTTCCAACATAGGCCTGAAAGCGCTCCAAATGTCCACTTCCAGATACTACAAAAAGAGTGTTTCAAACCTGCTCCTTCAAAACGGTGGTTCAATTCTCTTAGTTCAGTACACACATCTCAAATAAGTTTCTGAGAATGCTTCTGCCTAGTTGTTAGGGGAAGATATTTCCCTTTCTAACATAGGCCTGAAAGCGCTCCAAATGTCCACTTCCAGATACTACAAAAAGAGTGTTTCAAACCTGCTCTACCAAAGGGAATGTTCTACTCTGTGACTTGAATGCAAACATCCCGAAGAATTTTCTGAGAATGCTTCTGTCTAGATTTTACCTGAAGACAATCCCGTTTCCCACGAAATCCTCAAAGCTATGCAAATATCCTCTTGCAGATTCTACAAAAAGAGTGTTTCGAAACTGCTCTATGAAAAGAAAGGTTCAACTCTGTCAGTAGAGGGCACACATCACAAACAAGTTTCTGAGAATGCTTGTGTCTACTTGTTATGGGAAGATATTTCCTTTTCCAACATAGGCCTGAAAGCGCTCCAAATGTCCACTTCCAGATACTACAAAAGGAGTGATTCCAACCTGCTCTATGATAGGGAATGTTCAACTCTGTGTCCTGAATACAAACATCACAAAGATGTTTCTCAGAACGCTGCAGTCTGCAATTTGTATGAATTCCCGCTTCCAACGAAATCCTCAAAACTAGCCAAATATCCACTTGCAGATTCCACAAAAAGAGCATTTCAAAACTGCTCTATCAAAAGAAAGGTTCAACTTTGTTAGTTGAGTAGATACAGCATAAACAAGTTTCTGAGAATGCTTCTGTCCAGTTTTTATGGGAAGATATTTCCTTTTTCACCTTAGCCCTGAAATCGCTCCAAAAGTCCAGTTCCAGATACTACAAAAGGGGTGTTTCAAGACTGCTCTA
Organism: Homo sapiens; assembly: GCF_000001405.40. Lineage (NCBI taxonomy): Eukaryota > Metazoa > Chordata > Mammalia > Primates > Hominidae > Homo > Homo sapiens. The sequence goes on along the minus strand of NC_000018.10, from coordinate 18,482,273 downwards.
TGAAAGGGAGTGTTCAACTTTTGACTTGAATGCAAACATCAGAAAGCAGTTTCTCAGAACGCTGCTGTGTGCTTTTTATATGTATTCCCGCTTCCAGCGAAATCCCCAAAGCTAGCCAAATATCCACTTGCAGATTCCAGAAAAAGAGAGTTTCAAAACTGCTCCTTCAAAACGGTGGTTCAATTCTCTTAGTTGAGTACACACATCTCAAATAAGTTTCTGAGAATGCTTCTGTCTAGTTGTTATGGGAAGATATTTCCTTTTCCAACATAGGCCTGAAAGCGCTCCAAATGTCCACTTCCAGATACTACAAAAGGAGTGATTCAAACCTGCTCTATGATAGGGAATGTTCAACTCTGTGTCCTGAATACAAACATCACAAAGATGTTTCTCAGAACGCTGCAGTCTGCAATTTGTATGAATTCCCGCTTCCAACGAAATCCTCAAAACTAGCCAAATATCCACTTGCAGATTCCACAAAAAGAGCGTTTCAAAACTTCTCTATGAAAAGAAAGGTTCTACTCCTTTAGTTGAGGACACACATCACGAGTAAGTTTCTGAGAATGCTTCTGTCTAGTTTTTATGGGAAGATATTTCCTTTTTCACCTTAGGCCGGAAAGTGCTCCAAATGTCCACTTACACACACTACAAAAAGAGTGTTTCAAACCTGCTCTGTGAAAGGGAATGTTCAATTCTGTGACTTGAATGCAATCATCACAAAGAACTTTCTGAGAATGCTGCTGTCTGCTTTTTATATGTAATCCCGTTTCCAACGAAATCCTCAAATCTAGCCAAATAGCCACTTGCAGATTCCACAAAAAGAGTGTTTCAAAACTGTTCTGTCTAAAGAAATGTTCAACTGTGTTAGTTGAGGAAACACATCAGAAACTAGTTTCTGAGAATGCTTCTGTCTAGTTGTTATGGGAAGATATTTCCTTTTCCAACGTAGGCCTGAAAGCGCTCCAAATGTCCACTTCCATATACTAAAAAAAGAGTGTTTCAAACCTGCTCTACCAAAGGGAATGTTCTACTCTGTGACTTGAATGCAAACATCCCAAAGAAGTTTCTGAGAATGCTTCTGTCTAGATTTTATCTGAAGACAATCCCGTTTCTAACGAAATCCTCAAGGCTAGGCAAATATACTCTTGCAGATTCCAGAAAAAGAGTGTTTCAAAACTGCTCCTTCAAAACGGTGGTTCAATTCTCTTAGTTGAGTACACACATCTCAAATAAGTTTCTGAGAATCCTTCTGCCTAGTTGTTACGGGAAGATATTTCCCTTTCCAACATGGGCCTGAAAGCACTCCAAATGTCCACTTCCAGATACTACAAAAAGAGTGTTTTAAACCTGCTCTACCAAAGGGAATGTTCTACTCTGTGACTTGAATGCAAACATCCCAAAGAAGTTTCTGAGAATGCTTCTGTCTAGATTTTACCTGAAGACAATCCCGTTTCCCACGAAATCCTCAAAGCTATGCAAATATCCTCTTGCAGATTCTACAAAAAGAGTGTTTCAAAACTGCTCTATGAAAAGAAAGGTTCAACTCTGTCAGTAGAGGGCACACATCACAAACAAGTTTCTGAGAATGCTTGTGTCTAGTTGTTATGGGAAGATATTTCCTTTTTCAACATAGGCCTGAAAGCGCTCCAAATGTCCACTTCCAGATACTACAAAAGGAGTGATTCCAACCTGCTCTATGATAGGGAATGTTCAACTCTCTGTCCTGAATACAAACATCACAAAGATGTTTCTCAGAACGCTGCAGTCTGCAATTTGTATGAATTCCAGCTTCCAACGAAATCCTCACAACTAGCCAAATATCCACTTGCAGATTCCACAAAAAGAGCATTTCAAAACTGCTCTATCAAAAGAAAGGTTCAACTTTGTTAGTTGAGTAGATACAGCATAAACAAGTTTCTGAGAATGCTTCTGTCCAGTTTTTATGGGAAGATATTTCCTTTTTCACCTTAGCCCTGAAAGCGCTCCAAAAGTCCAGTTCCAGATACTACAAAAGGAGTGTTTCAGGACTGCTCTATGAAAGGGAGTGTTCAACTTTTGACTTGAATGCAAACATCAGAAAGCAGTTTCTCAGAACGCTGCTGTGTGCTTTTTATATGTATTCCCGCTTCCAGCGAAATCCCCAAAGCTAGCCAAATATCCACTTGCAGATTCCAGAAAAAGAGTGTTTCAAAACTGCTCCTTCAAAACGGTGGTTCAATTCTCTTAGTTGAGTACACACATCTCAAATAAGTTTCTGAGAATGCTTCTGTCAGGTTTTATGGGAAGATATTTCCTTTTTCACCTTAGCCCTGAAAGCGCTCCAAAAGTCCAGTTCCAGATACTACAAAAGGAGTGTTTCAGGACTGCACTATGAAAGGGAGTGTTCAACTTTTGACTTGAATGCAAACATCAGAAAGCAGTTTCTCAGAACGCTGCTGTGTGCTTTTTATATGTATTCCCGCTTCCAGCGAAATCCCCAAAGCTAGCCAAATATCCACTTGCAGATTCCAGAAAAAGAGTGTTTCAAAACTGCTCCTTCAAAACGGTGGTTCAATTCTCTTAGTTGAGTACACACATCTCAAATAAGTTTCTGAGAATGCTTCTGTCTAGTTGTTATGGGAAGATATTTCCTTTTCCAACATAGGCCTGAAAGCGCTCCAAATGTCCACTTCCAGATACTACAAAAGGAGTGATTCAAACCTGCTCTATGATAGGGAATGTTCAACTCTGTGTCCTGAATACAAACATCACAACGATGTTTCTCAGAACGCTGCAGTCTGCAATTTGTATGAATTCCCGCTTCCAACGAAATCCTCAACACTAGCCAAATATCCACTTGGAGATTCCACAAAAAGAGCGTTTCAAAACTTCTCTATGAATAGAAAGGTTCTACTCCTTTAGTTGAGGACACACATCACGAGTAAGTTTCTGAGAATGCTTCTGTCTAGTTTTTATGGGAAGATTATTTCCTTTTTCACCTTAGGCCGGTAAGTGCTCCAAATGTCCACTTACACACACTACAAAAAGAGTGTTTCAAACCTGCTCTGTGAAAGGGAATGTTCAATTACTGTGACTTGAATGCAATCATCACAAAGAACTTTCTGAGAATGCTGCTGACTGCTTTTTATATGTAATCCCGTTTCCAACGAAATCCTCAAATCTAGCCAAATAGCCACTTGCAGATTCCACAAAAAGAGTGTTTCAAAACTGTTCTGTCTAAAGAAATGTTCAACTGTGTTAGTTGAGGACACACATCAGAAACTAGTTTCTGAGAATGCTTCTGTCTAGTTGTTATGGGAAGATATTTCCTTTTCCAACGTAGGCCTGAAAGCGATCCAAATGTCCACTTCCATATACTAAAAAAAGAGTGTTTCAAACCTGCTCTACCAAAGGGAATGTTCTACTCTGTGACTTGAATGCAAACATCCCAAAGAAGTTTCTGAGAATGCTTCTGTCTAGATTTTCTCTGAAGACAATCCCGTTTCCAACGAAATCCTCAAGGCTAGGCAAATATACTCTTGCAGATTCCAGAAAAAGAGTGTTTCAAAACTGCTCCTTCAAAACGGTGGTTCAATTCTCTTAGTTGAGTACACACATCTCAAATAAGTTTCTGAGAATGCTTCTGCCTAGTTGTTACGGGAAGATATTTCCCTTTCCAACATGGGCCTGAAAGCGCTCCAAATGTCCACTTCCAGATACTACAAAAAGAGTGTTTCAAACCTGCTCTACCAAAGGGAATGTTCTACTCTGTGACTTGAATGCAAACATCCCAAAGAAGTTTCTGAGAATGCTTCTGTCTAGATTTTACCTGAAGACAATCCCGTTTCCCACGAAATCCTCAAAGCTATGCAAATATCCTCTTGCAGATTCTACAAAAAGAGTGTTTCAAAACTGCTCTATGAAAAGAAAGGTTCAACTCTGTCAGTAGAGGGCACACATCACAAACAAGTTTCTGAGAATGCTTCTGCATAGTTGTTACGGGAAGATATTTCCCTTTCCAAAATAGGCCTGAAAGCGCTCCAAATGTCCACTTCCAGATACTACAAAAGGAGTGATTCCAACCTGCTCTATGATAGGGAATGTTCAACTCTGTGTCCTGAATACAAACATCACAAAGATGTTTCTCAGAACGCTGCAGTCTGCAATTTGTATGAATTCCCGCTTCCAACGAAATCCTCAAAACTAGCCAAATATCCACTTGCAGATTCCACAAAAAGACCATTTCAAAACTGCTCTATCAAAAGAAAGGTTCAACTTTGTTAGTTGAGTAGATACAGCATAAACAAGTTTCTGAGAATGCTTCTGTCCAGTTTTTATGGGAAGATATTTCCTTTTTCACCTTAGCCCTGAAATCGCTCCAAAAGTCCAGTTCCAGATACTACAAAAGGGGTGTTTCAGGACTGCTCTATGAAAGGGAGTGTTCAACTTTTGACTTGAATGCAAACATCAGAAAGCAGTTTCTCAGAACGCTGCTGTGTGCTTTTTATATGTATTCCCGCTTCCAGCGAAATCCCCAAAGCTAGCCAAATATCCACTTGCAGATTCCAGAAAAAGAGAGTTTCAAAACTGCTCCTTCAAAACGGTGGTTCAATTCTCTTAGTTGAGTACACACATCTCAAATAAGTTTCTGAGAATGCTTCTGTCTAGTTTTTATGGGAAGATATTTCCTTTTCCAACATAGGCCTGAAAGCGCTCCAAATGTCCACTTCCAGATACTACAAAAGGAGGTATTCAAACCTGCTATATGAGAGGGAACGTTCAACTCTGTGTCCTGAATACAAACATCACAAAGCTGTTTCTCAGAACGCTGCAGTCTGCAATTTGTATGAATTCCCGCTTCCAACGAAATCCTCAAAACTAGCCAAATATCCACTTGCAGATTCCACAAAAAGAGCGTTTCAAAACTTCTCTATGAAAAGAAAGGTTCTACTCCTTTAGTTGAGGACACACATCACGAGTAAGTTTCTGAGAATGTTTCTGTCTAGTTTTTATGGGAAGATATTTCCTTGTTCACCTTAGGCCGGAAAGCGCTCCAAATGTCCACTTACACACACTACAAAAAGAGTGTTTCAAACCTGCTCTGTGAAAGGGAATGTTCAATTCTGTGACTTGAATGCAATCATCACAAAGAAGTTTCTGAGAATGCTGCTGTCTGCTTTTTATATGTAATCCCGTTTCCAACGAAATCCTCAAATCTAGCCAAATATCCACTTGCAGATTCCACAAAGAGAGTGTTTCAAAACTGTTCTGTCTAAAGAAATGTTCAACTGTGTTAGTTGAGGACACACATCAGAAACTAGTTTCTGAGAATGCTTCTGTCTAGTTGTTATGGGAAGATATTTCCTTTTCCAACGTAGGCCTGAAAGCGCTCCAAATGTCCACTTCCATATACTAAAAAAAGAGTGTTTCAAACCTGCTCTACCAAAGGGAATGTTCTACTCTGTGACTTGAATGCAAACATCCCAAAGAAGTTTCTGAGAATGCTTCTGTCTAGATTTGATCTGAAGACAATCCCGTTGCCAACGAAATCCTCAAATCTATGCAAATATCCTCTTGCAGATTCCAGAAAAAGAGTGTTTCAAAACTGCTCCTTCAAAACGGTGGTTCAATTCTCTTAGTTGAGTACACACATCTCAAATAAGTTTCTGAGAATGCTTCTGCCTAGTTGTTACGGGAAGATATTTCCCTTTCCAACATAGGCCTGAAAGCGCTCCAAATGTCCACTTCCAGATACTACAAAAAGAGTGTTTCAAACCTGCTCCTTCAAAACGGTGGTTCAATTCTCTTAGTTCAGTACACACATCTCAAATAAGTTTCTGAGAATGCTTCTGCCTAGTTGTTACGGGAAGATATTTCCCTTTCCAACATAGGCCTGAAAGCGCTCCAAATGTCCACTTCCAGATACTACAAAAAGAGTGTTTCAAACCTGCTCTACCAAAGGGAATGTTCTACTCTGTGACTTGAATGCAAACATCCCGAAGAATTTTCTGAGAATGCTTCTGTCTAGATTTTACCTGAAGACAATCCCGTTTCCCACGAAATCCTCAAAGCTATTCAAATATCCTCTTGCAGATTCTACAAAAAGAGTGTTTCAAAACTGCTCTATGAAAAGAAAGGTTCAACTCTGTCACTAGAGGGCACACATCACAAACAAGTTTCTGAGAATGCTTGTGTCTAGTTGTTATGGGAAGATATTTCCTTTTTCAACATAGGCCTGAAAGCGCTCCAAATGTCCACTTCCAGATACTACAAAAGGAGTGATTCCAACCTGCTCTATGATAGGGAATGTTCAACTCTCTGTCCTGAATACAAACATCACAAAGATGTTTCTCAGAACGCTGCAGTCTGCAATTTGTATGAATTCCCGCTTCCAGCGAAATCCTCAAAACTAGCCAAATATCCACTTGCAGATTCCACAAAAAGAGCATTTCAAAACTGCTCTATCAAAAGAAAGGTTCAACTTTGTTAGTTGAGTAGATACAGCATAAACAAGTTTCTGAGAATGCTTCTGTCCAGTTTTTATGGGAAGATATTTCCTTTTTCACCTTAGCCCTGAAAGCGCTCCAAAAGTCCAGTTCCAGATACTACAAAAGGAGTGTTTCAGACTGCACTATGAAAGGGAGTGTTCAACTTTTGACTTGAATGCAAACATCAGAAAGCAGTTTCTCAGAACGCTGCTGTGTGCTTTTTATATGTATTCCCGCTTCCAGCGAAATCCCCAAAGCTAGCCAAATATCCACTTGCAGATTCCAGAAAAAGAGTGTTTCAAAACTGCTCCTTCAAAACGGTGGTTCAATTCTCTTAGTTGAGTACACACATCTCAAATAAGTTTCTGAGAATGCTTCTGTCTAGTTGTTATGGGAAGATATTTCCTTTTCCAACATAGGCCTGAAAGCGCTCCAAATGTCCACTTCCAGATACTACAAAAGGAGTGATTCAAACCTGCTCTATGATAGGGAATGTTCAACTCTGTGTCCTGAATACAAACATCACAAAGATGTTTCTCATAACGCTGCAGTCTGCAATTTGTATGAATTCCCGCTTCCAACGAAATCCTCAAAACTAGCCAAATATCCACTTGCAGATTCCACAAAAAGACCATTTCAAAACTGCTCTATCAAAAGAAAGGTTCAACTTTGTTAGTTGAGTAGATACAGCATAAACAAGTTTCTGAGAATGCTTCTGTCCAGTTTTTATGGGAAGATATTTCCTTTTTCACCTTAGCCCTGAAATCGCTCCAAAAGTCCAGTTCCAGATACTACAAAAGGGGTGTTTCAAGACTGCTCTATGAAAGGGAGTGTTCAACTTTTGACTTGAATGCAAACATCAGAAAGCAGTTTCTCCGAACGCTGCTGTGTGCTTTTTATATGTATTCCCGCTTCCAGCGAAATCCCCAAAGCTAGCCAAATATCCACTTGCAGATTCCAGAAAAAGAGAGTTTCAAAACTGCTCCTTCAAAACGGTGGTTCAATTCTCTTAGTTGAGTACACACATCTCAAATAAGTTTCTGAGAATGCTTCTGTCTAGTTGTTATGGGAAGATATTTCCTTTTCCAACATAGGCCTGAAAGCGCTCCAAATGTCCACTTCCAGATACTACAAAAGGAGTGATTCCAACCTGCTCTATGATAGGGAATGTTCAACTCTGTGTCCTGAATACAAACATCACAAAGATGTTTCTCAGAACGCTGCGGTCTGCAATTTGTATGAATTCCGGCTTCCAACGAAATCCTCCAAACTAGCCAAATATCCACTTGCAGATTCCACAAAAAGAGCGTTTCAAAACTTCTCTATGAAAAGAAAGGTTCTACTCCTTTAGTTGAGGACACACATCACGAGTAAGTTTCTGAGAATGCTTCTGTCTAGTTTTTATGGGAAGATATTTCCTTGTTCACCTTAGGCCGGAAAGCGCTCCAAATGTCCACTTACACACACTACAAAAAGAGTGTTTCAAACCTGCTCTGTGAAAGGGAATGTTCAATTCTGTGACTTGAATGCAATCATCACAAAGAAGTTTCTGAGAATGCTGCTGTCTGCTTTTTATATGTAATCCCGTTTCCAACGAAATCCTCAAATCTAGCCAAATATCCACTTGCAGATTCCACAAAAAGAGTGTTTCAAAACTGTTCTGTCTAAAGAAATGTTCAACTGTGTTAGTTGAGGACACACATCAGAAACTAGTTTCTGAGAATGCTTCTGTCTAGTTGTTATGGGAAGATATTTCCTTTTCCAACGTAGGCCTGAAAGCGCTCCAAATGTCCACTTCCATATACTAAAAAAAGAGTGTTTCAAACCTGCTCTACCAAAGGAATGTTCTACTCTGTGACTTGAATGCAAACATCCCAAAGAAGTTTCTGAGAATGCTTCTGTCTAGATTTTATCTGAAGACAATCCCGTTTCCAACGAAATCTTCAAGGCTAGGCAAATATACTCTTGCAGATTCCAGAAAAAGAGTGTTTCAAAACTGCTCCTTCAAAACGGTGGTTCAATTCTCTCAGTTGAGTACACACATCTCAAATAAGTTTCTGAGAATGCTTCTGCCTAGTTGTTACGGGAAGATATTTCCCTTTCCAACATGGGCCTGAAAGCGCTCCAAATGTCCACTTCCAGATACTACAAAAAGAGGGTTTCAAACCTGCTCTACCAAAGGGAATGTTCTACTCTGTGACTTGAATGCAAACATCCCAAAGAAGTTTCTGAGAATGCTTCTGTCTAGATTTTACCTGAAGACAATCCCGTTTCCCACGAAATCCTCAAAGCTATGCAAATATCCTCTTGCAGATTCTACAAAAAGAGTGTTTCAAAACTGCTCTATGAAAAGAAAGGTTCAACTCTGTCAGTAGAGGGCACACATCACAAACAAGTTTCTGAGAATGCTTGTGTCTAGTTGTTATGGGAAGATATTTCCTTTTTCAACATAGGCCTGAAAGCGCTCCAAATGTCCACTTCCAGATACTACAAAAGGAGTGATTCCAACCTGCTCTATGATAGGGAATGTTCATCTCTGTGTCCTGAATACAAACATCACAAAGATGTTTCTCAGAACGCTGCAGTCTGCAATTTGTATGAATTCCCGCTTCCAACGAAATCCTCAAAACTAGCCAAATATCCACTTGCAGATTCCACAAAAAGAGCATTTCAAAACTGCTCTATCAAAAGAAAGGTTCAACTTTGTTAGTTGAGTAGATACAGCATAAACAAGTTTCTGAGAATGCTTCTGTCCAGTTTTTATGGGAAGATATTTCCTTTTTCACCTTAGCCCTGAAAGCGCTCCAAAAGTCCAGTTCCAGATACTACAAAAGGAGTGTTTCAGGACTGCTCTATGAAAGGGAGTGTTCAACTTTTGACTTGAATGCAAACATCAGAAAGCCGTTTCTCAGAACGCTGCTGTGTGCTTTTTATATGTATTCCCGCTTCCAGCGAAATCCCCAAAGCTAGCCAAATATCCACTTGCAGATTCCAGAAAAAGAGTGTTTCAAAACTGCTCCTTCAAAACGGTGGTTCAATTCTCTTAGTTGAGTACACACATCTCAAATAAGTTTCTGAGAATGCTTCTGTCTAGTTGTTATGGGAAGATATTTCCTTTTCCAACATAGGCCTGAAAGCGCTCCAAATGTCCACTTCCAGATACTACAAAAGGAGTGATTCAAACCTGCTCTATGATAGGGAATGTTCAACTCTGTGTCCTGAATACAAACATCACAAAGATGTTTCTCAGAACGCTGCAGTCTGCAATTTGTATGAATTCCCGCTTCCAACGAAATCCTCAAAACTAGCCAAATATCCACTTGCAGATTCCACAAAAAGAGCGTTTCAAAACTTCTCTATGAAAAGAAAGGTTCTACTCCTTTAGTTGAGGACACACATCACGAGTAAGTTTCTGAGAATGCTTCTGTCTAGTTTTTATGGGAAGATATTTCCTTTTTCACCTTAGGCCGGAAAGTGCTCCAAATGTCCACTTACACACACTACAAAAAGAGTGTTTCAAACCTGCTCTGTGAAAGGGAATGTTCAATTCTGTGACTTGAATGCAATCATCACAAAGAAGTTTCTGAGAATGCTGCTGTCTGCTTTTTATATGTAATCCCGTTTCCAACGAAATCCTCAAATCTAGCCAAATATCCACTTGCAGATTCCACAAAAAGAGTGTTTCAAAACTGTTCTGTCTAAAGAAATGTTCAACTGTGTTAGTTGAGGACACACATCAGAAACTAGTTTCTGAGAATGCTTCTGTCTAGTTGTTATGGGAAGATATTTCCTTTTCCAACGTAGGCCAGAAAGCGATCCAAATGTCCACTTACACACACTACAAAAAGAGTGTTTCAAACCTGCTCTACCAAAGGGAATGTTCTACTCTGTGACTTGAATGCAAACATCCCAAAGAAGTTTCTGAGAATGCTTCTGTCTAGATTTGATCTGAAGACAATCCCTTTTCCAACGAAATCCTCAAAGCTAGGCAAATATCCTCTTGCAGATTCCAGAAAAAGAGTGTTTCCAAACTGCTCCTTCAAAACGGTGGTTCAATTCTCTTAGTTGAGTACACACATCTCAAATAAGTTTCTGAGAATGCTTCTGCCTAGTTGTTACGGGAAGATATTTCCCTTTCCAACATAGGCCTGAAAGCGCAACAAATGTCCACTTCCGGATACGACAAAAAGAGTGTTTCAAACCTGCTCTACCAAAGGGAATGTTCTACTCTGTGACTTGAATGCAAACATCCCGAAGAAGTTTCTGAGAATGCTTCTGTCTAGATTTTACCTGAAGACAATCCCGTTTCCCACGAAATCCTCAGAGCTATGCAAATATCCTCTTGCAGATTCTACAAAAAGAGTGTTTCGAAACTGCTCTATGAAAAGAAAGGTTCAACTCTGTCAGTAGAGGAAACACATCACCAACAAGTTTCTGAGAATGCTTCTGTCTAGTTGTTATGGGAAGATTTTTCCTTTTTCAACATAAGCCTGAAAGCGCTCCAAATGTCCACTTCCAGATACTACAAAAGGAGTGATTCAACCCTGCTCTATGATAGGGAATGTTCAACTCTGTGTCCTGAATACAAACATCACAAAGATGTTTCTCAGAACGCTGCAGTCTGCATCTTGTATGAATTCCCGCTTCCAACGAAATCCTCAAAACTAGCCAAATATCCACTTGCAGATTCCACAAAAAGAGCGTTTCAAAACTTCTCTATGAAAAGAAAGGTTCTACTCCTTTAGTTGAGGACACACATCACGAGTAAGTTTCTGAGAATGCTTCTGTCTAGTTGTTATGGGAAGATATTTCCTTGTTCACCTTAGGCCGGAAAGCGCTCCAAATGTCCACTTACACACACTACAAAAAGAGTGTTTCAAACCTGCTCTGTGAAAGGGAATGTTCAATTCTGTGACTTGAATGCAATCATCACAAAGAAGTTTCTGAGAATGCTGCTGTCTGCTTTTTATATGTAATCCCGTTTCCAACGAAATCCTCAAATCTAGCCCAATATCCACTTGCAGATTCCACAAAAAGAGTGTTTCAAAACTGTTCTGTCTGAAGAAAAGTTCAACTGTGTTAGTTGAGGACACACATCAGAAACTAGTTTCTGAGAATGCTTCTGTCTAGTTGTTATGGGAAGATATTTCCTTTTCCAACGTAGGCCTGAAAGCGCTCCAAATGTCCACTTCCATATACTAAAAAAAGAGTGTTTCAAACCTGCTCTACCAAAGGGAATGTTCTACTCTGTGACATGAATGCTAACATCCCAAAGAAGTTTCTGAGAATGCTTCTGTCTAGATTTGATCTGAAGACAATCCCGTTTCCAACGAAATCCTCAAGGCTAGGCAAATATCCTCTTGCAGATTCCAGAAAAAGAGTGTTTCAAAACTGCTCCTTCAAAACGGTGGTTCAATTCTCTTAGTTGAGTACACACATCTCAAATAAGTTTCTGAGAATGCTTCTGCCTAGTTGTTACGGGAAGATATTTCCCTTTCCAACATAGGCCTGAAAGCGCTCCAAATGTCCACTTCCAGATACTACAAAAAGAGTGTTTCAAACCTGCTCTACCAAAGGGAATGTTCTACTCTGTGACTTGAATGCAAACATCCCAAAGAAGTTTCTGAGAATGCTTCTGTCTAGATTTTACCTGAAGACAATCCCGTTTCCCACGAAATCCTCAAAGCTATGCAAATATCCTCTTGCAGATTCTACAAAAAGAGCGTTTCAAATCTTCTCTATGAAAAGAAAGGTTCTACTCATTTAGTGGAGGACACACATCACGAGTAAGTTTCTGAGAATGCTTGTGTCTAGTTGTTATGGGAAGATATTTCCTTTTTCAACATAGGCCTGAAAGCGCTCCAAATGTCCACTTCCAGATACTACAAAAGGAGTGATTCCAACCTGCTCTATGATAGGGAATGTTCATCTCTGTGTCCTGAATACAAACATCACAAAGATGTTTCTCAGAACGCTGCAGTCTGCAATTTGTATGAATTCCCGCTTCCAACGAAATCCTCAAAACTAGCCAAATATCCACTTGCAGATTCCACAAAAAGAGCATTTCAAAACTGCTCTATCAAAAGAAAGGTTCAACTTTGTTAGTTGAGTAGATACAGCATAAACAAGTTTCTGAGAATGCTTCTGTCCAGTTTTTATGGGAAGATATTTCCTTTTTCACCTTAGCCCTGAAAGCGCTCCAAATTTCCAGTTCCAGATACTACAAAAGGGGTGTTTCAAGACTGCTCTATGAAAGGGAGTGTTCAACTTTTGACTTGAATGCAAACATCAGAAAGCAGTTTCTCAGAACGCTGCTGTGTGCTTTTTATATGTATTCCCGCTTCCAGCGAAATCCCCAAAGCTAGCCAAATATCCACTTGCAGATTCCAGAAAAAGAGTGTTTCCAAACTGCTCCTTCAAAACGGTGGTTCAATTCTCTTAGTTGAGTACACACATCTCAAATAAGTTTCTGGGAATGCTTCTGTCTAGTTGTTATGGGAAGATATTTCCTTTTCCAACATAGGCCTGAAAGCGCTCCAAATGTCCACTTCCAGATACTACAAAAGGAGTGATTCAAACCTGCTCTATGATAGGGAATGTTCAACTCTGTGTCCTGAATACAAACATCACAAAGATGTTTCTCAGAACGCTGCAGTCTGCATCTTGTATGAATTCCCGCTTCCAACGAAATCCTCCAAACTAGCCAAATATCCACTTGCAGATTCCACAAAAAGAGCGTTTCAAAACTTCTCTATGAAAAGAAAGGTTCTACTCCTTTAGTTGAGGACACACATCACGAGTAAGTTTCTGAGAATGCTTCTGTCTAGTTTTTATGGGAAGATATTTCCTTTTTCACCTTAGGCCGGAAAGTGCTCCAAATGTCCACTTACACACACTGCAAAAAGAGTGTTTCAAACCTGCTCTGTGAAAGGGAATGTTCAATTCTGTGACTTGAATGCAATCATCACAAAGAACTTTCTGAGAATGCTGCTGTCTGCTTTTTATATGTAATCCCGTTTCCAACGAAATCCTCAAATCTAGCCAAATAGCCACTTGCAGATTCCACAAAAAGAGTGTTTCAAAACTGTTCTGTCTAAAGAAATGTTCAACTGTGTTAGTTGAGGACACACATCAGAAACTAGTTTCTGAGAATGCTTCTGTCTAGTTGTTATGGGAAGATATTTCCTTTTCCAACGTAGGCCTGAAAGCGCTCCAAATGTCCACTTCCATATACTTAAAAAAGAGTGTTTCAAACCTGCTCTACCAAAGGGAATGTTCTACTCTGTGACATGAATGCAAACATCCCAAAGAAGTTTCTGAGAATGCTTCTGTCTAGATTTGATCTGAAGACAATCCCGTTTCCAACGAAATCCTCAAGGCTAGGCAAATATACTCTTGCAGATTCCAGAAAAAGAGTGTTTCAAAACTGCTCCTTCAAAACGGTGGTTCAATTCTCTTAGTTGAGTACACACATCTCAAATAAGTTTCTGAGAATGCTTCTGCCTAGTTGTAACGGGAAGATATTTCCCTTTCCAACATAGGCCTGAAAGCGCTCCAAATGTCCACTTCCAGATACTACAAAAAGAGTGTTTCAAACCTCCTCTACCAAAGGGAATGTTCTACTCTGTGACTTGAATGCAAACATCCCAAAGAAGTTTCTGAGAATGCTTCTGTCTATATTTTACCTGAAGACAATCCCGTTTCCCACGAAATCCTCAAAGCTATGCAAATATCCTCTTGCAGATTCTACAAAAAGAGTGTTTCAAAACTGCTCTATGAAAAGAAAGGTTCAACTCTGTCAGTAGAGGGCACACATCACAAACAAGTTTCTGAGAATGCTTGTGTCTAGTTGTTATGGGAAGATATTTCCTTTTTCAACATAGGCCTGAAAGCGCTCCAAATGTCCACTTCCAGATACTACAAAAGGAGTGATTCCAACCTGCTCTATGATAGGGAATGTTCAACTCTCTGTCCTGAATACAAACATCACAAAGATGTTTCTCAGAACGCTGCAGTCTGCAATTTGTATGAATTCCCGCTTCCAACGAAATCCTCAAAACTAGCCAAATATCCACTTGCAGATTCCACAAAAAGAGCATTTCAAAACTGCTCTATCAAAAGAAAGGTTCAACTTTGTTAGTTGAGTAGATACAGCATAAACAAGTTTCTGAGAATGCTTCTGTCCAGTTTTTATGGGAAGATATTTCCTTTTTCACCTTAGCCCTGAAAGCGCTCCAAAAGTCCAGTTCCAGATACTACAAAAGGAGTGTTTCAGGACTGCTCTATGAAAGGGAGTGTTCAACTTTTGACTTGAATGCAAACATCAGAAAGAAGTTTCTCAGAACGCTGCTGTGTGCTTTTTATATGTATTCCCGCTTCCAGCGAAATCCCCAAAGCTAGCCAAATATCCACTTGCAGATTCCAGAAAAAGAGTGTTTCAAAACTGCTCCTTCAAAACGGTGGTTCAATTCTCTTAGTTGAGTACACACATCTCAAATAAGTTTCTGAGAATGCTTCTGTCTAGTTGTTATGGGAAGATATTTCCTTTTCCAACATAGGCCTGAAAGCGCTCCAAATGTCCACTTCCAGATACTACAAAAGGAGTGATTCCAACCTGCTCTATGATAGGGAATGTTCAACTCTGTGTCCTGAATACAAACATCACAAAGATGTTTCTCAGAACGCTGCAGTCTGCAATTTGTATGAATTCCCGCTTCCAACGAAATCCTCAAAACTAGCCAAATATCCACTTGCAGATTCCAGAAAAAGAGCGTTTCAAAACTTCTCTATGAAAAGGAAGGTTCTACTCCTTTAGTTGAGGGCACACATCACGAGTAAGTTTCTGAGAATGCTTCTGTCTAGTTTTTATGGGAAGATATTTCCTTTTTCACCTTAGGCCGGAAAGTGCTCCAAATGTCCACTTACACACACTACAAAAAGAGTGTTTCAAACCTGCTCTGTGAAAGGGAATGTTCAATTCTGTGACTTGAATGCAATCATCACAAAGAAGTTTCTGAGAATGCTGCTGTCTGCTTTTTATATGTAATCCCGTTTCCAACGAAATCCTCAAATCTAGCCAAATAGCCACTTGCAGATTCCACAAAAAGAGTGTTTCAAAACTGTTCTGTCTAAAGAAATGTTCAACTGTGTTAGTTGAGGACACACATCAGAAACTAGTTTCTGAGAATGCTTCTGTCTAGTTGTTATGGGAAGATATTTCCTTTTCCAAAGTAGGCCTGAAAGCGCTCCAAATGTCCAATTCCATATACTAAAAAAAGAGTGTTTCAAACCTGCTCTACCAAAGGGAATGTTCTACTCTGTGACTTGAATGCAAACATCCCAAAGAAGTTTCTGAGAATGCGTCTGTCTAGATTTGATCTGAAGACAATCCCGTTTCCAACGAAATCCTCAAGGCTAGGCAAATATCCTCTTGCAGATTCCAGAAAAAGAGTGTTTCAAAACTGCTCCTTCAAAACGGTGGTTCAATTCTCTTAGTTGAGTACACACATCTCAAATAAGTTTCTGAGAATGCTTCTGCCTAGTTGTTACGGGAAGATATTTCCCTTTCCAACATAGGCCTGAAAGCGCTCCAAATGTCCACTTCCAGATACTACAAAAAGAGTGTTTGAAACCTGCTCTACCAAAGGGAATGTTCTACTCTGTGACTTGAATGCAAACATCCCAAAGAAGTTTCTGAGAATGCTTCTGTCTAGATTTTACCTGAAGACAATCCCGTTTCCCACGAAATCCTCAAAGCTATGCAAATATCCTCTTGCAGATTCTACAAAAAGAGTGTTTCAAAACTGCTCTATGAAAAGAAAGGTTCAACTCTGTCAGTAGAGGGCACACATCACAAACAAGTTTCTGAGAATGCTTGTGTCTAGTTGTTATGGGAAGATATTTCCTTTTTCAACATAGGCCTGAAAGCGCTCCAAATGTCCACTTCCAGATACTACAAAAGGAGTGATTCCAACCTGCTCTATGATAGGGAATGTTCATCTCTGTGTCTTGAATACAAACATCACAAAGATGTTTCTCAGAACGCTGCAGTCTGCAATTTGTATGAATTCCCGTTTCCAACGAAATCCTCAAAACTAGCCAAATATCCACTTGGAGATTCCACAAAAAGAGCGTTTCAAAACTTCTCTATGAATAGAAAGGTTCTACTCCTTTAGTTGAGGACACACATCACGAGTAAGTTTCTGAGAATGCTTCTGTCTAGTTTCTATGGGAAGATATTTCCTTTTTCACCTTAGGCCGGAAAGCGCTCCAAATGTCCACTTACACACACTACAAAAAGAGTGTTTCAAACCTGCTCTGTGAAAGGGAATGTTCAATTCTGTGACTTGAATGCAATCATCACAAAGAACTTTCTGAGAATGCTGCTGACTGCTTTTTATATGTAATCCCGTTTCCAAAGAAATCCTCAAATCTAGCCAAATAGCCACTTGCAGATTCCACAAAAAGAGTGTTTCAAAACTGTTCTGTCTAAGAAAATGTTCAACTGTGTTAGTTGAGGACACACATCAGAAACTAGTTTCTGAGAATGCTTCTGTCTAGTTGTTATGGGAAGATATTTCCTTTTCCAACGTAGGCCTGAAAGCGATCCAAATGTCCACTTCCATATACTAAAAAAAGAGTGTTTCAAACCTGCTCTACCAAAGGGAATGTTCTACTCTGTGACTTGAATGCAAACATCC
This sequence comes from Homo sapiens, assembly GCF_000001405.40. Taxonomy (NCBI): domain Eukaryota; kingdom Metazoa; phylum Chordata; class Mammalia; order Primates; family Hominidae; genus Homo; species Homo sapiens. The sequence goes on along the minus strand of NC_000018.10, from coordinate 18,465,106 downwards.
CAAAGAAGTTTCTGAGAATGCTTCTGTCTAGATTTGATCTGAAGACAATCCCGTTTCCAACGAAATCCTCAGGGCTAGGCAAATATCCTCTTGCAGATTCCAGAAAAAGAGTGTTTCAAAACTGCTCCTTCAAAAGGGTGGTTCAATTCTCTTAGTTGAGTACACACATCTCAAATAAGTTTCTGAGAATGCTTCTGCCTAGTTGTTACGGGAAGATATTTCCCTTTCCAACATAGGCCTGAAAGCGCTCCAAATGTCCACTTCCAGATACTACAAAAAGAGTGTTTCAAACCTGCTCTACCAAAGGGAATGTTCTACTCTGTGACTTGAATGCAAACATCCCAAAGAAGTTTCTGAGAATGCTTCTGTCTAGATTTTACCTGAAGACAATCCCGTTTCCCACGAAATCCTCAAAGCTATGCAAAAATCCTCTTGCAGATTCTACAAAAAGAGTGTTTCAAAACTGCTCTATGAAAAGAAAGGTTCAACTCTGTCAGTAGAGGGCACACATCACAAACAAGTTTCTGAGAATGCTTGTGTCTAGTTGTTATGGGAAGATATTTCCTTTTTCAACATAGGCCAGAAAGCGCTCCAAATGTCCACTTCCAGATACTACAAAAGGAGTGATTCCAACCTGCTCTATGATAGGGAATGTTCAACTCTCTGTCCTGAATACAAACATCACAAAGATGTTTCTCAGAACGCTGCAGTCTGCAATTTGTATGAATTCCCGCTTCCAACGAAATCCTCAAAACTAGCCAAATATCCACTTGCAGATTCCACAAAAAGAGCATTTCAAAACTGCTCTATCAAAAGAAAGGTTCAACTTTGTTAGTTGAGTAGATACAGCATAAACAAGTTTCTGAGAATGCTTCTGTCCAGTTTTTATGGGAAGATATTTCCTTTTTCACCTTAGCCCTGAAAGCGCTCCAAAAGTCCAGTTCCAGATACTACAAAAGGAGTGTTTCAGGACTGCACTATGAAAGGGAGTGTTCAACTTTTGACTTGAATGCAAACATCAGAAAGCAGTTTCTCAGAACGCTGCTGTGTGCTTTTTATCTGTATTCCCGCTTCCAGCGAAATCCCCAAAGCTAGCCAAATATCCACTTGCAGATTCCAGAAAAAGAGTGTTTCAAAACTGCTCCTTCAAAACGGTGGTTCAATTCTCTTAGTTGAGTACACACATCTCAAATAAGTTTCTGAGAATGCTTCTGTCTAGTTGTTATGGGAAGATATTTCCTTTTCCAACATAGGCCTGAAAGCGCTCCAAATGTCCACTTCCAGATACTACAAAAGGAGTGATTCAAACCTGCTCTATGATAGGGAATGTTCAACTCTGTGTCCTGAATACAAACATCACAAAGATGTTTCTCAGAACGCTGCAGTCTGCAATTTGTATGAATTCCCGCTTCCAACGAAATCCTCAAAACTAGCCAAATATCCACTTGCAGATTCCACAAAAAGAGCGTTTCAAAACTTCTCTATGAAAAGAAAGGTTCTACTCCTTTAGTTGAGGACACACATCACGAGTAAGTTTCTGAGAATGCTTCTGTCTAGTTTTTATGGGAAGATATTTCCTTTTTCACCTTAGGCCGGTAAGTGCTCCAAATGTCCACTTACACACACTACAAAAAGAGTGTTTCAAACCTGCTCTGTGAAAGGGAATGTTCAATTCTGTGACTTGAATGCAATCATCACAAAGAACTTTCTGAGAATGCTGCTGACTGCTTTTTATATGTAATCCCGTTTCCAACGAAATCCTCAAATCTAGCCAAATAGCCACTTGCAGATTCCACAAAAAGAGTGTTTCAAAACTGTTCTGTCTAAAGAAATGTTCAACTGTGTTAGTTGAGGACACACATCAGAAACTAGTTTCTGAGAATGCTTCTGTCTAGTTGTTATGGGAAGATATTTCCTTTTCCAACGTAGGCCTGAAAGCGCTCCAAATGTCCACTTCCATATACTAAAAAAAGAGTGTTTCAAACCTGCTCTACCAAAGGGAATGTTCTACTCTGTGACTTGAATGCAAACATCCCAAAGAAGTTTCTGAGAATGCTTCTGTCTAGATTTGATCTGAAGACAATCCCGTTTCCAACGAAATCCTCAAGGCTAGGCAAATATCCTCTTGCAGATTCCAGAAAAAGAGTGTTTCAAAACTGCTCCTTCAAAACGGTGGTTCAATTCTCTTAGTTGAGTACACACATCTCAAATAAGTTTCTGAGAATGCTTCTGCCTAGTTGTTACCGGAAGATATTTCCCTTTCCAACATAGGCCTGAAAGCGCTCCAAATGTCCACTTCCAGATACTACAAAAAGAGTGTTTCAAACCTGCTCTACCAAAGGGAATGTTCTACTCTGTGACTTGAATGCAAACATCCCAAAGAAGTTTCTGAGAATGCTTCTGTCTAGATTTTACCTGAAGACAATCCCGTTTCCCACGAAATCCTCAAAGCTATGCAAATATCCTCTTGCAGATTCTACAAAAAGAGTGTTTCAAAACTGCTCTATGAAAAGAAAGGTTCAACTCTGTCAGTAGAGGGCACACATCACAAACAAGTTTCTGAGAATGCTTGTGTCTAGTTGTTATGGGAAGATATTTCCTTTTTCAACATAGGCCTGAAAGCGCTCCAAATGTCCACTTCCAGATACTACAAAAGGAGTGATTCCAACCTGCTCTATGATAGGGAATGTTCAACTCTCTGTCCTGAATACAAACATCACAAAGATGTTTCTCAGAACGCTGCAGTCTGCAATTTGTATGAATTCCCGCTTCCAACGAAATCCTCAAAACTAGCCAAATATCCACTTGCAGATTCCACAAAAAGAGCATTTCAAAACTGCTCTATCAAAAGAAAGGTTCAACTTTGTTAGTTGAGTAGATACAGCATAAACAAGTTTCTGAGAATGCTTCTGTCCAGTTTTTATGGGAAGATATTTCCTTTTTCACCTTAGCCCTGAAGGCGCTCCAAATTTCCAGTTCCAGATACTACAAAAGGGGTGTTTCAAGACTGCTCTATGAAAGGGAGTGTTCAACTTTTGACTTGAATGCAAACATCAGAAAGCAGTTTCTCAGAACGCTGCTGTGTGCTTTTTATATGTATTCCCGCTTCCAGCGAAATCCCCAAAGCTAGCCAAATATCCACTTGCAGATTCCAGAAAAAGAGTGTTTCCAAACTGCTCCTTCAAAACGGTGGTTCAATTCTCTTAGTTGAGTACACACATCTCAAATAAGTTTCTGGGAATGCTTCTGTCTAGTTGTTATGGGAAGATATTTCCTTTTCCAACATAGGCCTGAAAGCGCTCCAAATGTCCACTTCCAGATACTACAAAAGGAGTGATTCAAACCTGCTCTATGATAGGGAATGTTCAACTCTGTGTCCTGAATACAAACATCACAAAGATGTTTCTCAGAACGCTGCAGTCTGCATCTTGTATGAATTCCCGCTTCCAACGAAATCCTCCAAACTAGCCAAATATCCACTTGCAGATTCCACAAAAAGAGCGTTTCAAAACTTCTCTATGAAAAGAAAGGTTCTACTCCTTTAGTTGAGGACACACATCACGAGTAAGTTTCTGAGAATGCTTCTGTCTAGTTTTTATGGGAAGATATTTCCTTGTTCACCTTAGGCCGGAAAGCGCTCCAAATGTCCACTTACACACACTACAAAAAGAGTGTTTCAAACCTGCTCTGTGAAAGGGAATGTTCAATTCTGTGACTTGAATGCAATCATCACAAAGAAGTTTCTGAGAATGCTGCTGTCTGCTTTTTATATGTAATCCCGTTTCCAACGAAATCCTCAAATGTAGCCAAATATCCACTTGCAGATTCCACAAAAAGAGTGTTTCAAAACTGTTCTGTCTAAAGAAATGTTCAACTGTGTTAGTTGAGGACACACATCAGAAACTAGTTTCTGAGAATGCTTCTGTCTAGTTGTTATGGGAAGATATTTCCTTTTCCAACGTAGGCCAGAAAGCGCTCCAAATGTCCACTTACACACACTACAAAAAGAGTGTTTCAAACCTGCTCTACCAAAGGGAATGTTCTACTCTGTGACTTGAATGCAAACATCCCAAAGAAGTTTCTGAGAATGCTTCTGTCTAGATTTTACCTGAAGACAATCCCGTTTCCCACGAAATCCTCAAAGCTATGCAAATATCCTCTTGCAGATTCTACAAAAAGAGTGTTTCGAAACTGCTCTATGAAAAGAAAGGTTCAACTGTGTCAGTAGAGGGCACACATCACAAACAAGTTTCTGAGAATGCTTCTGCCTAGTTGTTATGGGAAGATATTTCCTTTTTCAACATAGGCCTGAAAGCGCTCCAAATGTCGACTTCCAGATACTACAAAAGGAGTGATTCCAGCCTTCTCTATGATAGGGAATGTTCAACTCTGTGTCCTGAATACAAACATCACAAAGACGTTTCTCAGAACGCTGCAGTCTGCAATTTGTATGAATTCCCGCTTCCAACGAAATCCTCAAAACTAGCCAAATATCCACTTGCAGATTCCACAAAAAGAGCATTTCAAAACTGCTCTATCAAAAGAAAGGTTCAACTTTGTTAGTTGAGTAGATACAGCATAAACAAGTTTCTGAGAATGCTTCTGTCCAGTTTTTATGGGAAGATATTTCCTTTTTCACCTTAGCCCTGAAAGCGCTCCAAAAGTCCAGTTCCAGATACTACCAAAGGAGTGTTTCAGGACTGCTCTATGAAAGGGAGTGTTCAACTTTTGACTTGAATGCAAACATCAGAAAGCAGTTTCTCAGAACGCTGCTGTGTGCTTTTTATATGTATTCCCGCTTCCAGCGAAATCCCCAAAGCTAGCCAAATATCCACTTGCAGATTCCAGAAAAAGAGTGTTTCAAAACTGCTCCTTCAAAACGGTGGTTCAATTCTCTTAGTTGAGTACACACATCTCAAATAAGTTTCTGAGAATGCTTGTGTCTAGTTGTTATGGGAAGATATTTCCTTTTTCAACATAGGCCTGAAAGCGCTCCAAATGTCCACTTCCAGATACTACAAAAGGAGTGATTCCAACCTGCTCTATGATAGGGAATGTTCAACTCTCTGTCCTGAATACAAACATCACAAAGATGTTTCACAGAACGCTGCAGTCTGCAATTTGTATGAATTCCCGCTTCCAGCGAAATCCTCAAAACTAGCCAAATATCCACTTGCAGATTCCACAAAAAGAGCATTTCAAAACTGCTCTATCAAAAGAAAGGTTCAACTTTGTTAGTTGAGTAGATACAGCATAAACAAGTTTCTGAGAATGCTTCTGTCCAGTTTTTATGGGAAGATATTTCCTTTTTCACCTTAGCCCTGAAAGCGCTCCAAAAGTCCAGTTCCAGATACTACAAAAGGAGTGTTTCAGGACTGCTCTATGAAAGGGAGTGTTCAACTTTTGACTTGAATGCAAACATCAGAAAGCAGTTTCTCAGAACGCTGCTGTGTGCTTTTTATATGTATTCCCGCTTCCAGCGAAATCCCCAAAGCTAGCCAAATATCCACTTGCAGATTCCAGAAAAAGAGTGTTTCAAAACTGCTCCTTCAAAACGGTTGTTCAATTCTCTTAGTTGAGTACACACATCTCAAATAAGTTTCTGAGAATGCTTCTGTCCAGTTTTTATGGGAAGATATTTCCTTTTTCACCTTTGCCCTGAAAGCGCTCCAAATGTCCAGTTCCAGATACTACAAAAGGGGTGTTTCAAGACTGCTCTATGAAAGGGGGTGTTCAACTTTTGACTTGAATGCAAACATCAGAAAGCAGTTTCTCAGAACGCTGCAGTCTGCAATTTGTATGAATTCCCGCTTCCAACGAAATCCTCAAAACTAGCCAAATATCCACTTGCAGATTCCACAAAAAGAGCGTTTCAAAACTTCTCTATGAAAAGAAAGGTTCTACTCCTTTAGTTGAGGACACACATCACGAGTAAGTTTCTGAGAATGCTTCTGTCTAGTTTTTATGGGAAGATATTTCCTTTTTCACCTTAGGCCGGAAAGTGCTCCAAATGTCCACTTACACACACTACAAAAAGAGTGTTTCAAAACTGCTCTGTGAAAGGGAATGTTCAATTCTGTGACTTGAATGCAATCATCACAAAGAACGTTCTGAGAATGCTGCTGTCTGCTTTTTATATGTAATCCCGTTTCCAACGAAATCCTCAAATCTAGCCAAATAGCCACTTGCAGATTCCACAAAAAGAGAGTTTCAAAACTGTTCTGTCTAAAGAAATGTTCAACTGTGTTAGTTGAGGACACACATCAGAAACTAGTTTCTGAGAATGCTTCTGTCTAATTGTTATGGGAAGATATTTCCTTTTCCAACGTAGGCCTGAAAGCGCTCCAAATGTCCACTTCCATATACTAAAAAAAGAGTGTTTCAAACCTGCTCTACCAAAGGGAATGTTCTACTCTGTGACTTGAATGCAAACATCCCAAAGAATTTTCTGAGAATGCTTCTGTCTAGATTTGATCTGAAGACAATCCCGTTTCCAACGAAATCCTCAAAGCTAGGCAAATATCCTCTTGCAGATTCCAGAAAAAGAGTGTTTCAAAACTGCTCCTTCAAAACGGTGGTTCAATTCTCTTAGTTGAGTACACACATCTCAAATAAGTTTCTGAGAATGCTTCTGCCTAGTTGTTACGGGAAGATATTTCCCTTTCCAACATGGGCCTGAAAGCGCTCCAAATGTCCACTTCCAGATACTACAAAAAGAGTGTTTCAAACCTGCTCTACCAAAGGGAATGTTCTACTCTGTGACTTGAATGCAAACATCCCAAAGAAGTTTCTGAGAATGCTTCTGTCTAGATTTTACCTGAAGACAATCCCGTTTCCCACGAAATCCTCAAAGCTATGCAAATATCCTCTTGCAGATTCTACAAAAAGAGTGTTTCAAAACTGCTCTATGAAAAGAAAGGTTCAACTCTGTCAGTAGAGGGCACACATCACAAACAAGTTTCTGAGAATGCTTCTGCATAGTTGTTACGGGAAGATATTTCCCTTTCCAAAATAGGCCTGAAAGCGCTCCAAATGTCCACTTCCAGATACTACAAAAGGAGTGATTCCAACCTGCTCTATGATAGGGAATGTTCAACTCTGTGTCCTGAATACAAACATCACAAAGATGTTTCTCAGAACGCTGCAGTCTGCAATTTGTATGAATTCCCGCTTCCAACGAAATCCTCAAAACTAGCCAAATATCCACTTGCAGATTCCACAAAAAGAGCATTTCAAAACTGCTCTATCAAAAGAAAGGTTCAACTTTGTTAGTTGAGTAGATACAGCATAAAAAAGTTTCTGAGAATGCTTCTGTCCAGTTTTTATGGGAAGATATTTCCTTTTTCACCTTAGCCCTGAAAGCGCTCCAAAAGTCCAGTTCCAGATACTACAAAAGGAGTGTTTCAGGACTGCTCTATGAAAGGGAGTGTTCAACTTTTGACTTGAATGCAAACATCAGAAAGCAGTTTCTCAGAACGCTGCTGTGTGCTTTTTATATGTATTCCCGCATCCAGCGAAATCCCCAAAGCTAGCCAAATATCCACTTGCAGATTCCAGAAAAAGAGTGTTTCAAAACTGCTCCTTCAAAACGGTGGTTCAATTCTCTTAGTTGAGTACACACATCTCAAATAAGTTTCTGAGAATGCTTCTGTCTAGTTGTTATGGGAAGATATTTCCTTTTCCAACATAGGCCTGAAAGCGCTCCAAATGTCCACTTCCAGATACTACAAAAGGAGTGATTCAAACCTGCTCTATGATAGGGAATGTTCAACTCTGTGTCCTGAATACAAACATCACAAAGATGTTTCTCAGAACGCTGCAGTCTGCAATTTGTATGAATTCCCGCTTCCAACGAAATCCTCAAAACTAGCCAAATATCCACTTGCAGATTCCACAAAAAGAGCGTTTCAAAACTTCTCTATGAAAAGAAAGGTTCTACTCCTTTAGTTGAGGACACACATCACGAGTAAGTTTCTGAGAATGCTTCTGTCTAGTTTTTATGGGAAGATATTTCCTTTTTCACCTTAGGCCGGAAAGTGCTCCAAATGTCCACTTACACACACTACAAAAAGAGTGTTTCAAACCTGCTCTGTGAAAGGGAATGTTCAATTCTGTGACTTGAATGCAATCATCACAAAGAACTTTCTGAGAATGCTGCTGTCTGCTTTTTATATGTAATCCCGTTTCCAACGAAATCCTCAAATCTAGCAAAATAGCCACTTGCAGATTCCACAAAAAGAGTGTTTCAAAACTGTTCTGTCTAAAGAAATGTTCAAATGTGTTAGTTGAGGACACACATCAGAAACTAGTTTCTGAGAATGCTTCTGTCTAGTTGTTATGGGAAGATATTTCCTTTTCCAACGTAGGCCTGAAAGCGCTCCAAATGTCCACTTCCATATACTAAAAAAAGAGTGTTTCAAACCTGCTCTACCAAAGGGAATGTTCTACTCTGTGACTTGAATGCAAACATCCCAAAGAAGTTTCTGAGAATGCTTCTGTCTAGATTTGATCTGAAGACAATCCCGTTTCCAACGAAATCCTCAAGGCTAGGCAAATATCCTCTTGCAGATTCCAGAAAAAGAGTGTTTCAAAACTGCTCCTTCAAAACGGTGGTTCAATTCTCTTAGTTGAGTACACACATCTCAAATAAGTTTCTGAGAATGCTTCTGCCTAGTTGTTACGGGAAGATATTTCCCATTCCAACATAGGCCTGAAAGCACTCCAAATGTCCACTTCCAGATACTACAAAAAGAGTGTTTCAAACCTGCTCTACCAAAGGGAATGTTCTACTCTGTGACTTGAATGCAAACATCCCAAAGAAGTTTCTGAGAATGCTTCTGTCTAGATTTTACCTGAAGACAATCCCGTTTCCCACGAAATCCTCAAAGCTATGCAAATATCCTCTTGCAGATTCTACAAAAAGAGTGTTTCAAAACTGCTCTATGAAAAGAAAGGTTCAACTCTGTCAGTAGAGGGCACACATCACAAACAAGTTTCTGAGAATGCTTGTGTCTAGTTGTTATGGGAAGATATTTCCTTTTTCAACATAGGCCTGAAAGCGCTCCAAATGTCCACTTCCAGATACTACAAAAGGAGTGATTCCAACCTGCTCTATGATAGGGAATGTTCAACTCTCTGTCCTGAATACAAACATCACAAAGATGTTTCTCAGAACGCTGCAGTCTGCAATTTGTATGAATTCCCGCTTCCAACGAAATCCTCAAAACTAGCCAAATATCCACTTGCAGATTCCACAAAAAGAGCATTTCAAAACTGCTCTATCAAAAGAAAGGTTCAACTTTGTTAGTTGAGTAGATACAGCATAAACAAGTTTCTGAGAATGCTTCTGTCCAGTTTTTATGGGAAGATATTTCCTTTCTCACCTTAGCCCTGAAAGCGCTCCAAAAGTCCAGTTCCAGATACTACAAAAGGAGTGTTTCAGGACTGCACTATGAAAGGGAGTGTTCAACTTTTGACTTGAATGCAAACATCAGAAAGCAGTTTCTCAGAACGCTGCTGTGTGCTTTTTATATGTATTCCCGCTTCCAGCGAAATCCCCAAAGCTAGCCAAATAGCCACTTGCAGATTCCAGAAAAAGAGTGTTTCAAAACTGCTCCTTCAAAACGGTGGTTCAATTCTCTTAGTTGAGTACACACATCTCAAATAAGTTTCTGAGAATGCTTCTGTCTAGTTGTTATGGGAAGATATTTCCTTTTCCAACATAGGCCTGAAAGCGCTCCAAATGTCCACTTCGAGATACTACAAAAGGAGTGATTCAAACCTGCTCTATGATAGGGGATGTTCAACTCTGTGTCCTGAATACAAACATCACAAAGATGTTTCTCAGAACGCTGCAGTCTGCAATTTGTATGAATTCCCGCTTCCAACGAAATCCTCAAAACTAGCCAAATATCCACTTGCAGATTCCACAAAAAGAGCGTTTCAAAACTTCTCTATGAAAAGAAAGGTTCTACTCCTTTAGTTGAGGACACACATCACGAGTAAGTTTCTGAGAATGCTTCTGTCTAGTTTTTATGGGAAGATATTTCCTTTTTCACCTTAGGCCGGAAAGCGCTCCAAATGTCCACTTACACACACTACAAAAAGAGTGTTTCAAACCTGCTCTGTGAAAGGGAATGTTCAATTCTGTGACTTGAATGCAATCATCACAAAGAACTTTCTGAGAATGCTGCTGACTGCTTTTTATATGTAATCCCGTTTCCAACGAAATCCTCAAATCTAGCCAAATAGCCACTTGCAGATTCCACAAAAAGAGTGTTTCAAAACTGTTCTGTCTAAAGAAATGTTCAACTGTGTTAGTTGAGGACACACATCAGAAACTAGTTTCTGAGAATGCTTCTGTCTAGTTGTTATGGGAAGATATTTCCTTTTCCAACGTAGGCCTGAAAGCGCTCCAAATGTCCACTTCCATATACGAAAAAAAGATTGTTTCAAACCTGCTCTACCAAAGGGAATGTTCTACTCTGTGACTTGAATGCAAACATCCCAAAGAAGTTTCTGAGAATGCTTCTGTCTACATTTTATCTGAAGACAATCCCGTTTCCAACGAAATCCTCAAGGCTAGGCAAATATACTCTTGCAGATTCCAGAAAAAGAGTGTTTCAAAACTGCTCCTTCAAAACGGTGGTTCAATTCTCTTAGTTGAGTACACACATCTCAAATATGTTTCTGAGAATGCTTCTGCCTAGTTGTTACGGGAAGATATTTCCCTTTCCAACATGGGCCTGAAAGCGCTCCTAATGTCCACTTCCAGATACTACAAAAAGAGTGTTTCAAACCTGCTCTACCAAAGGGAATGTTCTACTCTGTGACTTGAATGCAAACATCCCAAAGAAGTTTCTGAGAATGCTTCTGTCTAGATTTTACCTGAAGACAATCCCGTTTCCCACGAAATCCTCAAAGCTATGCAAATATCCTCTTGCAGATTCTACAAAAAGAGTGTTTCAAAACTGCTCTATGAAAAGAAAGGTTCAACTCTGTCAGTAGAGGGCACACATCACAAACAAGTTTCTGAGAATGCTTGTGTCTAGTTGTTATGGGAAGATATTTCCTTTTTCAACATAGGCCTGAAAGCGCTCCAAATGTCCACTTCCAGATACTACAAAAGGAGTGATTCCAACCTGCTCTATGATAGGGAATGTTCAACTCTATGTCCTGAATACAAACATCACAAAGATGTTTCTCAGAACGCTGCAGTCTGCAATTTGTATGAATTCCCGCTTCCAACGAAATCCTCAAAACTAGCCAAATATCCACTTGCAGATTCCACAAAAAGAGCGTTTCAAAACTTCTCTATGAAAAGAAAGGTTCTACTCCTTTAGTTGAGGACACACATCACGAGTAAGTTTCTGAGAATGCTTCTGTCTAGTTTTTATGGGAAGATATTTCCCTTTTTCACCTTAGGCCGGAAAGTGCTCCAAATGTCCACTTACACACACTACAAAAAGAGTGTTTCAAACCTGCTCTGTGAAAGGGAATGTTCAATTCTGTGACTTGAATGCAATCATCACAAAGAACTTTCTGAGAATGCTGCTGTCTGCTTTTTATATGTAATCCCGTTTCCAACGAAATCCTCAAATCTAGCCAAATAGCCACTTGCAGATTCCACAAAAAGAGTGTTTCAAAACTGTTCTGTCTAAAGAAATGTTCAACTGTGTTAGTTGAGGACACACATCAGAAACTAGTTTCTGAGAATGCTTCTGTCTAGTTGTTATGGGAAGATATTTCCTTTTCCAACGTAGGCCTGAAAGCGCTCCAAATGTCCACTTCCATATACTAAAAAAAGAGTGTTTCAAACCTGCTCTACCAAAGGGAATGTTCTACTCTGTGACTTGAATGCAAACATCCCAAAGAAGTTTCTGAGAATGCTTCTGTCTAGATTTGATCTGAAGACAATCCCGTTTCCAACGAAATCCTCAAGGCTAGGCAAATATCCTCTTGCAGATTCCAGAAAAAGAGTGTTTCAAAACTGCTCCTTCAAAACGGTGGTTCAATTCTCTTAGTTGAGTACACACATCTCAAATAAGTTTCTGAGAATGCTTCTGCCTAGTTGTTACGGGAAGATATTTCCCTTTCCAACATAGGCCTGAAAGCGCTCCAAATGTCCACTTCCAGATACTACAAAAAGAGTGTTTCAAACCTGCTCTACCAAAGGGAATGTTCTACTCTGTGACTTGAATGCAAACATCCCAAAGAAGTTTCTGAGAATGCTTCTGTCTAGATTTTACCTGAAGACAATCCCGTTTCCCACGAAATCCTCAAAGCTATGCAAATATCCTCTTGCAGATTCTACAAAAAGAGTGTTTCAAAACTGCTCTATGAAAAGAAAGGTTCAACTCTGTCAGTAGAGGGCACACATCACAAACAAGTTTCTGAGAATGCTTGTGTCTAGTTGTTATGGGAAGATATTTCCTTTATCAACATAGGCCTGAAAGCGCTCCAAATGTCCACTTCCAGATACTACAAAAGGAGTGATTCCAACCTGCTCTATGATAGGGAATGTTCAACTCTGTGTCCTGAATACAAACATCACAAAGATGTTTCTCAGAACGCTGCAGTCTGCAATTTGTATGAATTCCCGCTTCCAACGAAATCCTCAAAACTAGCCAAATATCCACTTGGAGATTCCACAAAAAGAGCGTTTCAAAACTTCTCTATGAATAGAAAGGTTCTACTCCTTTAGTTGAGGACACACATCACGAGTAAGTTTCTGAGAATGCTTCTGTCTAGTTTTTATGGGAAGATATTTCCTTTTTCACCTTAGGCCGGAAAGCGCTCCAAATGTCCACTTACACACACTACAAAAAGAGGGTTTCAAACCTGCTCTGTGAAAGGGAATGTTCAATTCTGTGACTTGAATGCAATCATCACAAAGAACATTCTGAGAATGCTGCTGACTGCTTTTTATATGTAATCCCGTTTCCAACGAAATCCTCAAATCTAGCCCAATATCCACTTGCAGATTCCACAAAAAGAGTGTTTCAAAACTGTTCTGTCTAAAGAAATGTACAACTGTGTTAGTTGAGGACACACATCAGAAACTAGTTTCTGAGAATGCTCTCTGTCTAGTTGTTATGGGAAGATATTTCCTTTTCCAACGTAGGCCTGAAAGTGCTCCAAATGTCCACTTCCATATACTAAAAAAAGAGTGTTTCAAACCTGCTCTACCAAAGGGAATGTTCTACTCTGTGACTTGAATGCAAACATCCCAAAGAAGTTTCTGAGAATGCTTCTGTCTAGATTTTCTCTGAAGACAATCCCGTTTCCAACGAAATCCTCAAGGCTAGGCAAATATACTCTTGCAGATTCCAGAAAAAGAGTGTTTCAAAACTGCTCCTTCAAAACGGTGGTTCAATTCTCTTAGTTGAGTACACACATCTCAAATAAGTTTCTGAGAATGCTTCTGCCTAGTTGTTACGGGAAGATATTTCCCTTTCCAACATGGGCCTGAAAGCGCTCCAAATGTCCACTTCCAGATACTACAAAAAGAGGGTTTCAAACCTGCTCTACCAAAGGGAATGTTCTACTCTGTGACTTGAATGCAAACATCCCAAACTAGTTTCTGAGAATGCTTCTGTCTAGATTTTACCTGAAGACAATCCCGTTTCCCACGAAATCCTCAAAGCTATGCAAATATCCTCTTGCAGATTCTACAAAAAGAGTGTTTCAAAACTGCTCTATGAAAAGAAAGGTTCAACTCTGTCAGTAGAGGGCACACATCACAAACAAGTTTCTGAGAATGCTTCTGCATAGTTGTTACGGGAAGATATTTCCCTTTCCAAAATAGGCCTGAAAGCGCTCCAAATGTCCACTTCCAGATACTACAAAAGGAGTGATTCCAACCTGCTCTATGATAGGGAATGTTCAACTCTGTGTCCTGAATACAAACATCACAAAGATGTTTCTCAGAACGCTGCAGTCTGCAATTTGTATGAATTCCCGCTTCCAACGAAATCCTCAAAACTAGCCAAATATCCACTTGCAGATTCCACAAAAAGAGCATTTCAAAACTGCTCTATCAAAAGAAAGGTTCAACTTTGTTAGTTGAGTAGATACAGCATAAACAAGTTTAGGAGAATGCTTCTGTCCAGTTTTTATGGGAAGATATTTCCTTTTTCACCTTAGCCCTGAAATCGCTCCAAAAGTCCAGTTCCAGATACTACAAAAGGGGTGTTTCAAGACTGCTCTATGAAAGGGAGTGTTCAACTTTTGACTTGAATGCAAACATCAGAAAGCAGTTTCTCAGAACGCTGCTGTGTGCTTTTTATATATATTCCCGCTTCCAGCGAAATCCCCAAAGCTAGCCAAATATCCACTTGCAGATTCCAGAAAAAGAGTGTTTCCAAACTGCTCCTTCAAAACGGTGGTTCAATTCTCATAGTTGAGTACACACATCTCAAATAAGTTTTTGGGAATGCTTCTGTCTAGTTGTTATGGGAAGATATTTCCTTTTCCAACATAGGCCTGAAAGCGCTCCAAATGTCCACTTCCAGATACTACAAAAGGAGTGATTCAAACCTGCTCTATGATAGGGAATGTTCAACTCTGTGTCCTGAATACAAACATCACAAAGATGTTTCTCAGAACGCTGCAGTCTGCATCTTGTATGAATTCCCGCTTCCAACGAAATCCTCCAAACTAGCCAAATATCCACTTGCAGATTCCACAAAAAGAGCGTTTCAAAACTTCTCTATGAAAAGAAAGGTTCTACTCCTTTAGTTGAGGACACACATCACGAGTAAGTTTCTGAGAATGCTTCTGTCTAGTTTTTATGGGAAGATATTTCCTTGTTCACCTTAGGCCGGAAAGCGCTCCAAATGTCCACTTACACACACTACAAAAAGAGTGTTTCAAACCTGCTCTGTGAAAGGGAATGTTCAATTCTGTGACTTGAATGCAATCATCAAAAAGAAGTTTCTGAGAATGCTGCTGTCTGCTTTTTATATGTAATCCCGTTTCCAACGAAATCCTCAAATCTAGCCAAATATCCACTTGCAGATTCCACAAAAAGAGTGTTTCAAAACTGTTCTGTCTAAAGAAATGTTCAACTGTGTTAGTTGAGGACACACATCAGAAACTAGTTTCTGAGAAAGCTTCTGTCTAGTTGTTATGGGAAGATATTTCCTTTTCCAACGTAGGCCTGAAAGCGCTCCAAATGTGCACTTCCATATACTAAAAAAAGAGTGTTTCAAACCTGCTCTACCAAAGGAATGTTCTACTCTGTGACTTGAATGCAAACATCCCAAAGAAGTTTCTGAGAATGCTTCTGTCTAGATTTGATCTGAAGACAATCCCTTTTCCAACGAAATCCTCAAAGCTAGGCAAATATCCTCTTGCAGATTCCAGAAAAAGAGTGTTTCCAAACTGCTCCTTCAAAACGGTGGTTCAATTCTCTTAGTTGAGTACACACATCTCAAATAAGTTTCTGAGAATGCTTCTGCCTAGTTGTTACGGGAAGATATTTCCGTTTCCAACATAGGCCTGAAAGCGCAACAAATGTCCACTTCCAGATACTACAAAAAGAGTGTTTCAAACCTGCTCTACCAAAGGGAATGTTCTACTCTGTGACTTGAATGCAAACATCCCGAAGAAGTTTCTGAGAATGCTTCTGTCTAGATTTTACCTGAAGACAATCCCGTTTCCCACGAAATCCTCAGAGCTATGCAAATATCCTCTTGCAGATTCTACAAAAAGAGTGTTTCGAAACTGCTCTATGAAAAGAAAGGTTCAACTCTGTCAGTAGAGGAAACACATCACCAACAAGTTTCTGAGAATGCTTCTGTCTAGTTGTTATGGGAAGATTTTTCCTTTTTCAACATAGGCCTGAAAGCGCTCCAAATGTCCACTTCCAGATACTACAAAAGGAGTGATCCCAACCTGCTCTATGATAGGGAATGTTCAACTCTGTGTCCTGAATACAAACATCACAAAGATGTTTCTCAGAACGCTGCAGTCTGCAATTTGTATGAATTCCCGCTTCCAACGAAATCCTCAAAACTAGCCAAATATCCACTTGCAGATTCCACAAAAAGAGCATTTCAAAACTGCTCTATCAAAAGAAAGGTTCAACTTTGTTAGTTGAGTAGATACAGCATAAACAAGTTTCTGAGAATGCTTCTGTCCAGTTTTTATGGGAAGATATTTCCTTTTTCACCTTAGCCCTGAAAGCGCTCCAAAAGTCCAGTTCCAGATACTACAAAAGGAGTGTTTCAGGACTGCTCTATGAAAGGGAGTGTTCAACTTTTGACTTGAATGCAAACATCAGAAAGCAGTTTCTCAGAACGCTGCTGTGTGCTTTTTATATGTATTCCCGCTTCCAGCGAAATCCCCAAAGCTAGCCAAATATCCACTTGCAGATTCCAGAAAAAGAGTGTTTCAAAACTGCTCCTTCAAAACGGTGGTTCAATTCTCTTAGTTGAGTACACACATCTCAAATAAGTTTCTGAGAATGCTTCTGTCTAGTTTTTATGGGAAGATATTTCCTTTTTCACCTGAGGCCGGAAAGCGCTCCAAATGTCCACTTCCAGATACTACAAAAGGAGTGATTCAAACCTGCTCTATGATAGGGAACGTTCAACTCTGTGTCCTGAATACAAACATCACAAAGATGTTTCTCAGAACGCTGCAGTCTGCAATTTGTATGAATTCCCGCTTCCAACGAAATCCTCAAAACTAGCCAAATATCCACTTGCAGATTCCACAAAAAGAGCGTTTCAAAACTTCTCTATGAAAAGAAAGGTTCTACTCCTTTAGTTGAGGACACACATCACGAGTAAGTTTCTGAGAATGCTTCTGTCTAGTTTTTATGGGAAGATATGTCCTTTTTCACCTTAGGCCGGAAAGCGCTCCAAATGTCCACTTACACACACTACAAAAAGAGTGTTTCAAACCTGCTCTGTGAAAGGGAATGTTCAATTCTGTGACTTGAATGCAATCATCACAAAGAACTTTCTGAGAATGCTGCTGACTGCTTTTTATATGTAATCCCGTTTCCAACGAAATCCTCAAATCTAGCCAAATAGCCACTTGCAGATTCCACAAAAAGAGTGTTTCAAAACTGTTCTGTCTAAAGAAATGTTCAACTGTGTTAGTTGAGGACACACATCAGAAACTAGTTTCTGAGAATGCTTCTGTCTAGTTGTTATGGGAAGATATTTCCTTTTCCAACGTAGGCCTGAAAGCGCTCCAAATGTCCACTTCCATATACTAAAAAAAGAGTGTTTCAAACCTGCTCTACCAAAGGGAATGTTCTACTCTGTGACTTGAATGCAAACATCCCAAAGAAGTTTCTGAGAATGCTTCTGTCTAGATTTTCTCTGAAGACAATCCCGTTTCCAACGAAATCCTCAAGGCTAGGCAAATATACTCTTGCAGATTCCAGAAAAAGAGTGTTTCAAAACTGCTCCTTCAAAACGGTGGTTCAATTCTCTTAGTTGAGTACACACATCTCAAATAAGTTTCTGAGAATGCTTCTGCCTAGTTGTTACGGGAAGATATTTCCCTTTCCAACATAGGCCTGAAAGCGCTCCAAATGTCCACTTCCAGATACTACAAAAAGAGTGTTTCAAACCTGCTCTATGATAGGGAATGTTCAACTCTGTGTCCTGAATACAAACATCACAAAGATGTTTCTCAGAACGCTTCTGTCTAGATTTTACCTGAAGACAATCCCGTTTCCCACGAAATCCTCAAAGCTATGCAAATATCCTCTTGCAGATTCTACAAAAAGAGTGTTTCAAAACTGCTCTATGAAAAGAAAGGTTCAACTCTGTCAGTAGAGGGCACACATCACAAACAAGTTTCTGAGAATGCTTCTGCATAGTTGTTACGGGAAGATATTTCCCTTTCCAAAATAGGCCTGAAAGCGCTCCAAATGTCCACTTCCAGATACTACAAAAGGAGTGATTCCAACCTGCTCTATGATAGGGAATGTTCAACTCTGTGTCCTGAATACAAACATCACAAAGATGTTTCTCAGAACGCTGCAGTCTGCAATTCGTATGAATTCCCGCTTCCAACGAAATCCTCAAAACTAGCCAAATATCCACTTGCAGATTCCACAAAAAGACCATTTCAAAACTGCTCTATCAAAAGAAAGGTTCAACTTTGTTAGTTGAGTAGATACAGCATAAACAAGTTTCTGAGAATGCTTCTGTCCAGTTTTTATGGGAAGATATTTCCTTTTTCACCTTAGCCCTGAAATCGCTCCAAAAGTCCAGTTCCAGATACTACAAAAGGGGTGTTTCAAGACTGCTCTATGAAAGGGAGTGTTCAACTTTTGACTTGAATGCAAACATCAGAAAGCAGTTTCTCAGAACGCTGCTGTGTGCTTTTTATATGTATTCCCGCTTCCAGCGAAATCCCCAAAGCTAGCCAAATAGCCACTTGCAGCTTCCAGAAAAAGAGTGTTTCAAAACTGCTCCTTCAAAACGGTGGTTCAATTCTCTTAGTTGAGTACACACATCTCAAATAAGTTTCTGAGAATGCTTCTGTCTATTTGTTATGGGAAGATATTTCCTTTTCCAACATAGGCCTGAAAGGGCTCCAAATGGACACTTCCAGATACTACAAAAGGAGTGATTCAAACCTGCTCTATGATAGGGAATGTTCAACTCTGTGTCCTGAATACAAACATCACAAAGATGTTT
Organism: Homo sapiens; assembly: GCF_000001405.40. NCBI lineage: Eukaryota > Metazoa > Chordata > Mammalia > Primates > Hominidae > Homo > Homo sapiens. The sequence goes on along the minus strand of NC_000018.10, from coordinate 18,446,438 downwards.
CTCAGAACGCTGCAGTCTGCAATTTGGATGAATTCCCGCTTCCAACGAAATCCTCAAAACTAGCCAAATATCCACTTGCAGATTCCACAAAAAGAGCGTTTCAAAACTTCTCTATGAAAAGAAAGGTTCTACTCCTTTAGTTGAGTACACACATCACGAGTAAGTTTCTGAGAATGCTTCTGTCTAGTTTTTATGGGAAGATATGTCCTTTTTCACCTTAGGCCGGAAAGCGCTCCAAATGTCCACTTACACACACTACAAAAAGAGTGTTTCAAACCTGCTCTGTGAAAGGGAATGTTCAATTCTGTGACTTGAATGCAATCATCACAAAGAACTTTCTGAGAATGCTGCTGTCTGCTTTTTATATGTATTCCCGTTTCCAACGAAATCCTCAAAGCCAGCCAAATATCCACTTGCAGATTCCACAAAAAGAGTGTTTCAAAACTGCTCTCTCAAAAGAAATGTTCAACTCTGTCAGTTGAGGACACACATCACAAATAAGTTTCTGAGAATGCTTCTCTCTAGATTTTATATGAAGATATTCCCGTTTCCAACGAAATCCACAAAGCTATCGAAATATCCACTTGCAGATTCTACAAAAAGAGTGTTTCAAAACTGCTCTATGAAAAGAAAGGTTCTACCCCTTTAGTTGAGGACACACATCACGAGTAAGTTTCTGAGAATGCTTCTGTCTAGTTTTTATGGGAAGATATTTCCTTTTTCACCTGAGGCCGGAAAGCGCTCCAAATGTCCACTTCCAGATACTACAAAAGGAGTGATTCAAACCTGCTCTATGATAGGGAACGTTCAACTCTGTGTCCTGAATACAAACATCACAAAGATGTTTCTCAGAACGCTGCAGTCTGCAATTTGTATGAATTCCCGCTTCCAACGAAATCCTCAAAACTAGCCAAATATCCACTTGCAGATTCCACAAAAAGAGCGTTTCAAAACTTCTCTATGAAAAGAAAGGTTCTACTCCTTTAGTTGAGGACACACATCACGAGTAAGTTTCTGAGAATACTTCTGTCTAGTTTTTATGGGAAGATATTTCCTTGTTCACCTTAGGCCGGAAAGCGCTCCAAATGTCCACTTACACACACTACAAAAAGAGTGTTTCAAACCTGCTCTGTGGAAGGGAATGTTCAATTCTGTGACTTGAATGCAATCATCACAAAGAAGTTTCTGAGAATGCTGCTGTCTGCTTTTTATATGTAATCCCGTTTCCAACGAAATCCTCAAATCTAGCCAAATATCCACTTGCAGATTCCACAAAGAGAGTGTTTCAAAACTGTTCTGTCTAAAGAAATGTTCAACTGTGTTAGTTGAGGACACACATCAGAAACTAGTTTCTGAGAATGCTTCTGTCTAGTTGTTATGGGAAGATATTTCCTTTTCCAACGTAGGCCTGAAAGCGCTCCAAATGTCCACTTCCATATACTAAAAAAAGAGTGTTTCAAACCTGCTCTACCAAAGGGAATGTTCTACTCTGTGACTTGAATGCAAACATCCCAAAGAAGTTTCTGAGAATGCTTCTGTCTAGATTGGATCTGAAGACAATCCCGTTGCCAACGAAATCCTCAAATCTATGCAAATATCCTCTTGCAGATTCCAGAAAAAGAGTGTTTCAAAACTGCTCCTTCAAAACGGTGGTTCAATTCTCTTAGTTGAGTACACACATCTCAAATAAGTTTCTGAGAATGCTTCTGCCTAGTTGTTACGGGAAGATATTTCCCTTTCCAACATAGGCCTGAAAGCGCTCCAAATGTCCACTTCCAGATACTACAAAAAGAGTGTTTCAAACCTGCTCCTTCAAAACGGTGGTTCAATTCTCTTAGTTCAGTACACACATCTCAAATAAGTTTCTGAGAATGCTTCTGCCTAGTTGTTACGGGAAGATATTTCCCTTTCCAACATAGGCCTGAAAGCGCTCCAAATGTCCACTTCCAGATACTACAAAAAGAGTGTTTCAAACCTGCTCTACCAAAGGGAATGTTCTACTCTGTGACTTGAATGCAAACATCCCAAAGAAGTTTCTGAGAATGCTTCTGTCTAGATTTTACCTGAAGACAATCCCGTTTCCCACGAAATCCTCAAAGCTATTCAAATATCCTCTTGCAGATTCTACAAAAAGAGTGTTTCAAAACTGCTCTATGAAAAGAAAGGTTCAACTCTGTCACTAGAGGGCACACATCACAAACAAGTTTCTGAGAATGCTTGTGTCTAGTTGTTATGGGAAGATATTTCCTTTTTCAACATAGGCCTGAAAGCGCTCCAAATGTCCACTTCCAGATACTACAAAAGGAGTGATTCCAACCTGCTCTATGATAGGGAATGTTCAACTCTCTGTCCTGAATACAAACATCACAAAGATGTTTCTCAGAACGCTGCAGTCTGCAATTTGTATGAATTCCCGCTTCCAGCGAAATCCTCAAAACTAGCCAAATATCCACTTGCAGATTCCACAAAAAGAGCATTTCAAAACTGCTCTATCAAAAGAAAGGTTCAACTTTGTTAGTTGAGTAGATACAGCATAAACAAGTTTCTGAGAATGCTTCTGTCCAGTTTTTATGGGAAGATATTTCCTTTTTCACCTTAGCCCTGAAAGCGCTCCAAAAGTCCAGTTCCAGATACTACAAAAGGAGTGTTTCAGGACTGCTCTATGAAAGGGAGTGTTCAACTTTTGACTTGAATGCAAACATCAGAAAGCAGTTTCTCAGAACGCTGCTGTGTGCTTTTTATATGTATTCCCGCTTCCAGCGAAATCCCCAAAGCTAGCCAAATATCCACTTGCAGATTCCAGAAAAAGAGTGTTTCAAAACTGCTCCTTCAAAACGGTGGTTCAATTCTCTTAGTTGAGTACACACATCTCAAATAAGTTTCTGAGAATGCTTGTGTCTAGTTGTTATGGGAAGATATTTCCTTTTTCAACATAGGCCTGAAAGCGCTCCAAATGTCCACTTCCAGATACTACAAAAGGAGTGATTCCAACCTGCTCTATGATAGGGAATGTTCATCTCTGTGTCCTGAATACAAACATCACAAAGATGTTTCTCAGAACGCTGCAGTCTGCAATTTGTATGAATTCCCGCTTCCAACGAAATCCTCAAAACTAGCCAAATATCCACTTGCAGATTCCACAAAAAGAGCGTTTCAAAACTTCTCTATGAATAGAAAGGTTCTACTCCTTTAGTTGAGGACACACATCACGAGTAAGTTTCTGAGAATGCTTCTGTCTAGTTTTTATGGGAAGATATGTCCTTTTTCACCTTAGGCCGGAAAGCGCTCCAAATGTCCACTTACACACACTACAAAAAGAGTGTTTCAAACCTGCTCTGTGAAAGGGAATGTTCAATTCTGTGACTTGAATGCAATCATCACAAAGAACTTTCTGAGAATGCTGCTGTCTGCTTTTTATATGTAATCCCGTTTCCAACGAAATCCTCAAATCTAGCCCAATATCCACTTACAGATTCCACAAAAAGAGTGTTTCAAAACTGTTCTGTATAAAGAAATGTACAACTGTGTTAGTTGAGGACACACATCAGAAACTAGTTTCTGAGAATGCTTCTGTCTAGTTGTTATGGGAAGATATTTCCTTTTCCAACGTAGGCCTGAAAGCGCTCCAAATGTCCACTTCCATATACTAAAAAAAGAGTGTTTCAAACCTGCTCTACCAAAGGGAATGTTCTACTCTGTGACTTGAATGCAAACATCCCAAAGAAGTTTCTGAGAATGCTTCTGTCTAGATTTTATCTGAAGACAATCCCGTTTCCAACGAAATTCTCAAGGCTAGGCAAATATACTCTTGCAGATTCCAGAAAAAGAGTGTTTCAAAACTGCTCCTTCAAAACGGTGGTTCAATTCTCTTAGTTGAGTACACACATCTCAAATAAGTTTCTGAGAATGCTTCTGCCTAGTTGTTACGGGAAGATATTTCCCTTTCCAACATGGGCCTGAAAGCGCTCCAAATGTCCACTTCCAGATACTACAAAAAGAGTGTTTCAAACCTGCTCTACCAAAGGGAATGTTCTACTCTGTGACTTGAATGCAAACATCCCAAAGAAGTTTCTGAGAATGCTTCTGTCTAGATTTTACCTGAAGACAATCCCGTTTCCCACGAAATCCTCAAAGCTATGCAAATATCCTCTTGCAGATTCTACAAAAAGAGTGTTTCAAAACTGCTCTATGAAAAGAAAGGTTCAACTCTGTCAGTAGAGGGCACACATCACAAACAAGTTTCTGAGAATGCTTCTGCATAGTTGTTACGGGAAGATATTTCCCTTTCCAAAATAGGCCTGAAAGCGCTCCAAATGTCCACTTCCAGATACTACAAAAGGAGTGATTCCAACCTGCTCTATGATAGGGAATGTTCAACTCTGTGTCCTGAATACAAACATCACAAAGATGTTTCTCAGAACGCTGCAGTCTGCAATTTGTATGAATTCCCGCTTCCAACGAAATCCTCAAAACTAGCCAAATATCCACTTGCAGATTCCACAAAAAGACCATTTCAAAACTGCTCTATCAAAAGAAAGGTTCAACTTTGTTAGTTGAGTAGATACAGCATAAACAAGTTTCTGAGAATGCTTCTGTCCAGTTTTTATGGGAAGATATTTCCTTTTTCACCTTAGCCCTGAAATCGCTCCAAAAGTCCAGTTCCAGATACTACCAAAGGGGTGTTTCAGGACTGCTCTATGAAAGGGAGTGTTCAACTTTTGACTTGAATGCAAACATCAGAAAGCAGTTTCTCAGAACGCTGCTGTGTGCTTTTTATATGTATTCCCGCTTCCAGCGAAATCCCCAAAGCTAGCCAAATATCCACTTGCAGATTCCAGAAAAAGAGTGTTTCAAAACTGCTCCTTCAAAACGGTGGTTCAATTCTCTTAGTTGAGTACACACATCTCAAATAAGTTTCTGAGAATGCTTCTGTCTAGTTGTTATGGGAAGATATTTCCTTTTCCAACATAGGCCTGAAAGCGCTCCAAATGTCCACTTCCAGATACTACAAAAGGAGTGATTCAAACCTGCTCTATGATAGGGAATGTTCAACTCTGTGTCCTGAATACAAACATCACAAAGATGTTTCTCAGAACGCTGCAGTCTGCAATTTGTATGAATTCCCGCTTCCAACGAAATCCTCCAAACTAGCCAAATATCCACTTGCAGATTCCACAAAAAGAGCGTTTCAAAACTTCTCTATGAAAAGAAAGGTTCTACTCCTTTAGTTGAGGACACACATCACGAGTAAGTTTCTGAGAATGCTTCTGTCTAGTTTTTATGGGAAGATATTTCCTTTTTCACCTTAGGCCGGAAAGTGCTCCAAATGTCCACTTACACACACTACAAAAAGAGTGTTTCAAACCTGCTCTGTGAAAGGGAATGTTCAATTCTGTGACTTGAATGCAATCATCACAAAGAACGTTCTGAGAATGCTGCTGTCTGCTTTTTATATGTAATCCCGTTTCCAACGAAATCCTCACATCTAGCCAAATAGCCACTTGCAGATTCCACAAAAAGAGAGTTTCAAAACTGTTCTGTCTAAAGAAATGTTCAACTGTGTTAGTTGAGGACACACATCAGAAACTAGTTTCTGAGAATGCTTCTGTCTAATTGTTATGGGAAGATATTTCCTTTTCCAACGTAGGCCTGAAAGCGCTCCAAATGTCCACTTCCATATACTAAAAAAAGAGTGTTTCAAACCTGCTCTACCAAAGGGAATGTTCTACTCTGTGACTTGAATGCAAACATCCCAAAGAAGTTTCTGAGAATGCTTCTGTCTAGATTTTATCTGAAGACAATGCGGTTTCCAACGAAATCCTCAAAGCTAGGCAAATATCCTCTAGCAGATTCCAGAAAAAGAGTGTTTCAAAACTGCTCCTTCAAAACGGTGGTTCAATTCTCTTAGTTGAGTACACACATCTCAAAAAAGTTTCAGAGAATGCTTCTGCCTAGTTGTTACGGGAAGATATTTCCCTTTCCAACATAGGCCTGAAAGCGCTCCAAATGTCCTCTTCCAGATACTACAAAAAGAGTGTTTCAAACCTGCTCTACCAAAGGGAATGTTCTACTCTGTGACTTGAATGCAAACATCCCAAAGAAGTTTCTGAGAATGCTTCTGTCTAGATTTTACCTGAAGACAATCCCGTTTCCCACGAAATCCTCAAAGCTATTCAAATATCCTCTTGCAGATTCTACAAAAAGAGTGTTTCAAAACTGCTCTATGAAAAGAAAGGTTCAACTCTGTCACTAGAGGGCACACATCACAAACAAGTTTCTGAGAATGCTTGTGTCTAGTTGTTATGGGAAGATATTTCCTTTTTCAACATAGGCCTGAAAGCGCTCCAAATGTCCACTTCCAGATACTACAAAAGGAGTGATTCCAACCTGCTCTATGATAGGGAATGTTCAACTCTCTGTCCTGAATACAAACATCACAAAGATGTTTCTCAGAACGCTGCAGTCTGCAATTTGTATGAATTCCCGCTTCCAATGAAATCCTCAAAACTAGCCAAATATCCACTTGCAGATTCCACAAAAAGAGCATTTCAAAACTGCTCTATCAAAAGAAAGGTTCAACTTTGTTAGTTGAGTAGATACAGCATAAACAAGTTTCTGAGAATGCTGCAGTCTTCAATTTGTATGAATTCCCGCTTCCAACGAAATCCTCCAAACTAGCCAAATATCCACTTGCAGATTCCACAAAAAGAGCGTTTCAAAACTTCTCTATGAAAAGAAAGGTTCTACTCCTTTAGTTGAGGACACACATCACGAGTAAGTTTCTGAGAATGCTTCTGTCTAGTTTTTATGGGAAGATATTTCCTTTTTCACCTTAGGCCGGAAAGTGCTCCAAATGTCCACTTACACACACTACAAAAAGAGTGTTTCAAACCTGCTCTGTGAAAGGGAATGTTCAATTCTGTGACTTGAATGCAATCATCACAAAGAACTTTCTGAGAATGCTGCTGTCAGCTTTTTATATGTAATCCCGTTTCCAAAGAAATCCTCAAATCTAGCCAAATAGCCACTTGCAGATTCCACAAAAAGAGTGTTTCAAAACTGTTCTGTCTAAAGAAATGTTCAACTGTGTTACTTGAGGACACACATCAGAAACTAGTTTCTGAGAATGCTTCTGTCTAGTTGTTATGGGAAGATATTTCCTTTTCCAACGTAGGCCTGAAAGCGCTCCAAATGTCCACTTCCATATACTAAAAAAAGAGTGTTTCAAACCTGCTCTACCAAAGGGAATGTTCTACTCTGTGACTTGAATGCAAACATCCCAAAGAAGTTTCTGAGAATGCTTCTGTCTAGATTTTATCTGAAGACAATCCCGTTTCCAACGAAATCCTCAAGGCTAGGCAAATATACTCTTGCAGATTCCAGAAAAAGAGTGTTTCAAAACTGCTCCTTCAAAACGGTGGTTCAATTCTCTTAGTTGAGTACACACATCTCAAATAAGTTTCTGAGAATGCTTCTGCCAAGTTGTTACGGGAAGATATTTCCCTTTCCAACATGGGCCTGAAAGCGCTCCAAATGTCCACTTCCAGATACTACAAAAAGAGTGTTTCAAACCTGCTCTACCAAAGGGAATGTTCTACTCTGTGACTTGAATGCAAACATCCCAAAGAAGTTTCTGAGAATGCTTCTGTCTAGATTTTACCTGAAGACAATCCCGTTTCCCACGAAATCCTCAAAGCTATGCAAATATCCTCTTGCGGATTCTACAAAAAGAGTGTTTCAAAACTGCTCTATGAAAAGAAAGGTTCAACTCTGTCAGTAGAGGGCACACATCACAAACAACTTTCTGAGAATGCTTGTGTCTAGTTGTTATGGGAAGATATTTCCTTTTTCAACATAGGCCTGAAAGCGCTCCAAATGTCCACTTCCAGATACTACAAAAGGAGTGATTCCAACCTGCTCTATGATAGGGAATGTTCATCTCTGTGTCCTGAATACAAACATCACAAAGATGTTTCTCAGAACGCTGCAGTCTGCAATTTGTATGAATTCCCGCTTCCAACGAAATCCTCAAAACTAGCCAAATATCCACTTGCAGATTCCACAAAAAGAGCATTTCAAAACTGCTCTATCAAAAGAAAGGTTCAACATTGTTAGTTGAGTAGATACAGCATAAACAAGTTTCTGAGAATGCTTCTGTCCAGTTTTTATGGGAAGATATTTCCTTTTTCACCTTAGCCCTGAAAGCGCTCCAAATGTCCAGTTCCAGATACTACAAAAGGGGTGTTTCAAGACTGCTCTATGAAAGGGAGTGTTCAACTTTTGACTTGAATGCAAACATCAGAAAGCAGTTTCTCAGAACGCTGCTGTGTGCTTTTTATATGTATTCCCGCTTCCAGCGAAATCCCCAAAGCTAGCCAAATATCCACTTGCAGATTCCAGAAAAAGAGTGTTTCAAAACTGCTCCTTCAAAACGGTGGTTCAATTCTCTTAGTTGAGTACACACATCTCAAATAAGTTTCTGAGAATGCTTCTGTCTAGTTGTTATGGGAAGATATTTCCTTTTCCAACATAGGCCTGAAAGCACTCCAAATGTCCACTTCCAGATACTACAAAAGGAGTGATTCAAACCTGCTCTATGATAGGGAATGTTCAACTCTGTGTCCTGAATACAAACATCACCAAGATGTTTCTCAGAACGCTGCAGTCTGCAATTTGTATGAATTCCCGCTTCCAACGAAATCCTCAAAACTAGCCAAATATCCACTTGCAGATTCCACAAAAAGACCATTTCAAAACTGCTCTATCAAAAGAAAGGTTCAACTTTGTTAGTTGAGTAGATACAGCATAACCAAGTTTCTGAGAATGCTTCTGTCCAGTTTTTATGGGAAGATATTTCCTTTTTCACCTTAGCCCTGAAATCGCTCCAAAAGTCCAGTTCCAGATACTACAAAAGGGGTGTTTCAAGACTGCTCTATGAAAGGGAGTGTTCAACTTTTGACTTGAATGCAAACATCAGAAAGCAGTTTCTCAGAACGCTGCTGTGTGCTTTTTATATGTATTCCCGCTTCCAGCGAAATCCCCAAAGCTAGCCAAATATCCACTTGCAGATTCCAGAAAAAGAGAGTTTCAAAACTGCTCCTTCAAAACGGTGGTTCAATTCTCTTAGTTGAGTACACACATCTCAAATAAGTTTCTGAGAATGCTTCTGTCTAGTTGTTATGGGAAGATATTTCCTTTTCCAACATAGGCCTGAAAACGCTCCAAATGTCCACTTCCAGATACTACAAAAGGAGTGATTCCAACCTGCTCTATGATAGGGAATGTTCAACTCTGTGTCCTGAATACAAACATCACAAAGATGTTTCTCAGAACGCTGCAGTCTGCAATTTGTATGAATTCCCGCTTCCAACGAAATCCTCAAAACTAGCCAAATATCCACTTGCAGATTCCACAAAAAGAGCGTTTCAAAACTTCTCTATGAAAAGAAAGGTTCTACTCCTTTAGTTGAGGACACACATCACGAGTAAGTTTCTGAGAATGCTTCTGTCTAGTTTTTATGGGAAGATATTTCCTTTTTCACCTTAGGCCGGTAAGTGCTCCAAATGTCCACTTACACACACTACAAAAAGAGTGTTTCAAACCTGCTCTGTGAAAGGGAATGTTCAATTCTGTGACTTGAATGCAATCATCACAAAGAACTTTCTGAGAATGCTGCTGTCTGCTTTTTATATGTAATCCCGTTTCCAACGAAATCCTCAAATCTAGCCAAATAGCCACTTGCAGATTCCACAAAAAGAGTGTTTCAAAACTGTTCTGTCTAAAGAAATGTTCAACTGTGTTAGTTGAGGACACACATCAGAAACTAGTTTCTGAGAATGCTTCTGTCTAGTTGTTATGGGAAGATATTTCCTTTTCCAACGTAGGCCTGAAAGCGCTCCAAATGTCCACTTCCATATACTTAAAAAAGAGTGTTTCAAACCTGCTCTACCAAAGGGAATGTTCTACTCTGTGACATGAATGCAAACATCCCAAAGAAGTTTCTGAGAATGCTTCTGTCTAGATTTGATCTGAAGACAATCCCGTTTCCAACGAAATCCTCAAGGCTAGGCAAATATCCTCTTGCAGATTCCAGAAAAAGAGTGTTTCAAAACTGCTCCTTCAAAACGGTGGTTCAATTCTCTTAGTTGAGTACACACATCTCAAATAAGTTTCTGAGAATGCTTCTGCCTAGTTGTTACGGGAAGATATTTCCCTTTCCAACATAGGCCTGAAAGCGCTCCAAATGTCCACTTCCAGATACTACAAAAAGAGTGTTTCAAACCTGCTCTACCAAAGGGAATGTTCTGCTCTGTGACTTGAATGCAAACATCCCAAAGAAGTTTCTGAGAATGCTTCTGTCTAGATTTTACCTGAAGACAATCCCGTTTCCCACGAAATCCTCAAAGCTATGCAAATATCCTCTTGCAGATTCTACAAAAAGAGTGTTTCAAAACTGCTCTATGAAAAGAAAGGTTCAACTCTGTCAGTAGAGGGCACACATCACAAACAAGTTTCTGAGAATGCTTGTGTCTAGTTGTTATGGGAAGATATTTCCTTTTTCAACATAGGCCTGAAAGCGCTCCAAATGTCCACTTCCAGATACTACAAAAGGAGTGATTCCAACCTGCTCTATGATAGGGAATGTTCAACTCTCTGTCCTGAATACAAACATCACAAAGATGTTTCTCAGAACGCTGCAGTCTGCAATTTGTATGAATTCCCGCTTCCAGCGAAATCCTCAAAACTAGCCAAATATCCACTTGCAGATTCCACAAAAAGAGCATTTCAAAACTGCTCTATCAAAAGAAAGGTTCAACTTTGTTAGTTGAGTAGATACAGCATAAACAAGTTTCTGAGAATGCTTCTGTCCAGTTTTTATGGGAAGATATTTCCTTTCTCACCTTAGCCCTGAAAGCGCTCCAAAAGTCCAGTTCCAGATACTACAAAAGGAGTGTTTCAGGACTGCACTATGAAAGGGAGTGTTCAACTTTTGACTTGAATGCAAACATCAGAAAGCAGTTTCTCAGAACGCTGCTGTGTGCTTTTTATATGTATTCCCGCTTCCAGCGAAATCCCCAAAGCTAGCCAAATATCCACTTGCAGATTCCAGGAAAAGAGTGTTTCAAAACTGCTCCTTCAAAACGGTGGTTCAATTCTCTTAGTTGAGTACACACATCTCAAATAAGTTTCTGAGAATGCTTCTGTCTAGTTGTTATGGGAAGATATTTCCTTTTCCAACATAGGCCTGAAAGCGCTCCAAATGTCCACTTCCAGATACTACAAAAGGAGTGATTCAAACCTGCTCTATGATAGGGAATGTTCAACTCTGTGTCCTGAATACAAACATCACAAAGATGTTTCTCAGAACGCTGCAGTCTGCAATTTGTATGAATTCCCGCTTCCAACGAAATCCTCAAAACTAGCCAAATATCCACTTGCAGATTCCACAAAAAGAGCGTTTCAAAACTTCTCTATGAAAAGAAAGGTTCTACTCCTTTAGTTGAGGACACACATCACGAGTAAGTTTCTGAGAATGCTTCTGTCTAGTTTTTATGGGAAGATATTTCCTTTTTCACCTTAGGCCGGTAAGTGCTCCAAATGTCCACTTACACACACTACAAAAAGAGTGTTTCAAACCTGCTCTGTGAAAGGGAATGTTCAATTCTGTGACTTGAATGCAATCATCACAAAGAACTTTCTGAGAATGCTGCTGACTGCTTTTTATATGTAATCCCGTTTCCAACGAAATCCTCAAATCCAGCCAAATAGCCACTTGCAGATTCCACAAAAAGAGTGTTTCAAAACTGTTCTGTCTAAAGAAATGTTCAACTGTGTTAGTTGAGAACACACATCAGAAACTAGTTTCTGAGAATGCTTCTGTCTAGTTGTTATGGGAAGATATTTCCTTTTCCAACGTAGGCCTGAAAGCGATCAAAATGTCCACTTCCATATACTAAAAAAAGAGTGTTTCAAACCTGCTCTACCAAAGGGAATGTTCTACTCTGTGACTTGAATGCAAACATCCCAAAGAAGTTTCTGAGAATGCTTCTGTCTAGATTTTCTCTGAAGACAATCCCGTTTCCAACGAAATCCTCAAGGCTAGGCAAATATACTCTTGCAGATTCCAGAAAAAGAGTGTTTCAAAACTGCTCCTTCAAAACGGTGGTTCAATTCTCTTAGTTGAGTACACACATCTCAAATAAGTTTCTGAGAATGCTTCTGCCTAGTTGTTACGGGAAGATATTTCCTTTTCCAACATGGGCCTGAAAGCGCTCCAAATGTCCACTTCCAGATACTACAAAAAGAGTGTTTCAAACCTGCTCTACCAAAGGGAATGTTCTACTCTGTGACTTGAATGCAAACATCCCAAAGAAGTTTCTGAGAATGCTTCTGTCTAGATTTTACCTGAAGACAATCCCGTTTCCCACGAAATCCTCAAAGCTATGCAAATATCCTCTTGCAGATTCTACAAAAAGAGTGTTTCAAAACTGCTCTATGAAAAGAAAGGTTCAACTCTGTCAGTAGAGGGCACACATCACAAACAAGTTTCTGAGAATGCTTCTGCATAGTTGTTACGGGAAGATATTTCCCTTTCCAAAATAGGCCTGAAAGCGCTCCAAATGTCCACTTCCAGATACTACAAAAGGAGTGATTCCAACCTGCTCTATGATAGGGAATGTTCAACTCTGTGTCCTGAATACAAACATCACAAAGATGTTTCTCAGAACGCTGCAGTCTGCAATTTGTATGAATTCCCGCTTCCAACGAAATCCTCTAACCTAGCCAAATATCCACTTGCAGATTCCACAAAAAGAGCATTTCAAAACTGCTCTATCAAAAGAAAGGTTCAACTTTGTTAGTTGAGTAGATACAGCATAAACAAGTTTCTGAGAATGCTTCCTGTCCAGTTTTTATGGGAAGATATTTCCTTTTTCACCTTAGCCCTGAAAGCGCTCCAAATGTCCAGTTCCAGATACTACAAAAGGGGTGTTTCAAGACTGCTCTATGAAAGGGAGTGTTCAACTTTTGACTTGAATGCAAACATCAGAAAGCAGTTTCTCAGAACGCTGCTGTGTGCTTTTTATATGTATTCCCGCTTCCAGCGAAATCCCCAAAGCTAGCCAAATATCCACTTGCAGATTCCAGAAAAAGAGTGTTTCAAAACTGCTCCTTCAAAACGGTGGTTCAATTCTCTTAGTTGAGTACACACATCTCAAATAAGTTTCTGAGAATGCTTCTGTCTAGTTGTTATGGGAAGATATTTCCTTTTCCAACATAGGCCTGAAAGCGCTCCAAATGTCCACTTCCAGATACTACAAAAGGAATGATTCCAACCTGCTCTATGATAGGGAATGTTCAACTCTGTGTCCTGAATACAAACATCACAAAGATGTTTCTCAGAACGCTGCAGTCTGCAATTTGTATGAATTCCCGCTTCCAACGAAATCCTCAAAACTAGCCAAATATCCACTTGCAGATTCCACAAAAAGAGCGTTTCAAAACTTCTCTATGAAAAGAAAGGTTCTACTCCTTTAGTTGAGGACACACATCACGAGTAAGTTTCTTAGAATGCTTCTGTCTAGTTTTTATGGGAAGATATTTCCTTTTTCACCTTAGGCCGGTAAGTGCTCCAAATGTCCACTTACACACACTACAAAAAGAGTCTTTCAAACCTGCTCTGTGAAAGGGAATGTTCAATTCTGTGACTTGAATGCAATCATCACAAAGAACTTTCTGAGAATGCTGCTGTCTGCTTTTTATATGTAATCCCGTTTCCAACGAAATCCTCAAATCTAGCTAAATATCCACTTGCAGATTCCAGAAAAAGAGTGTTTCAAAACTGCTCCTTCAAAACGGTGGTTCAATTCTCTTAGTTGAGTACACACATCTCAAATAAGTTTCTGAGAATGCTTCCTGTCTATTTGTTATGGGAAGATATTTCCTTTTCCAACATAGGGCCTGAAAGCGCTCCAAATGTCCACTTCCAGATACTACAAAAGGAGTGATTCAAACCTGCTCTATGATAGGGAATGTTCAACTCTGTGTCCTGAATACAAACATCACAAAGATGTTTCTCAGAACGCTGCAGTCTGCAATTTGTATGAATTCCCGCTTCCAACGAAATCCTCAAAACTAGCCAAATATCCACTTGGAGATTCCACAAAAAGAGCGTTTCAAAACTTCTCTATGAATAGAAAGGTTCTACTCCTATAGTTGAGGACACACATCACGAGTAAGTTTCTGAGAATGCTTCTGTCTAGTTTTTATGGGAAGATATTTCCTTTTTCACCTTAGGCCGGTAAGTGCTCCAAATGTCCACTTACACACACTACAAAAAGAGTGTTTCAAACCTGCTCTGTGAAAGGGAATGTTCAATTCTGTGACTTGAATGCAATCATCACAAAGAACTTTCTGAGAATGCTGCTGTCTGCTTTTTATATGTAATCCCGTTTCCAACGAAATCCTCAAATCTAGCCAAATAGCCACTTGCAGATTCCACAAAAAGAGTGTTTCAAAACTGTTCTGTCTAAAGAAATGTTCAACTGTGTTAGTTGAGGACACACATCAGAAACTAGTTTCTGAGAATGCTTCTGTCTAGTTGTTATGGGAAGATATTTCCTTTTCCAACGTAGGCCTGAAAGCGATCAAAATGTCCACTTCCATATACTAAAAAAAGAGTGTTTCAAACCTGCTCTACCAAAGGTAATGTTCTACTCTGTGACTTGAATGCAAACATCCCAAAGAAGTTTGCTGAGAATGCTTCTGTCTAGATTTTATCTGAAGACAATCCCGTTTCCAACGAAATTCTCAAGGCTAGGCAAATATACTCTTGCAGATTCCAGAAAAAGAGTGTTTCAAAACTGCTCCTTCAAAACGGTGGTTCAATTCTCTTAGTTGAGTCCACACATCTCAAATAAGTTTCTGAGAATGCTTCTGCCTAGTTGTTACGGGAAGATATTTCCCTTTCCAACATGGGCCTGAAAGCGCTCCAAATGTCCACTTCCAGATACTACAAAAAGAGGGTTTCAAACCTGCTCTACCAAAGGGAATGTTCTACTCTGTGACTTGAATGCAAACATCCCAAAGAAGTTTCTGAGAATGCTTCTGTCTAGATTTTACCTGAAGACAATCCCGTTTCCCACGAAATCCTCAAAGCTATGCAAATATCCTCTTGCAGATTCTACAAAAAGAGTGTTTCAAAACTGCTCTATGAAAAGAAAGGTTCAACTCTGTCAGTAGAGGGCACACATCACAAACAAGTTTCTGAGAATGCTTGTGTCTAGTTGTTATGGGAAGATATTTCCTTTTTCAACATAGGCCTGAAAGCGCTCCAAATGTCCACTTCCAGATACTACAAAAGGAGTGATTCCAACCTGCTCTATGATAGGGAATGTTCATCTCTGTGTCCTGAATACAAACATCACAAAGATGTTTCTCAGAACGCTGCAGTCTGCAATTTGTATGAATTCCCGCTTCCAACGAAATCCTCAAAACTAGCCAAATATCCACTTGCAGATTCCACAAAAAGAGCATTTCAAAACTGCTCTATCAAAAGAAAGGTTCAACTTTGTTAGTTGAGTAGATACAGCATAAACAAGTTTCTGAGAATGCTTCTGTCCAGTTTTTATGGGAAGATATTTCCTTTTTCACCTTAGCCCTGAAAGCGCTCCAAAAGTCCAGTTCCAGATACTACAAAAGGAGTGTTTCAGGACTGCACTATGAAAGGGAGTGTTCAACTTTTGACTTGAATGCAAACATCAGAAAGCAGTTTCTCAGAACGCTGCTGTGTGCTTTTTATATGTATTCCCGCTTCCAGCGAAATCCCCAAAGCTAGCCAAATATCCACTTGCAGATTCCAGAAAAAGAGTGTTTCAAAACTGCTCCTTCAAAACGGTGGTTCAATTCTCTTAGTTGAGTACACACATCTCAAATAAGTTTCTGAGAATGCTTGTGTCTAGCTGTTATGGGAAGATATTTCCTTTTTCAACATAGGCCTGAAAGCGCTCCAAATGTCCACTTCCAGATACTACAAAAGGAGTGATTCCAACCTGCTCTATGATAGGGAATGTTCATCTCTGTGTCCTGAATACAAACATCACAAAGATGTTTCTCAGAACGCTGCAGTCTGCAATTTGGATGAATTCCCGCTTCCAACGAAATCCTCAAAACTAGCCAAATATCCACTTGGAGATTCCACAAAAAGAGCGTTTCAAAACTTCTCTATGAATAGAAAGGTTCTACTCCTTTAGTTGAGGACACACATCACGAGTAAGTTTCTGAGAATGCTTCTGTCTAGTTTTTATGGGAAGATATGTCCTTTTTCACCTTAGGCCGGAAAGCGCTCCAAATGTCCACTTACACACACTACAAAAAGAGTGTTTCAAACCTGCTCTGTGAAAGGGAATGTTCAATTCTGTGACTTGAATGCAATCATCACAAAGAACTTTCTGAGAATGCTGCTGACTGCTTTTTATATGTAATCCCGTTTCCAACGAAATCCTCAAATCTAGCCAAATAGCCACTTGCAGATTCCACAAAAAGAGTGTTTCAAAACTGTTCTGTCTAAAGAAATGTTCAACTGTGTTAGTTGAGGACACACATCAGAAACTAGTTTCTGAGAATGCTCTGTCTAGTTGTTATGGGAAGATATTTCCTTTTCCAACGTAGGCCTGAAAGCGATCCAAATGTCCACTTCCATATACTAAAAAAAGAGTGTTTCAAACCTGCTCTACCAAAGGGAATGTTCTACTCTGTGACTTGAATGCAAACATCCCAAAGAAGTTTCTGAGAATGCTTTCTGTCTAGATTTGATCTGAAGACAATCCCGTTTCCAACGAAATCCTCAAGGCTAGGCAAATATCCTCTTGCAGATTCCAGAAAAAGAGAGTTTCAAAACTGCTCCTTCAAAACGGTGGTTCAATTCTCTTAGTTGAGTACACACATCTCAAATAAGTTTCTGAGAATGCTTCTGCCTAGTTGTTACGGGAAGATATTTCCCTTTCCAACATAGGCCTGAAAGCGCTCCAAATGTCCACTTCCAGATACTACAAAAAGAGTGTTTCAAACCTGCTCTACCAAAGGGAATGTTCTGCTCTGTGACTTGAATGCAAACATCCCAAAGAAGTTTCTGAGAATGCTTCTGTCTAGATTTTACCTGAAGACAATCCCGTTTCCCACGAAATCCTCAAAGCTATGCAAATATCCTCTTGCAGATTCTACAAAAAGAGTGTTTCAAAACTGCTCTATGAAAAGAAAGGTTCAACTCTGTCAGTAGAGGGCACACATCACAAACAAGTTTCTGAGAATGCTTCTGCATAGTTGTTACGGGAAGATATTTCCCTTTCCAAAATAGGCCTGAAAGCGCTCCAAATGTCCACTTCCAGATACTACAAAAGGAGTGATTACAACCTGCTCTATGATAGGGAATGTTCAACTCTGTGTCCTGAATACAAACATCACAAAGATGTTTCTCAGAACGCTGCAGTCTGCAATTTGTATGAATTCCCGCTTCCAACGAAATCCTCAAAACTAGCCAAATATCCACTTGCAGATTCCACAAAAAGACCATTTCAAAACTGCTCTATCAAAAGAAAGGTTCAACTTTGTTAGTTGAGTAGATACAGCATAAACAAGTTTCTGAGAATGCTTCTGTCCAGTTTTTATGGGAAGATATTTCCTTTTTCACCTTAGCCCTGAAATCGCTCCAAAAGTCCAGTTCCAGATACTACAAAAGGGGTGTTTCAGGACTGCTCTATGAAAGGTAGTGTTCAACTTTTGACTTGAATGCAAACATCAGAAAGCAGTTTCTCAGAACGCTGCTGTGTGCTTTTTATTTGTATTCCCGCCTCCAGCGAAATCCCCAAAGCTAGCCAAATATCCACTTGCAGATTCCAGAAAAAGAGTGTTTCAAAACTGCTCCTTCAAAACGGTGGTTCAATTCTCTTAGTTGAGTACACACATCTCAAATAAGTTTCTGAGAATGCTTCTGTCTAGTTGTTATGGGAAGATATTTCCTTTTCCAACATAGGCCTGAAAGCGCTCCAAATGTCCACTTCCAGATACTACAAAAGGAGTGATTCCAACCTGCTCTATGATAGGGAATGTTCAACTCTGTGTCCTGAATACAAACATCACAAAGATGTTTCTCAGAACGCTGCAGTCTGCAATTTGTATGAATTCCCGCTTCCAACGAAATCCTCAAAACTAGCCAAATATCCACTTGCAGATTCCACAAAAAGAGCGTTTCAAAACTTCTCTATGAAAAGAAAGGTTCTACTCCTTTAGTTGAGGACACACATCACGAGTAAGTTTCTGAGAATGCTTCTGTCTAGTTTTTATGGGAAGATATTTCCTTTTTCACCTTAGGCCGGTAAGTGCTCCAAATGTCCACTTACACACACTACAAAAAGAGTGTTTCAAACCTGCTCTGTGAAAGGGAATGTTCAATTCTGTGACTTGAATGCAATCATCACAAAGAACTTTCTGAGAATGCTGCTGTCTGCTTTTTATATGTAATCCCGTTTCCAACGAAATCCTCAAATCTAGCCAAATATCCACTTGCAGATTCCACAAAAAGAGTGTTTCAAAACTGTTCTGTCTAAAGAAAAGTTCAACTGTGTTAGTTGAGGACACACATCAGAAACTAGTTTCTGAGAATGCTCTCTGTCTAGTTGTTATGGGAAGATATTTCCTTTTCCAACGTAGGCCTGAAAGTGCTCCAAATGTCCACTTCCATATACTAAAAAAAGAGTGTTTCAAACCTGCTCTACCAAAGGGAATGTTCTACTCTGTGACTTGAATGCAAACATCCCAAAGAAGTTTCTGAGAATGCTTCTGTCTAGATTTTCTCTGAAGACAATCCCGTTTCCAACGAAATCCTCAAGGCTAGGCAAATATACTCTTGCAGATTCCAGAAAAAGAGTGTTTCAAAACTGCTCCTTCAAAACGGTGGTTCAATTCTCTTAGTTGAGTACACACATCTCAAATAAGTTTCTGAGAATGCTTCTGCCTAGTTGTTACGGGAAGATATTTCCCTTTCCAACATGGGCCTGAAAGCGCTCCAAATGTCCACTTCCAGATACTACAAAAAGAGTGTTTCAAACCTGCTCTACCAAAGGGAATGTTCTACTCTGTGACTTGAATGCAAACATCCCAAAGAAGTTTCTGAGAATGCTTCTGTCTAGATTTTACCTGAAGACAATCCCGTTTCCCACGAAATCCTCAAAGCTATGCAAATATCCTCTTGCAGATTCTACAAAAAGAGTGTTTCAAAACTGCTCTATGAAAAGAAAGGTTCAACTCTGTCAGTAGAGGGCACACATCACAAACAAGTTTCTGAGAATGCTTCTGCATAGTTGTTACGGGAAGATATTTCCCTTTCCAAAATAGGCCTGAAAGCGCTCCAAATGTCCACTTCCAGATACTACAAAAGGAGTGATTCCAACCTGCTCTATGATAGGGAATGTTCAACTCTGTGTCCTGAATACAAACATCACAAAGATGTTTCTCAGAACGCTGCAGTCTGCAATTTGTATGAATTCCCGCTTCCAACGAAATCCTCAAAACTAGCCAAATATCCACTTGCAGATTCCACAAAAAGACCATTTCAAAACTGCTCTATCAAAAGAAAGGTTCAACTTTGTTAGTTGAGTAGATACAGCATAAACAAGTTTCTGAGAATGCTTCTGTCCAGTTTTTATGGGAAGATATTTCCTTTTTCACCTTAGCCCTGAAAGCGCTCCAAAAGTCCAGTTCCAGATACTACAAAAGGAGTGTTTCAGGACTGCTCTATGAAAGGGAGTGTTCAACTTTTGACTTGAATGCAAACATCAGAAAGCAGTTTCTCAGAACGCTGCTGTGTGCTTTTTATATGTATTCCCGCTTCCAGCGAAATCCCCAAAGCTAGCCAAATATCCACTTGCAGATTCCAGAAAAAGAGTGTTTCAAAACTGCTCCTTCAAAACGGTGGTTCAATTCTCTTAGTTGAGTACACACATCTCAAATAAGTTTCTGAGAATGCTTCTGTCTAGTTGTTATGGGAAGATATTTCCTTTTCCAACATAGGCCTGAAAGCGCTCCAAATGTCCACTTCCAGATACTACAAAAGGAGTGATTCCAACCTGCTCTATGATAGGGAATGTTCAACTCTGTGTCCTGAATACAAACATCACAAAGATGTTTCTCAGAACGCTGCAGTCTGCAATTTGTATGAATTCCCGCTTCCAACGAAATCCTCAAAACTAGCCAAATATCCACTTGCAGATTCCACAAAAAGAGCGTTTCAAAACTTCTCTATGAAAAGAAAGGTTCTACTCCTTTAGTTGAGGACACACATCACGAGTAAGTTTCTGAGAATGCTTCTGTCTAGTTTTTATGGGAAGATATTTCCTTTTTCACCTTAGGCCGGTAAGTGCTCCAAATGTCCACTTACACACACTACAAAAAGAGTGTTTCAAACCTGCTCTGTGAAAGGGAATGTTCAATTCTGTGACTTGAATGCAATCATCACAAAGAACTTTCTGAGAATGCTGCTGACTGCTTTTTATATGTAATCCCGTTTCCAACGAAATCCTCAAATCTAGCCAAATAGCCACTTGCAGATTCCACAAAAAGAGTGTTTCAAAACTGTTCCGTCTAAAGAAATGTACAACTGTGTTAGTTGAGGACACACATCAGAAACTAGTTTCTGAGAATGCTTCTGTCTAGTTGTTATGGGAAGATATTTCCTTTTCCAACGTAGGCCTGAAAGCGCTCCAAATGTCCACTTCCATATACTAAAAAAAGAGTGTTTCAAACCTGCTCTACCAAAGGGAATGTTCTACTCTGTGACTTGAATGCAAACATCCCAAAGAAGTTTCTGAGAATGCTTCTGTCTAGATTTTATCTGAAGAAAATCCCGTTTCCTACGAAATCCTCAAGGCTAGGCAAATATCCTCTTGCAGATTCCAGAAAAAGAGTGTTTCAAAACTGCTCCTTCAAAACGGTGGTTCAATTCTCTTAGTTGAGTACACACATCTCAAATACGTTTCTGAGAATGCTTCTGCCTAGTTGTTACGGGAAGATATTTCCCTTTCCAACATAGGCCTGAAAGCGCTCCAAATGTCCACTTCCAGATACTACAAAAAGAGTGTTTCAAACCTGCTCTACCAAAGGGAATGTTCTACTCTGTGACTTGAATGCAAACATCCCAAAGAAGTTTCTGAGAATGCTTCTGTCTAGATTTTACCTGAAGACAATCCCGTTTCCCACGAAATCCTCAAAGCTATGCAAATATCCTCTTGCAGATTCTACAAAAAGAGTGTTTCAAAACTGCTCTATGAAAAGAAAGGTTCAACTCTGTCAGTAGAGGGCACACATCACAAACAAGTTTCTGAGAATGCTTGTGTCTAGTTGTTATGGGAAGATATTTCCTTTTTCAACATAGGCCTGAAAGCGCTCCAAATGTCCACTTCCAGATACTACAAAAGGAGTGATTCCAACCTGCTCTATGATAGGGAATGTTCAACTCTGTGTCCTGAATACAAACATCACAAAGATGTTTCTCAGAACGCTGCAGTCTGCAATTTGTATGAATTCCCGCTTCCAACGAAATCCTCAAAACTAGCCAAATATCCACTTGCAGATTCCACAAAAAGAGCATTTCAAAACTGCTCTATCAAAAGAAAGGTTCAACTTTGTTAGTTGAGCAGATACAGCATAAACAAGTTTCTGAGAATGCTTCTGTCCAGTTTTTATGGGAAGATATTTCCTTTTTCACCTTAGCCCTGAAAGCGCTCCAAATGTCCAGTTCCAGATACTACAAAAGGGGTGTTTCAAGACTGCTCTATGAAAGGGAGTGTTCAACTTTTGACTTGAATGCAAACATCAGAAAGCAGTTTCTCAGAACGCTGCTGTGTGCTTTTTATATGTATTCCCGCTTCCAGCGAAATCCCCAAAGCTAGCCAAATATCCACTTGCAGATTCCAGAAAAAGAGTGTTTCCAAACTGCTCCTTCAAAACGGTGGTTCAATTCTCTTAGTTGAGTACACACATCTCAAATAAGTTTCTGGGAATGCTTCTGTCTAGTTGTTATGGGAAGATATTTCCTTTTCCAACATAGGCCTGAAAGCGCTCCAAATGTCCACTTCCAGATACTACAAAAGGAGTGATTCAAACCTGCTCTATGATAGGGAATGTTCAACTCTGTGTCCTGAATACAAACATCACAAAGATGTTTCTCAGAACGCTGCAGTCTGCAATTTGTATGAATTCCCGCTTCCAACGAAATCCTCAAAACTAGCCAAATATCCACTTGCAGATTCCACAAAAAGAGCGTTTCAAAACTTCTCTATGAAAAGAAAGGTTCTACTCCTTTAGTTGAGGACACACATCACGAGTAAGTTTCTGAGAATGCTTCTGTCTAGTTTTTATGGGAAGATATTTCCTTTTTCACCTTAGGCCGGTAAGTGCTCCAAATGTCCACTTACACACACTACAAAAAGAGTGTTTCAAACCTGCTCTGTGAAAGGGAATGTTCAATTCTGTGACTTGAATGCAATCATCACAAAGAACTTTCTGAGAATGCTGCTGACTGCTTTTTATATGTAATCCCGTTTCCAACGAAATCCTCAAATCTAGCCAAATAGCCACTTGCAGATTCCACAAAAAGAGTGTTTCAAAACTGTTCTGTCTAAAGAAATGTTCAACTGTGTTAGTTGAGGACACACATCAGAAACTAGTTTCTGAGAATGCTTCTGTCTAGTTGTTATGGGAAGATATTTCCTTTTCCAACGTAGGCCTGAAAGCGCTCCAAATGTCCACTTCCAGATACTACAAAAAGAGTGTTTCAAACCTGCTCTACCAAAGGGAATGTTCTACTCTGTGACTTGAATGCAAACATCCCAAAGAAGTTTCTGAGAATGCTTCTGTCTAGATTTTCTCTGAAGACAATCCCGTTTCCAACGAAATCCTCAAGGCTAGGCAAATATACTCTTGCAGATTCCAGAAAAAGAGTGTTTCAAAACTGCTCCTTCAAAACGGTGGTTCAATTCTCTTAGTTGAGTACACACATCTCAAATAAGTTTCTGAGAATGCTTCTGCCTAGTTGTTACGGGAAGATATTTCCCTTTCCAACATGGGCCTGAAAGCGCTCCAAATGTCCACTTCCAGATACTACAAAAAGAGTGTTTCAAACCTGCTCTACCAAAGGGAATGTTCTACTCTGTGACTTGAATGCAAACATCCCAAAGAAGTTTCTGAGAATGCTTCTGTCTAGATTTTACCTGAAGACAATCCCGTTTCCCACGAAATCCTCAAAGCTATGCAAATATCCTCTTGCAGATTCTACAAAAAGAGTGTTTCAAAACTGCTCTATGAAAAGAAAGGTTCAACTCTGTCAGTAGAGGGCACACATCACAAACAAGTTTCTGAGAATGCTTCTGCATAGTTGTTACGGGAAGATATTTCCCTTTCCAAAATAGGCCTGAAAGCGCTCCAAATGTCCACTTCCAGATACTACAAAAGGAGTGATTCCAACCTGCTCTATGATAGGGAATGTTCAACTCTGTGTCCTGAATACAAACATCACAAAGATGTTTCTCAGAACGCTGCAGTCTGCAATTTGTATGAATTCCCGCTTCCAACGAAATCCTCAAAACTAGCCAAATATCCACTTGCAGATTCCACAAAAAGACCATTTCAAAACTGCTCTATCAAAAGAAAGGTTCAACTTTGTTAGTTGAGTAGATACAGCATAAACAAGTTTCTGAGAATGCTTCTGTCCAGTTTTTATGGGAAGATATTTCCTTTTTCACCTTAGCCCTGAAAGGGCTCCAAAAGTCCAGTTCCAGATACTACAAAAGGAGTGTTTCAGGACTGCTCTATGAAAGGGAGTGTTCAACTTTTGACTTGAATGCAAACATCAGAAAGCAGTTTCTCAGAACGCTGCTGTGTGCTTTTTATATGTATTCCCGCTTCCAGCGAAATCCCCAAAGCTAGCCAAATATCCACTTGCAGATTCCAGAAAAAGAGTGTTTCAAAACTGCTCCTTCAAAACGGTGGTTCAATTCTCTTAGTTGAGTACACACATCTCAAATAAGTTTCTGAGAATGCTTCTGTCTAGTTGTTATGGGAAGATATTTCCTTTTCCAACATAGGCCTGAAAGCGCTCCAAATGTCCACTTCCAGATACTACAAAAGGAGTGATTCCAACCTGCTCTATGATAGGGAATGTTCAACTCTGTGTCCTGAATACAAACATCACAAAGATGTTTCTCAGAACGCTGCAGTCTGCAATTTGTATGAATTCCCGCTTCCAACGAAATCCTCAAAACTAGCCAAATATCCACTTGCAGATTCCACAAAAAGAGCGTTTCAAAACTTCTCTATGAAAAGAAAGGTTCTACTCCTTTAGTTGAGGACACACATCACGAGTAAGTTTCTGAGAATGCTGCTGTGTGCTTTTTATATGTAATCCCGTTTCCAACGAAATGCTCAAATCTAGCCAAATATCCACTTGCAGATTCCACAAAAAGAGTGTTTCAAAACTGTTCTGTCTAAAGAAATGTTCAACTGTGTTAGCTGAGGACACACATCAGAAACTAGTTTCTGAGAATGCTGCTGTCTGCTTTTTATATGTATTCCCGTTTCCAACGAAATCCTCAAAGCCAGCCAAATATCCACTTGCAGATTCCACAAAAAGAGTGTTTCAAAACTGCTCTCTCAAAAGAAATGTTCAACTCTGTCAGTTGAGGACACACATCACAAATAAGTTTCTGAGAATGCTTCTGTCTAGTTTTTATGGGAAGATATTTCCTTTTTCACCTGAGGCCGGAAAGCGCTCCAAATGTCCACTTCCAGATACTACAAAAGGAGTGATTCAAACCTGCTCTATGATAGGGAACGTTCAACTCTGTGTCCTGAATACAAACATCACAAAGATGTTTCTCAGAACGCTGCAGTCTGCAATTTGTATGAATTCCCGCTTCCAACGAAATCCTCAAAACTAGCCAAATATCCACTTGCAGATTCCACAAAAAGAGCGTTTCAAAACTTCTCTATGAAAAGAAAGGTTCTACTCCTTTAGTTGAGGACACACATCACGAGTAAGTTTCTGAGAATGCTTCTGTCTAGTTTTTATGGGAAGATATTTCCTTGTTCACCTTAGGCCGGAAAGCGCTCCAAATGTCCACTTACACACACTACAAAAAGAGTGTTTCAAACCTGCTCTGTGAAAGGGAATGTTCAATTCTGTGACTTGAATGCAATCATCACAAAGAAGTTTCTGAGAATGCTGCTGTCTGCTTTTTATATGTAATCCCGTTTCCAACGAAATCCTCAAATCTAGCCAAATATCCACTTGCAGATTCCACAAAAAGAGTGTTTCAAAACTGTTCTGTCTAAAGAAATGTTCAACTGTGTTAGTTGAGGACACACATCAGAAACTAGTTTCTGAGAATGCTTCTGTCTAGTTGTTATGGGAAGATATTTCCTTTTCCAACGTAGGCCTGAAAGCGCTCCAAATGTCCACTTCCATATACTAAAAAAAGAGTGTTTCAAACCTGCTCTACCAAAGGAATGTTCTACTCTGTGACTTGAATGCAAACATCCCAAAGAAGTTTCTGAGAATGCTTCTGTCTAGATTTGATCTGAAGACAATCCCTTTTCCAACGAAATCCTCAAAGCTAGGCAAATATCCTCTTGCAGATTCCAGAAAAAGAGTGTTTCCAAACTGCTCCTTCAAAACGGTGGTTCAATTCTCTTAGTTGAGTACACACATCTCAAATAAGTTTCTGAGAATGCTTCTGCCTAGTTGTTACGGGAAGATATTTCCCTTTCCAACATAGGCCTGAAAGCGCAACAAATGTCCACTTCCAGATACTACAAAAAGAGTGTTTCAAACCTGCTCTACCGAAGGGAATGTTCTACTCTGTGACTTGAATGCAAACATCCCGAAGAAGTTTCTGAGAATGCTTCTGTCTAGATTTTACCTGAAGACAATCCCGTTTCCCACGAAATCCTCAGAGCTATGCAAATATCCTCTTGCAGATTCTACAAAAAGAGTGTTTCAAAACTGCTCTATGAAAAGAAAGGTTCAACTCTGTCAGTAGAGGAAACACATCACCAACAAGTTTCTGAGAATGCTTCTGTCTAGTTGTTATGGGAAGATTTTTCCTTTTTCAACATAGGCCTGAAAGCGCTCCAAATGTCCACTTCCAGATACTACAAAAGGAGTGATTCAAACATGCTCTATGATAGGGAATGTTCAACTCTGTGTCCTGAATACAAACATCACAAAGGTGTTTCTCAGAACGCTGCAGTCTGCAATTTGTATGAATTCCCGCTTCCAACGAAATCCTCAAAACTAGCCAAATATCCACTTGCAGATTCCACAAAAAGAGCATTTCAAAACTGCTCTATCAAAAGAAAGGTTCAACTTTGTTAGTTGAGTAGATACAGCATAAACAAGTTTCTGAGAATGCTTCTGTCCAGTTTTTATGGGAAGATATTTCCTTTTTCACCTTAGCCCTGAAAGCGCTCCAAAAGTCCAGTTCCAGATACTACAAAAGGAGTGTTTCAGGACTGCTCTATGAAAGGGAGTGTTCAACTTTTGACTTGAATGCAAACATCAGAAAGCAGTTTCTCAGAACGCTGCTGTGGGCTTTTTATATGTATTCCCGCTTCCAGCGAAATCCCCAAAGCTAGCCAAATATCCACTTGCAGATTCCTGAAAAAGAGTGTTTCAAAACTGCTCCTTCAAAACGGTGGTTCAATTCTCTTAGTTGAGTACACACATCTCAAATAAGTTTCTGAGAATGCTTCTGTCTAGTTGTTATGGGAAGATATTTCCTTTTCCAACATAGGCTTGAAAGCGCTCCAAATGTCCACTTCCAGATACTACAAAAGGAGTGATTCAAACCTGCTCTATGATAGGGAATGTTCAATTCTGTGTCCTGAATACAAACATCACAAAGATGTTTCTCAGAAAGCTGCAGTCTGCAATTTGTATGAATTCCCGCTTCCAACGAAATCCTCCAAACTAGCCAAATATCCACTTGCAGATTCCAGAAAAAGAGTGTTTCAAAACTGCTCCTTCAAAACGGTGGTTCAATTCTCTTAGTTGAGTACACACATCTCAAATAAGTTTCTGAGAATGCTTCTGTCTAGTTGTTATGGGAAGATATTTCCTTTTCCAACATAGGCCTGAAAGCGCTCCAAATGTCCACTTCCAGATACTACAAAAGGAGTGATTCCAACCTGCTCTATGATAGGGAATGTTCAACTCTGTGTCCTGAATACAAACATCACAAAGATGTTTCTCAGAACGCTGCAGTCTGCAATTTGTATGAGTTCCCGCTTCCAACGAAATCCTCCAAACTAGCCAAATATCCACTTGCAGATTCCACAAAAAGAGCGTTTCAAAACTTCTCTATGAAAAGAAAGGTTCTACTCCTTTAGTTGAGGACACACATCACGAGTAAGTTTCTGAGAATGCTTCTGTCTAGTTTTTATGGGAAGATATTTCCTTTTTCACCTTAGGCCGGAAAGTGCTCCAAATGTCCACTTACACACACTACAAAAAGAGTGTTTCAAACCTGCTCTGTGAAAGGGAATGTTCAATTCTGTGACTTGAATGCAATCATCACCAAGAACTTTCTGAGAATGCTGCTGTCTGCTTTTTATATGTAATCCCGTTTCCATCGAAATCCTCAAATCTAGCCAAATATCCACTTGCAGATTCCACAAAAAGAGTGTTTCAAAACTGTTCTGTCTAAAGAAATGTTCAACTGTGTTAGTTGAGGACACACATCAGAAACTAGTTTCTGAGAATGCTTCTGTCTAGTTGTTATGGGAAGATATTTCCTTTTCCAACGTAGGCCTGAAAGCGCTCCAAATGTCCACTTCCATATACTAAAAAAAGAGTGTTTCAAACCTGCTCTACCAAAGGGAATGTTCTACTCTGTGACTTGAATGCAAACATCCCAAAGAAGTTTCTGAGAATGCTTCTGTCTAGATTTGATCTGAAGACAATCCCGTTTCCAACGAAATCCTCAAGGCTAGGCAAATATCCTCTTGCAGATTCCAGAAAAAGAGTGTTTCAAAACTGCTCCTTCAAAACGGTGGTTCAATTCTCTTAGTTGAGTACACACATCTCAAATAAGTTTCTGAGAATGCTTCTGCCTAGTTGTTACGGGAAGATATTTCCCTTTCCAACATAGGCCTGAAAGCGCTCCAAATGTCCACTTCCAGATACTACAAAAAGAGTGTTTCAAACCTGCTCTACCAAAGGGAATGTTCCACTCTGTGACTTGAATGCAAACATCCCAAAGAAGTTTCTGAGAATGCTTCTGTCTAGATTTTACCTGAAGACAATCCCGTTTCCCACGAAATCCTCAAAGCTATGCAAATATCCTCTTGCAGATTCTACAAAAAGAGTGTTTCAAAACTGCTCTATGAAAAGAAAGGTTCAACTCTGTCACTAGAGGGCACACATCACAAACAAGTTTCTGAGAATGCTTGTGTCTAGTTGTTATGGGAAGATATTTCCTTTTTCAACATAGGCCTGAAAGCGCTCCAAATGTCCACTTCCAGATACTACAAAAGGAGTGATTCCAACATGCTCTATGATAGGGAATGTTCATCTCTCTGTCCTGAATACAAACATCACAAAGATGTTTCTCAGAACGCTGCAGTCTGCAATTTGTATGAATTCCCGCTTCCAAAGAAATCCTCAAAACTAACCAAATATCCACTTGCAGACTCCACAAAAAGAGCATTTCAAAACTGCTCTATCAAAAGAAAGGTTCAACTTTGTTAGCTGAGTAGATACAGCATAAACAAGTTTCTGAGAATGCTTCTGTCCAGTTTTTATGGGAAGATATTTCCTTTTTCACCTTAGCCCTGAAAGCACTCCAAATGTCCACTTCCAGATACCACAAAAGGGGAGTTTCAAGACTGCTCTATGAAAGGGAGTGTTCAACTTTTGACTTGAATGCGAACATCAGAAAGAAGTTTCTCAGAACGCTGCTGTGTGCTTTTTATATGTATTCCCGCTTCCAGCGAAATCCCCAAAGCTAGCCAGATATCCACTTGCAGATTCCAGAAAAAGAGTGTTTCAAAACTGCTCCTTCAAAACGGTGGTTCAATTCTCTTAGTTGAGTACACACATCTCAAATAAGTTTCTGAGAATGCTTCTGTCTATTTGTTATGGGAAGATATTTCCTTTTCCAACATAGGCCTGAAAGCGCTCCAAATGTCCATTTCCAGATACTACAAAAGGAGTGATTCAAACCTGCTCTATGATAGGGAATGTTCAACTCTGTGTCCTGAATACAAACATCACAAAGATGTTTCTCAGAACGCTGCAGTCTGCAATTTGTATGAATTCCCGCTTCCAACGAAATCCTCAAAACTAGCCAAATATCCACTTGCAGATTCCACAAAAAGAGCGTTTCAAAACTTCTCTATGAAAAGAAAGGTTCTACTCCTTTAGTTGAGGACACACAATACGAGTAAGTTTCTGAGAATGCTTCTGTCCAGTTTTTATGGGAAGATATTTCCTTTTTCACCTTAGCCCTGAAAGCGCTCCAAAAGTCCAGTTCCAGATACTACAAAAGGAGTGTTTCAGGACTGCTCTATGAAAGGGAGTGTTCAACTTTTGACTTGAATGCAAACATCAGAAAGCAGTTTCTCAGAACGCTGCTGTGTGCTTTTTATATGTATTCCCGCTTCCAGCGAAATCCCCAAAGCTAGCCAAATATCCACTTGCAGATTCCAGAAAAAGAGTGTTTCAAAACTGCTCCTTCAAAAGGGTGGTTCAATTCTCTTAGTTGACTACACACATCTCAAATAAGTTTCTGAGAATGCTTCTGTCTAGTTGTTATGGGAAGATATTTCCTTTTCCAACATAGGCCTGAAAGCGCTCCAAATGTCCACTTCCAGATACTACAAAAGGAGTGATTCCAACCTGCTCTATGATAGGGAATGTTCAACTCTGTGTCCTGAATACAAACATCACAAAGATGTTTCTCAGAACGCTGCAGTCTGCAATTTGTATGAATTCCCGCTTCCAACGAAATCCTCAAAACTAGCCAAATATCCACTTGCAGATTCCACAAAAAGAGCATTTCAAAACTGCTCTATCAAAAGAAAGGTTCAACTTTGTTAGTTGAGTAGATACAGCATAAACAAGTTTCTGAGAATGCTTCTGTCCAGTTTTTATGGGAAGATATTTCCTTTTTCACCTTAGCCCTGAAAGCGCTCCAAAAGTCCAGTTCCAGATACTACAAAAGGAGTGTTTCAGGACTGCTCTATAAAAGGGAGTGTTCAACTTTTGACTTGAATGCAAACATCAGAAAGCAGTTTCTCAGAACGCTGCTGTGTGCTTTTTATATGTATTCCCGCCTCCAGCGAAATCCCCAAAGCTAGCCAAATATCCACTTGCAGATTCCAGAAAAAGAGTGTTTCAAAACTGCTCCTTCAAAACGGTGGTTCAATTCTCTTAGTTGAGTACACACATCTCAAATAAGTTTCTGAGAATGCTTCTGTCTAGTTGTTATGGGAAGATATTTCCTTTTCCAACATAGGCCTGAAAGCGCTCCAAATGTCCAATTCCAGATACTACAAAAGGAGTGATTCCAACCTGCTCTATGATAGGGAATGTTCAACTCTGTGTCCTGAATACAAACATCACAAAGATGTTTCTCAGAACGCTGCAGTCTGCAATTTGTATGAATTCCCGCTTCCAACGAAATCCTCCAAACTAGCCAAATATCCACTTGCAGATTCCACAAAAAGAGCGTTTCAAAACTTCTCTATGAAAAGAAAGGTTCTACTCCTTTAGTTGAGGACACACATCACGAGTAAGTTTCTGAGAATGCTTCTGTCTAGTTTTTATGGGAAGATATTTCCTTTTTCACCTTAGGCCAGAAGGGCTCCAAATGTCCACTTACACATACTACAAAAAGAGTGTTTCAAACCTGCTCTGTGAAAGGGAATGTTCAATTCTGTGACTTGAATACAATCATCACAAAGAACTTTCTGAGAATGCTGCTGTCTGCTTTTTATATGTAATCCCGTTTCCAATGAAATCCTCAAATCTAGCCCAATATCCACTTGCAGATTCCACAAAAAGAGTGTTTCAAAACTGTTCTGTCTAAAGAAAAGTTCAACTGTGTTAGTTGAGGACACACATCAGAAACTAGTTTCTGAGAATGCTTCTGTCTAGTTGTTATGGGAAGATATTTCCTTTTCCAACGTAGGCCTGAAAGCGCTCCAAATGTCCACTTCCATATACTAAAAAAAGAGTGTTTCAAACCTGCTCTACCAAAGGGAATGTTCTACTCTGTGACTTGAATGCAAACATCCCAAAGAAGTTTCTGAGAATGCTTCTGTCTAGATTTTATCTGAAGACAATCCCGTTTCCAACGAAATCCTCAAGGCTAGGCAAATATACTCTTGCAGATTCCAGAAAAAGAGTGTTTCAAAACTGCTCCTTCAAAACGGTGGTTCAATTCTCTTAGTTGAGTCCACACATCTCAAATAAGTTTCTGAGAATGCTTCTGCCTAGTTGTTACGGGAAGATATTTCCCTTTCCAACATGGGCCTGAAAGCGCTCCAAATGTCCACTTCCAGATACTACAAAAAGAGTGTTTCAAACCTGCTCTACCAAAGGGAATGTTCTACTCTGTGACTTGAATGCAAACATCCCAAAGAAGTTTCTGAGAATGCTTCTGTCTAGATTTTACCTGAAGACAATCCCGTTTCCCACGAAATCCTCAAAGCTATGCAAATATCCTCTTGCAGATTCTACAAAAAGAGTGTTTCAAAACTGCTCTATGAAAAGAAAGGTTCAACTCTGTCAGTAGAGGGCACACATCACAAACAAGTTTCTGAGAATGCTTCTGCATAGTTGTTACGGGAAGATATTTCCCTTTCCAAAATAGGCCTGAAAGCGCTCCAAATGTCCACTTCCAGATACTACAAAAGGAGTGATTCCAACCTGCTCTATGATAGGGAATGTTCAACTCTGTGTCCTGAATACAAACATCACAAAGATGTTTCTCAGAACGCTGCAGTCTGCAATTTGTATGAATTCCCGCTTCCAACGAAATCCTCAAAACTAGCCAAATATCCACTTGCAGATTCCACAAAAAGACCATTTCAAAACTGCTCTATCAAAAGAAAGGTTCAACTTTGTTAGTTGAGTAGATACAGCATAAACAAGTTTCTGAGAATGCTTCTGTCCAGTTTTTATGGGAAGATATTTCCTTTTTCACCTTAGCCCTGAAATCGCTCCAAAAGTCCAGTTCCAGATACTACAAAAGGGGTGTTTCAAGACTGCTCTATGAAAGGGAGTGTTCAACTTTTGACTTGAATGCAAACATCAGAAAGCAGTTTCTCAGAACGCTGCTGTGTGCTTTTTATATGTATTCCCGCTTCCAGCGAAATCCCCAAAGCTAGCCAAATATCCACTTGCAGATTCCAGAAAAAGAGAGTTTCAAAACTGCTCCTTCAAAACGGTGGTTCAATTCTCTTAGTTGAGTACACACATCTCAAATAAGTTTCTGAGAATGCTTGTGTCTAGTTGTTATGGGAAGATATTTCCTTTTTCAACATAGGCCTGAAAGCGCTCCAAATGTCCACTTCCAGATACTACAAAAGGAGTGATTCCAACCTGCTCTATGATAGGGAATGTTCATCTCTGTGTCCTGAATACAAACATCACAAAGATGTTTCTCAGAACGCTGCAGTCTGCAATTTGTATGAGTTCCCGCTTCCTACGAAATCCTCAACACTAGCCAAATATCCACTTGGAGATTCCACAAAAAGAGCGTTTCAAAACTTCTCTATGAATAGAAAGGTTCTACTCCTTTAGTTGAGGACACACATCACGAGTAAGTTTCTGAGAATGCTTCTGTCTAGTTTTTATGGGAAGATATGTCCTTTTTCACCTTAGGCCGGAAAGCGCTCCAAATGTCCACTTACACACACTACAAAAAGAGTGTTTCAAACCTGCTCTGTGAAAGGGAATGTTCAATTCTGTGACTTGAATGCAATCATCACAAAGAACTTTCTGAGAATGCTGCTGACTGCTTTTTATATGTAATCCCGTTTCCAACGAAATCCTCAAATCTAGCCAAATAGCCACTTGCAGATTCCACAAAAAGAGTGTTTCAAAACTGTTCTGTCTATAGAAATGTTCAACTGTGTTAGTTGAGGACACACATCAGAAACTAGTTTCTGAGAATGCTTCTGTCTAGTTGTTATGGGAAGATATTTCCCTTTCCAACGTAGGCCTGAAAGCGATCAAAATGTCCACTTCCATATACTAAAAAAAGAGTGTTTCAAACCTGCTCTACCAAAGGGAATGTTCTACTCTGTGACTTGAATACAAACATCCCAAAGAAGTTTCTGAGAATGCTTCTGTCTAGATTTTATCTGAATACAATCCCGTTTCCAACGAAATCCTCAAGGCTAGGCAAATATACTCTTGCAGATTCCAGAAAAAGAGTGTTTCAAAACTGCTCCTTCAAAACGGTGTTTCAATTCTCTTAGTTGAGTACACACATCTCAAATAAGTTTCTGAGAATGCTTCTGCCTAGTTGTTACTGGAAGATATTTCCCTTTCCAACATAGGCCTGAAAGCGCTCCAAATGTCCACTTCCAGATACTACAAAAAGAGTGTTGCAAACCTGCTCTACCAAAGGGAATGTTCTACTCTGTGACTTGAATGCAAACATCCCAAAGAAGTTTCTGAGAATGCTTCTGTCTAGATTTTACCTGAAGACAATCCCGTTTCCCACGAAATCCTCAAAGCTATGCAAATATCCTCTTGCAGATTCTACAAAAAGAGTGTTTCAAAACTGCTCTATGAAAAGAAAGGTTCAACTCTGTCAGTAGAGGGCACACATCACAAACAAGTTTCTGAGAATGCTTGTGTCTAGTTGTTATGGGAAGATATTTCCTTTTTCAACATAGGCCTGAAAGCGCTCCAAATGTCCACTTCCAGATACTACAAAAGGCGTGATTCCAACCTGCTCTATGATAGGGAATGTTCATCTCTGTGTCCTGAATACAAACATCACAAAGATGTTTCTCAGAACGCTGCAGTCTGCAATTTGTATGAATTCCCGCTTCCAACGAAATCCTCAAAACTAGCCAAATATCCACTTGGAGATTCCACAAAAAGAGCATTTCAAAACTTCTCTACGAATAGAAAGGTTCTACTCCTTTAGTTGAGGACACACATCACGAGTAAGTTTCTGAGAATGCTTCTGTCTAGTTTTTATGGGAAGATATTTCCTTTTTCACCTTAGGCCGGAAAGCGCTCCAAATGTCCACTTACACACACTACAAAAAGAGTGTTTCAAACCTGCTCTGTGAAAGGGAATGTTCAATTCTGTGACTTGAATGCAATCATCACAAAGAACTTTCTGAGAATGCTGCTGTCTGCTTTTTATATGTAATCCCGTTTCCAACGAAATCCTCAAATCTAGCCCAATATCCACTTGCAGATTCCACAAAAAGAGTGTTTCAAAACTGTTCTGTCTAAAGAAAAGTTCAACTGTGTTAGTTGAGGACACACATCAGAAACTAGTTTCTGAGAATGCTTTCTGTCTAGTTGTTATGGGAAGATATTTC
The DNA here is from genome assembly GCF_000001405.40 of Homo sapiens. Taxonomy (NCBI): domain Eukaryota; kingdom Metazoa; phylum Chordata; class Mammalia; order Primates; family Hominidae; genus Homo; species Homo sapiens. The sequence continues at coordinate 18,411,818 of NC_000018.10, read as the reverse complement.
CTTTTCCAACGTAGGCCTGAAAGCGCTCCAAATGTCCACTTCCATATACTAAAAAAAGAGTGTTTCAAACCTGCTCTACCAAAGGGAATGTTCTACTCTGTGACTTGAATGCAAACATCCCAAAGAAGTTTCTGAGAATGCTTCTGTCTAGATTTTATCTGAAGACAATCCCGTTTCCAACGAAATCCTCAAGGCTAGGCAAATATACTCTTGCAGATTCCAGAAAAAGAGGGTTTCAAAACTGCTCCTTCAAAACGGTGGTTCAATTCTCTTAGTTGAGTACACACATCTCAAATAAGTTTCTGAGAATGCTTCTGCCTAGTTGTTACGGGAAGATATTTCCCTTTCCAACATGGGCCTGAAAGCGCTCCAAATGTCCACTTCCAGATACTACAAAAAGAGGGTTTCAAACCTGCTCTACCAAAGGGAATGTTCTACTCTGTGACTTGAATGCAAACATCCCAAAGAAGTTTCTGAGAATGCTTCTGTCTAGATTTTACCTGAAGACAATCCCGTTTCCCACGAAATCCTCAAAGCTATGCAAATATCCTCTTGCAGATTCTACAAAAACAGTGTTTCAAAACTGCTCTATGAAAAGAAAGGTTCAACTCTGTCAGCAGAGGGCACACATCACAAACAAGTTTCTGAGAATGCTTGTGTCTAGTTGTTATGGGAAGATATTTCCTTTTTCAACATAGGCCAGAAAGCGCTCCAAATGTCCACTTCCAGATACTACAAAAGGAGTGATTCCAACCTGCTCTATGATAGGGAATGTTCAACTCTGTGTCCTGAATACAAACATCACAAAGATGTTTCTCAGAACGCTGCAGTCTGCAATTTGTATGTATTCCAGCTTCCAACGAAATCCTCAAATCTAGCCAAATATCCAATTGCAGATTCCACAAAAAGAGCATTTCAAAACTGCTCTATCAAAAGAAAGGTTCAACTTTTTTAGTAGAGTAGATACAGCATAAACAAGTTTCTGAGAATTCTTCTGTCCAGTTTTTATGGGAAGATATTTCCTTTTTCACCTTAGCCCTGAAAGCGCTCCAAAAGTCCAGTTCCAGATACTACAAAAGGAGTGTTTCAGGACTGCTCTATGAAAGGGAGTGTTCAACTTTTGACTTGAATGCAAACATCAGAAAGCAGTTTCTCAGAACGCTGCAGTCTGCAATTTGTATGAATTCCCGCTTCCAACGAAATCCTCAAAACTAGCCAAATATCCACTTGCAGATTCCACAAAAAGAGCGTTTCAAAACTTCTCTATGAAAAGAAAGGTTCTACTCCTTTAGTTGAGGACACACAATACGAGTAAGTTTCTGAGAATGCTTCTGTCCAGTTTTTATGGGAAGATATTTCCTTTTTCACCTTAGCCCTGAAAGCGCTCCAAAAGTCCAGTTCCAGATACTACAAAAGGAGTGTTTCAGGACTGCTCTATGAAAGGGAGTGTTCAACTTTTGACTTGAATGCAAACATCAGAAAGCAGTTTCTCAGAACGCTGCTGTGTGCTTTTTATATGTATTCCCGCATCCAGCGAAATCCCCAAAGCTAGCCAAATATCCACTTGCAGATTCCAGAAAAAGAGTGTTTCAAAACTGCTCCTTCAAAACGGTGGTTCAATTCTCTTAGTTGAGTACACACATCTCAAATAAGTTTCTGAGAATGCTTCTGTCTAGTTGTTATGGGAAGATATTTCCTTTTCCAACATAGGCCTGAAAGCGCTCCAAATGTCCACTTCCAGATACTACAAAAGGAGTGATTCAAACCTGCTCTATGATAGGGAATGTTCAACTCTGTGTCCTGAATACAAACATCACAAAGATGTTTCTCAGAACGCTGCAGTCTGCAATTTGTATGAATTCCCGCTTCCAACGAAATCCTCCAAACTAGCCAAATATCCACTTGCAGATTCCACAAAAAGAGCGTTTCAAAACTTCTCTATGAAAAGAAAGGTTCTACTCCTTTAGTTGAGGACACACATCACGAGTAAGTTTCTGAGAATGCTTCTGTCTAGTTTTTATGGGAAGATATTTCCCTTTTCACCTTAGGCCAGTAAGTGCTCCAAATGTCCACTTACACACACTACAAAAAGAGTGTTTCAAACCTGCTCTGTGAAAGGGAATGTTCAATTCTGTGACTTGAATGCAATCATCACAAAGAACTTTCTGAGAATGCTGCTGACTGCTTTTTATATGTAATCCCGTTTCCAACGAAATCCTCAAATCTAGCCAAATAGCCACTTGCAGATTCCACAAAAAGAGTGTTTCAAAACTGTTCTGTCTAAAGAAATGTTCAACTGTGTTAGTTGAGGACACACATCAGAAACTAGTTTCTGAGAATGCTTCTGTCTAGTTGTTATGGGAAGATATTTCCTTTTCCAACGTAGGCCTGAAAGCGATCCAAATGTCCACTTCCATATACTAAAAAAAGAGTGTTTCAAACCTGCTCTACCAAAGGGAATGTTCTACTCTGTGACTTGAATGCAAACATCCCAAAGAAGTTTCTGAGAATGCTTCTGTCTAGATTTTCTCTGAAGACAATCCCGTTTCCAACGAAATCCTCAAGGCTAGGCAAATATACTCTTGCAGATTCCAGAAAAAGAGTGTTTCAAAACTGCTCCTTCAAAACGGTGGTTCAATTCTCTTAGTTGAGTACACACATCTCAAATAAGTTTCTGAGAATGCTTCTGCCTAGTTGTTACGGGAAGATATTTCCCTTTCCAACATGGGCCTGAAAGCGCTCCAAATGTCCACTTCCAGATACTACAAAAAGAGTGTTTCAAACCTGCTCTACCAAAGGGAATGTTCTACTCTGTGACTTGAATGCAAACATCCCAAAGAAGTTTCTGAGAATGCTTCTGTCTAGATTTTACCTGAAGACAATCCCGTTTCCCACGAAATCCTCAAAGCTATGCAAATATCCTCTTGCAGATTCTACAAAAAGAGTGTTTCAAAACTGCTCTATGAAAAGAAAGGTTCAACTCTGTCAGTAGAGGGCACACATCACAAACAAGTTTCTGAGAATGCTTCTGCATAGTTGTTACGGGAAGATATTTCCCTTTCCAAAATAGGCCTGAAAGCGCTCCAAATGTCCACTTCCAGATACTACAAAAGGAGTGATTCCAACCTGCTCTATGATAGGGAATGTTCAACTCTGTGTCCTGAATACAAACATCACAAAGATGTTTCTCAGAACGCTGCAGTCTGCAATTTGTATGAATTCCCGCTTCCAACGAAATCCTCAAAACTAGCCAAATATCCACTTGCAGATTCCACAAAAAGACCATTTCAAAACTGCTCTATCAAAAGAAAGGTTCAACTTTGTTAGTTGAGTAGATACAGCATAAACAAGTTTCTGAGAATGCTTCTGTCCAGTTTTTATGGGAAGATATTTCCTTTTTCACCTTAGCCCTGAAAGCGCTCCAAAAGTGCAGTTCCAGATACTACAAAAGGAGTGTTTCAGGACTGCTCTATGAAAGGGAGTGTTCAACTTTTGACTTGAATGCAAACATCAGAAAGCAGTTTCTCAGAACGCTGCTGTGTGCTTTTTATATGTATTCCCGCTTCCAGCGAAATCCCCAAAGCTAGCCAAATATCCACTTGCAGATTCCAGAAAAAGAGTGTTTCAAAACTGCTCCTTCAAAACGGTGGTTCAATTCTCTTAGTTGAGTACACACATCTCAAATAAGTTTCTGAGAATGCTTCTGTCTAGTTGTTATGGGAAGATATTTCCTTTTCCAACATAGGCCTGAAAGCGCTCCAAATGTCCACTTCCAGATACTACAAAAGGAGTGATTCCAACCTGCTCTATGATAGGGAATGTTCAACTCTGTGTCCTGAATACAAACATCACAAAGATGTTTCTCAGAACGCTGCAGTCTGCAATTTGTATGAATTCCCGCTTCCAACGAAATCCTCAAAACTAGCCAAATATCCACTTGCAGATTCCACAAAAAGAGCGTTTCAAAACTTCTCTATGAAAACAAAGGTTCTACTCCTTTAGTTGAGGACACACATCACGAGTAAGTTTCTGAGAATGCTTCTGTCTAGTTTTTATGGGAAGATATTTCCTTTTTCACCTTAGGCCGGAAAGTGCTCCAAATGTCCACTTACACACACTACAAAAAGAGTGTTTCAAACCTGCTCTGTGAAAGGGAATGTTCAATTCTGTGACTTGAATGCAATCATCACAAAGAACTTTCTGAGAATGCTGCTGTCTGCTTTTTATATGTAATCCCGTTTCCAACGAAATCCTCAAATCTAGCCAAATAGCCACTTGCAGATTCCACAAAAAGAGAGTTTCAAAACTGTTCTGTCTAAAGAAATGTTCAACTGTGTTAGTTGAGGACACACATCAGAAACTAGTTTCTGAGAATGCTTCTGTCTAGTTGTTATGGGAAGATATTTCCTTTTCCAACGTAGGCCTGAAAGCGCTCCAAATGTCCACTTCCATATACTAAAAAAAGAGTGTTTCAAACCTGCTCTACCAAAGGGAATGTTCTACTCTGTGACTTGAATGCAAACATCCCAAAGAAGTTTCTGAGAATGCTTCTGTCTAGATTTGATCTGAAGACAATCCCGTTTCCAACGAAATCCTCAAGGCTAGGCAAATATCCTCTTGCAGATTCCAGAAAAAGAGTGTTTCAAAACTGCTCCTTCAAAACGGTGGTTCAATTCTCTTAGTTGAGTACACACATCTCAAATAAGTTTCTGAGAATGCTTCTGCCTAGTTGTTACGGGAAGATATTTCCCTTTCCAACATAGGCCTGAAAGCGCTCCAAATGTCCACTTCCAGATACTACAAAAAGAGTGTTTGAAACCTGCTCTACCAAAGGTAATGTTCTACTCTGTGACTTGAATGCAAACATCCCGAAGAAGTTTCTGAGAATGCTTCTGTCTAGATTTTACCTGAAGACAATCCCGTTTCCCACGAAATCCTCAAAGCTATGCAAATATCCTCTTGCAGATTCTACAAAAAGAGTGTTTCAAAACTGCTCTATGAAAAGAAAGGTTCAACTCTGTCACTAGAGGGCACACATCACAAACAAGTTTCTGAGAATGCTTGTGTCTAGTTGTTATGGGAAGATATTTCCTTTTTCAACATAGGCCTGAAAGCGCTCCAAATGTCCACTTCCAGATACTACAAAAGGAGTGATTCCAACCTGCTCTATGATAGGGAATGTTCAACTCTCTGTCCTGAATACAAACATCACAAAGATGTTTCTCAGAACGCTGCAGTCTGCAATTTGTATGAATTCCCGCTTCCAGCGAAATCCTCAAAACTAGCCAAATATCCACTTGCAGATTCCACAAAAAGAGCATTTCAAAACTGCTCTATCAAAAGAAAGGTTCAACTTTGTTAGTTGAGTAGATACAGCATAAACAAGTTTCTGAGAATGCTTCTGTCCAGTTTTTATGGGAAGATATTTCCTTTTTCACCTTAGCCCTGAAGCGCTCCAAAAGTCCAGTTCCAGATACTACAAAAGGAGTGTTTCAGGACTGCTCTATGAAAGGGAGTGTTCAACTTTTGACTTGAATGCAAACATCAGAAAGCAGTTTCTCAGAACGCTGCAGTCTGCAATTTGTATGAATTCCCGCATCCAACGAAATCCTCAAAACTAGCCAAATATCCACTTGGAGATTCCACAAAAAGAGCGTTTCAAACCTTCTCTATGAATAGAAAGGTTCTACTCCTTTAGTTGAGGACACACATCACGAGTAACTTTCTGAGAATGCTTGTGTCTAGTTTTTATGGGAAGATATTTCCTTTTTCACCTTAGGCCGGAAAGTGCTCCAAATGTCCACTTACACACACTACAAAAAGAGTGTTTCAAACCTGCTCTGTGAAAGGGAATGTTCAATTCTGTGACTTGAATGCAATCATCACAAAGAACTTTCTGAGAATGCTGCTGACTGCTTTTTATATGTAATCCCGTTTCCAACGAAATCCTCAAATCTAGCCAAATAGCCACTTGCAGATTCCACAAAAAGAGTGTTTCAAAACTGTTCTGTCTAAAGAAATGTTCAACTGTGTTAGTTGAGGACACACATCAGAAACTAGTTTCTGAGAATGCTTCTGTCTAGTTGTTATGGGAAGATATTTCCTTTTCCAACGTAGGCCTGAAAGCGCTCCAAATGTCCACTTCCATATACTAAAAAAAGAGTGTTTCAAACCTGCTCTACCAAAGGGAATGTTCTACTCTGTGACTTGAATGCAAACATCCCAAAGAAGTTTCTGAGAATGCTTCTGTCTAGATTTTCTCTGAAGACAATCCCGTTTCCAACGAAATCCTCAAGGCTAGGCAAATATACTCTTGCAGATTCCAGAAAAAGAGTGTTTCAAAACTGCTCCTTCAAAACGGTGGTTCAATTCTCTTAGTTGAGTACACACATCTCAAATAAGTTTCTGAGAATGCTTCTGCCTAGTTGTTACGGGAAGATATTTCCCTTTCCAACATGGGCCTGAAAGCGCTCCAAATGTCCACTTCCAGATACTACAAAAAGAGTGTTTCAAACCTGCTCTACCAAAGGGAATGTTCTACTCTGTGACTTGAATGCAAACATCCCAAAGAAGTTTCTGAGAATGCTTCTGTCTAGATTTTACCTGAAGACAATCCCGTTTCCCACGAAATCCTCAAAGCTATGCAAATATCCTCTTGCAGATTCTACAAAAAGAGTGTTTCAAAACTGCTCTATGAAAAGAAAGGTTCAACTCTGTCAGTAGAGGGCACACATCACAAACAAGTTTCTGAGAATGCTTCTGCATAGTTGTTACGGGAAGATATTTCCCTTTCCAAAATAGGCCTGAAAGCGCTCCAAATGTCCACTTCCAGATACTACAAAAGGAGTGATTCCAACCTGCTCTATGATAGGGAATGTTCAACTCTGTGTCCTGAATACAAACATCACAAAGATGTTTCTCAGAACGCTGCAGTCTGCAATTTGTATGAATTCCCGCTTCCAACGAAATCCTCAAAACTAGCCAAATATCCACTTGCAGATTCCACAAAAAGACCATTTCAAAACTGCTCTATCAAAAGAAAGGTTCACCTTTGTTAGTTGAGTAGATACAGCATAAACAAGTTTCTGAGAATGCTTCTGTCCAGTTTTTATGGGAAGATATTTCCTTTTTCACCTTAGCCCTGAAATCGCTCCAAAAGTCCAGTTCCAGATACTACAAAAGGGGTGTTTCAAGACTGCTCTATGAAAGGGAGTGTTCAACTTTTGACTTGAATGCAAACATCAGAAAGCAGTTTCTCAGAACGCTGCTGTGTGCTTTTTATATGTATTCCCGCTTCCAGCGAAATCCCCAAAGCTAGCCAAATATCCACTTGCAGATTCCAGAAAAAGAGAGTTTCAAAACTGCTCCTTCAAAACGGTGGTTCAATTCTCTTAGTTGAGTACACACATCTCAAATAAGTTTCTGAGAATGCTTCTGTCTAGTTGTTATGGGAAGATATTTCCTTTTCCAACATAGGCCTGAAAGCGCTCCAAATGTCCACTTCCAGATACTACAAAAGGAGTGATTCCAACCTGCTCTATGATAGGGAATGTTCAACTCTGTGTCCTGAATACAAACATCACAAAGATGTTTCTCAGAACGCTGCAGTCTGCAATTTGTATGAATTCCCGCTTCCAACGAAATCCTCAAAACTAGCCAAATATCCACTTGCAGATTCCACAAAAAGACCATTTCAAAACTGCTCTATCAAAAGAAAGGTTCAACTTTGTTAGTTGAGTAGATACAGCATAACCAAGTTTCTGAGAATGCTTCTGTCCAGTTTTTATGGGAAGATATTTCCTTTTTCACCTTAGCCCTGAAATCGCTCCAAAAGAACAGTTCCAGATACTACAAAAGGGGTGTTTCAAGACTGCTCTATGAAAGGGAGTGTTCAACTTTTGACTTGAATGCAAACATCAGAAAGCAGTTTCTCAGAACGCTGCTGTGTGCTTTTTATATGTATTCCCGCTTCCAGCGAAATCCCCAAAGCTAGCCAAATATCCACTTGCAGATTCCAGAAAAAGAGTGTTTCAAAACTGCTCCTTCAAAACGGTGGTTCAATTCTCTTAGTTGAGTACACACATCTCAAATAAGTTTCTGAGAATGCTTCTGTCTAGTTGTTATGGGAAGATATTTCCTTTTCCAACATAGGCCTGAAAGCGCTCCAAATGTCCACTTCCAGATACTACAAAAGGAGTGATTCAAACCTGCTCTATGATAGGGAATGTTCAACTCTGTGTCCTGAATACAAACATCACAAAGATGTTTCTCAGAACGCTGCAGTCTGCAATTTGTATGAATTCCCGCTTCCAACGAAATCCTCCAAACTAGCCAAATATCCACTTGCAGATTCCACAAAAAGAGCGTTTCAAAACTTCTCTATGAAAACAAAGGTTCTACTCCTTTAGTTGAGGACACACATCACGAGTAAGTTTCTGAGAATGCTTCTGTCTAGTTTTTATGGGAAGATATTTCCTTTTTCACCTTAGGCCGGAAAGTGCTCCAAATGTCCACTTACACACACTATAAAAAGAGTGTTTCAAACCTGCTCTGTGAAAGGGAATGTTCAATTCTGTGACTTGAATGCAATCATCACAAAGAACTTTCTGAGAATGCTGCTGTCTGCTTTTTATATGTAATCCCGTTTCCAACGAAATCCTCAAATCTAGCCAAATAGCCACTTGCAGATACCACAAAAAGAGTGTTTCAAAACTGTTCTGTCTAAAGAAATGTTCAACTGTGTTAGTTGAGGACACACATCAGAAACTAGTTTCTGAGAATGCTTCTGTCTAGTTGTTATGGGAAGATATTTCCTTTTCCAACGTAGGCCTGAAAGCGCTCCAAATGTCCACTTCCATATACTAAAAAAAGAGTGTTTCAAACCTGCTCTACCAAAGGGAATGTTCTACTCTGTGACTTGAATGCAAACATCCCAAAGAAGTTTCTGAGAATGCTTCTGTCTAGATTTGATCTGAAGACAATCCCGTTTCCAACGAAATCCTCAAGGCTAGGCAAATATCCTCTTGCAGATTCCAGAAAAAGAGTGTTTCAAAACTGCTCCTTCAAAACGGTGGTTCAATTCTCTTAGTTGAGTACACACATCTCAAATAAGTTTCTGAGAATGCTTCTGCCTAGTTGTTACGGGAAGATATTTCCCTTTCCAACATAGGCCTGAAAGCGCTCCAAATGTCCACTTCCAGATACTACAAAAAGAGTGTTTCAAACCTGCTCTACCAAAGGGAATGTTCTACTCTGTGACTTGAATGCAAACATCCCGAAGAATTTTCTGAGAATGCTTCTGTCTAGATTTTACCTGAAGACAATCCCGTTTCCCACGAAATCCTCAAAGCTATGCAAATATCCTCTTGCAGATTCTACAAAAAGAGTGTTTCGAAACTGCTCTATGAAAAGAAAGGTTCAACTCTGTCAGTAGAGGGCACACATCACAAACAAGTTTCTGAGAATGCTTCTGCCTAGTTGTTATAGGAAGATATTTCCTTTTTCAACATAGGCCTGAAAGCGCTCCAAATGTCCACTTCCAGATACTACAAAAGGAGTGATTCCAACCTGCTCGATGATAGGGAATGTTCAACTCTGTGTCCTGAATACAAACATCACAAAGATGTTTCTCAGAACGCTGCAGTCTGCAATTTGTATGAATTCCCGCTTCCAACGAAATCCTCTAACCTAGCCAAATATCCACTTGCAGATTCCACAAAAAGAGCATTTCAAAACTGCTCTTTCAAAAGAAAGGTTCAACTTTGTTAGTTGAGTAGATACAGCATAAACAAGTTTCTGAGAATGCTTCTGTCCAGTTTTTATGGGAAGATATTTCCTTTTTCACCTTAGCCCTGAAAGCGCTCCAAATGTCCAGTTCCAGATACTACAAAAGGGGTGTTTCAAGACTGCTCTATGAAAGGGAGTGTTCAACTTTTGACTTGAATGCAAACATCAGAAAGCAGTTTCTCAGAACGCTGCTGTGTGCTTTTTATATGTATTCCCGCTTCCAGCGAAATCCCCAAAGCTAGCCAAATATCCACTTGCAGATTCCAGAAAAAGAGTGTTTCAAAACTGCTCCTTCAAAACGGTGGTTCAATTCTCTTAGTTGAGTACACACATCTCAAATAAGTTTCTGAGAATGCTTCTGTCTAGTTGTTATGGGAAGATATTTCCTTTTCCAACATAGGCCTGAAAGCGCTCCAAATGTCCACTTCCAGATACTACAAAAGGAGTGATTCAAACCTGCTCTATGATAGGGAATGTTCAACTCTGTGTCCTGAATACAAACATCACAAAGATGTTTCTCAGAACGCTGCAGTCTGCAATTTGTATGAATTCCCGCTTCCAACGAAATCCTCAAAACTAGCCAAATATCCACTTGCAGATTCCACAAAAAGAGCATTTCAAAACTGCTCTATCAAAAGAAAGGTTCAACTTTGTTAGTTGAGTAGATACAGCATAAAAAAGTTTCTGAGAATGCTTCTGTCCAGTTTTTATGGGAAGATATTTCCTTTTTCACCTTAGCCCTGAAAGCGCTCCAAAAGTCCAGTTCCAGATACTACAAAAGGAGTGTTTCAGGACTGCTCTATGAAAGGGAGTGTTCAACTTTTGACTTGAATGCAAACATCAGAAAGCAGTTTCTCAGAACGCTGCTGTGTGCTTTTTATATGTATTCCCGCCTCCAGCGAAATCCCCAAAGCTAGCCAAATATCCACTTGCAGATTCCAGAAAAAGAGTGTTTCAAAACTGCTCCTTCAAAACGGTGGTTCAATTCTCTTAGTTGAGTACACACATCTCAAATAAGTTTCTGAGAATGCTTCTGTCTATTTGTTATGGGAAGATATTTCCTTTTCCAACATAGGCCTGAAAGCGCTCCAAATGTCCACTTCCAGATACTAGAAAAGGAGTGATTCAAACCTGCTCTATGATAGGGAATGTTCAACTCTGTGTCCTGAATACAAACATCACAAAGATGTTTCTCAGAACGCTGCAGTCTGCATCTTGTATGAATTCCCGCTTCCAACGAAATCCTCCAAACTAGCCAAATATCCACTTGCAGATTCCACAAAAAGAGCGTTTCAAAACTTCTCTATGAAAAGAAAGGTTCTACTCCTTTAGTTGAGGACACACATCACGAGTAAGTTTCTGAGAATGCTTCTGTCTAGTTTTTATGGGAAGATATTTCCTTGTTCACCTTAGGCCGGAAAGCGCTCCAAATGTCCACTTACACACACTACAAAAAGAGTGTTTCAAACCTGCTCTGTGAAAGGGAATGTTCAATTCTGTGACTTGAATGCAATCATCACAAAGAAGTTTCTGAGAATGCTGCTGTCTGCTTTTTATATGTAATCCCGTTTCCAACGAAATCCTGAAATCTAGCCAAATATCCACTTGCAGATTCCACAAAAAGAGTGTTTCAAAACTATTCTGTCTAAAGAAATGTTCAACTGTGTTAGTTGAGGACACACATCAGAAACTAGTTTCTGAGAATGCTTCTGTCTAGTTGTTATGGGAAGATATTTCCTTTTCCAACGTAGGCCTGAAAGCGCTCCAAATGTCCACTTCCATATACTAAAAAAAGAGTGTTTCAAACCTGCTCTACCAAAGGAATGTTCTACTCTGTGACTTGAATGCAAACATCCCAAAGAAGTTTCTGAGAATGCTTCTGTCTAGATTTGATCTGAAGACAATCCCTTTTCCAACGAAATCCTCAAAGCTAGGCAAATATCCTCTTGCAGATTCCAGAAAAAGAGTGTTTCCAAACTGCTCCTTCAAAACGGTGGTTCAATTCTCTTAGTTGAGTACACACATCTCAAATAAGTTTCTGAGAATGCTTCTGCGTAGTTGTTACGGGAAGATATTTCCCTTTCCAACATAGGCCTGAAAGCGCAACAAATGTCCACTTCCAGATACGACAAAAAGAGTGTTTCAAACCTGCTCTACCAAAGGGAATGTTCTACTCTGTGACTTGAATGCAAACATCCCGAAGAAGTTTCTGAGAATGCTTCTGTCTAGATTTTACCTGAAGACAATCCCGTTTCCCACGAAATCCTCAGAGCTATGCAAATATCCTCTTGCAGATTCTACAAAAAGAGTGTTTCGAAACTGCTCTATGAAAAGAAAGGTTCAACTCTGTCAGTAGAGGAAACACATCACCAACAAGTTTCTGAGAATGCTTCTGTCTAGTTGTTATGGGAAGATTTTTCCTTTTTCAACATAGGCCTGAAAGCGCTCCAAATGTCCACTTCCAGATACTACAAAAGGAGTGATCCCAACCTGCTCTATGATAGGGAATGTTCAACTCTGTGTCCTGAGTACAAACATCACAAAGATGTTTCTCAGAACGCTGCAGTCTGCAATTTGTATGAATTCCCGCTTCCAACGAAATCCTCAAAACTAGCCAAATATCCACTTGCAGATTCCACAAAAAGAGCATTTCAAAACTGCTCTATCAAAAGAAAGGTTCAACTTTGTTAGTTGAGCAGATACAGCATAAACAAGTTTCTGAGAATGCTTCTGTCCAGTTTTTATGGGAAGATATTTCCTTTTTCACCTTAGCCCTGAAATCGCTCCAAAAGTCCAGTTCCAGATACTACAAAAGGGGTGTTTCAAGACTGCTCTATGAAAGGGAGTGTTCAACTTTTGACTTGAATGCAAACATCAGAAAGCAGTTTCTCAGAACGCTGCTGTGTGCTTTTTATATGTATTCCCGCTTCCAGCGAAATCCCCAAATCTAGCCAAATATCCACTTGCAGATTCCAGAAAAAGAGTGTTTCAAAACTGCTCCTTCAAAACGGTGGTTCAATTCTCTTAGTTGAGTACACACATCTCAAATAAGTTTCTGAGAATGCTTCTGTCTAGTTGTTATGGGAAGATATTTCCTTTTCCAACATAGGCCTGAAAGCGCTCCAAATGTCCACTTCCAGATACTACAAAAGGAGTGATTCAAACCTGCTCTATGATAGGGAATGTTCAACTCTGTGTCCTGAATACAAACATCACAAAGATGTTTCTCAGAACGCTGCAGTCTGCAATTTGTATGAATTCCCGCTTCCAACGGAAATCCTCAAAACTAGCCAAATATCCACTTGCAGATTCCACAAAAAGAGCGTTTCAAAACTTCTCTATGAAAAGGAAGGTTCTACTCCTTTAGTTGAGGACACACATCACGAGTAAGTTTCTGAGAATGCTTCTGTCTAGTTTTTATGGGAAGATATTTCCTTTTTCACCTTAGGCCGGAAAGTGCTCCAAATGTCCACTTACACACACTATAAAAAGAGTGTTTCAAACCTGCTCTGTGAAAGGGAATGCTCAATTCTGTGACTTGAATGCAATCATCACAAAGAACTTTCTGAGAATGCTGCTGTCTGCTTTTTATATGTAATCCCGTTTCCAACGAAATCCTCAAATCTAGCCAAATAGCCACTTGCAGATTCCACAAAAAGAGAGTTTCAAAACTGTTCTGTCTAAAGAAATGTTCAACTGTGTTAGTTGAGGACACACATCAGAAACTAGTTTCTGAGAATGCTTCTGTCTAGTTGTTATGGGAAGATATTTCCTTTTCCAACGTAGACCTGAAAGCGCTCCAAATGTCCACTTCCATATACTAAAAAAAGAGTGTATCAAACCTGCTCTACCAAAGGGAATGTTCTACTCTGTGACTTGAATGCAAACATCCCAAAGAAGTTTCTGAGAATGCTTCTGTCTAGATTTGATCTGAAGACAATCCCGTTTCCAACGAAATCCTCAAGGCTAGGCAAATATCCTCTTGCAGATTCCAGAAAAAGAGTGTTTCAAAACTGCTCCTTCAAAACGGTGGTTCAATTCTCTTAGTTGAGTACACACATCTCAAATAAGTTTCTGAGAATGCTTCTGCCTAGTTGTTACGGGAAGATATTTCCCTTTCCAACATAGGCCTGAAAGCGCTCCAAATGTCCACTTCCAGATACTACAAAAAGAGTGTTTCAAACCTGCTCTACCAAAGGGAATGTTCTACTCTGTGACTTGAATGCAAACATCCCAAAGAAGTTTCTGAGAATGCTTCTGTCTAGATTTTACCTGAAGACAATCCCGTTTCCCACGAAATCCTCAAAGCTATGCAAATATCCTCTTGAAGATTCTACAAAAAGAGTGTTTCAAAACTGCTCTATGAAAAGAACGGTTCAACTCTGTCAGTAGAGGGCACACATCACAAACAAGTTTCTGAGAATGCTTCTGCATAGTTGTTACGGGAAGATATTTCCCTTTCCAAAATAGGCCTGAAAGCGCTCCAAATGTCCACTTCCAGATACTACAAAAGGAGTGATTCCAACCTGCTCTATGATAGGGAATGTTCAACTCTGTGTCCTGAATACAAACATCACAAAGATGTTTCTCAGAACGCTGCAGTCTGCAATTTGTATGAATTCCCGCTTCCAACGAAATCCTCAAAACTAGCCAAATATCCACTTGCAGATTCCACAAAAAGACCATTTCAAAACTGCTCTATCAAAAGAAAGGTTCAACTTTGTTAGTTGAGTAGATACAGCATAAACAAGTTTCTGAGAATGCTTCTGTCCAGTTTTTATGGGAAGATATTTCCTTTTTCACCTTAGCCCTGAAATCGCTCCAAAAGTCCAGTTCCAGATACTACAAAAGGGGTGTTTCAAGACTGCTCTATGAAAGGGAGTGTTCAACTTTTGACTTGAATGCAAACATCAGAAAGCAGTTTCTCAGAACGCTGCTGTGTGCTTTTTATATGTATTCCCGCTTCCAGCGAAATCCCCAAAGCTAGCCAAATAGCCACTTGCAGATTTCAGAAAAAGAGTGTTTCAAAACTGCTCCTTCAAAACGGTGGTTCAATTCTCTTAGTTGAGTACACACATCTCAAATAAGTTTCTGAGAATGCTTCTGTCTAGTTGTTATGGGAAGATATTTCCTTTTCCAACATAGGCCTGAAAGCGCTCCAAATGTCCACTTCCAGATACTACAAAAGGAGTGATTCAAACCTGCTCTATGATAGGGAATGTTCAACTCTGTGTCCTGAATACAAACATCACAAAGATGTTTCTCAGAACGCTGCAGTCTGCAATTTGTATGAATTCCCGCTTCCAACGAAATCCTCCAAACTAGCCAAATATCCACTTGCAGATTCCACAAAAAGAGCGTTTCAAAACTTCTCTATGAAAAGAAAGGTTCTACTCCTTTAGTTGAGGACACACATCACGAGTAAGTTTCTGAGAATGCTTCTGTCTAGTTTTTATGGGAAGATATTTCCTTTTTCACCTTAGGCCGGAAAGTGCTCCAAATGTCCACTTACACACACTACAAAAAGAGTGTTTCAAACCTGCTCTGTGAAAGGGAATGTTCAATTCTGTGACTTGAATGCAATCATCACAAAGAACTTTCTGAGAATGCTGCTGTCTGCTTTTTACATGTAATCCCGTTTCCAACGAAATCCTCAAATCTAGCCAAATAGCCACTTGCAGATTCCACAAAAAGAGTGTTTCAAAACTGTTCTGTCTAAAGAAATGTTCAACTGTGTTAGTTGAGGACACACATCAGAAACTAGTTTCTGAGAATGCTTCTGTCTAGTTGTTATGGGAAGATATTTCCTTTTCCAACGTAGGCCTGAAAGCGCTCCAAATGTCCACTTCCATATACTAAAGAAAGAGTGTTTCAAACCTGCTCTACCAAAGGGAATGTTCTACTCTGTGACTTGAATGCAAACATCCCAAAGAAGTTTCTGAGAATGCTTCTGTCTAGATTTGATCTGAAGACAATCCCGTTTCCAACGAAATCCTCAAGGCTAGGCAAATATCCTCTTGCAGATTCCAGAAAAAGAGTGTTTCAAAACTGCTCCTTCAAAACGGTGGTTCAATTCTCTTAGTTGAGTACACACATCTCAAATAAGTTTCTGAGAATGATTCTGCCTAGTTGTTACGGGAAGATATTTCCCTTTCCAACATAGGCCTGAAAGCGCTCCAAATGTCCACTTCCAGATACTACAAAAAGAGTGTTTCAAACCTGCTCTACCAAAGGGAATGTTCTACTCTGTGACTTGAATGCAAACATCCCAAAGAAGTTTCTGAGAATGCTTGTGTCTAGTTGTTATGGGAAGATATTTCCTTTTTCAACATAGGCCTGAAAGCGCTCCAAATGTCCACTTCCAGATACTACAAAAGGAGTGATTCCAACCTGCTCTATGATAGGGAATGTTCAACTCTGTGTCCTGAATACAAACATCACAAAGATGTTTCTCAGAACGCTCAGTCTGCAATTTGTATGAATTCCCGCTTCCAACGAAATCCTCAAAACTAGCCAAATATCCACTTGCAGATTCCACAAAAAGAGCGTTTCAAAACTTCTCTATGAAAAGAAAGGTTCTACACCTTTAGTTGAGGACACACATCACGAGTAAGTTTCTGAGAATGCTTTCTGTCTAGTTTTTATGGGAAGATATTTCCTTTTCCACCTTAGGCCGGAAAGTGCTCCAAATGACCGCTTACACACACTACAAAAAGAGTGTTTCAAACCTGCTCTGTGAAAGGGAATGTTCAATTCTGTGACTTGAATGCAATCATCACAAAGAACTTTCTGAGAATGCTGCTGACTGCTTTTTATACGTAATCCCGTTTCCAACGAAATCCTCAAATCTGGCCAAATATGCACTTGCAGATTCCACAAAAAGACTGTTTCAAAACTGTTCTGTCTAAAGAAATGTACAACTGTGTTAGTTGAGGACACACATCAGAAACTAGTTTCTGAGAATGCTTCTGTCTAGTTGTTATGGTAACATATTTCCTTTTCCAACGTAGGCCTGAAAGCGCTCCAAATGTCCACTTCCATATACTAAAAAAAGAGTGTTTCAAACCTGCTCTACCAAAGGGAATGTTCTACTCTGTGACTTGAATGCAAAGATCCCAAAGAAGTTTCTGAGAATGCTTCTGTCTAGATTTTATCTGAAGACAATCCCGTTTCCAACGAAATCCTCAAGGCTAGGCAAATATCCTCTTGCAGATTCCAGAAAAAGAGTGTTTCAAAACTGCTCCTTCAAAACGGTGGTTCAATTCTCTTAGTTGAGTATACACATCTCAAATAAGTTTCTGAGAATGCTTCTGCCTAGTTGTTAAGGGAAGATATTTCCCTTTCCAACATGGGCCTGAAAGCGCTCCAAATGTCCACTTCCAGATACTACAAAAAGAGTGTTTGAAACCAGCTCTACCAAAGGGAATGTTCTACTCTGTGACTTGAATGCAAACATCCCAAAGAAGTTTCTGAGAATGCTTCTGTCTAGATTTTACCTGAAGACAATCCCGTTTCCCACGAAATCCTCAAAGCTATGCAAATATCCTCTTGCAGATTCTACAAAAAGAGTGTTTCAAAACTGCTCTATGAAAAGAAAGGTTCAACTCTGTCAGTAGAGGGCACACATCACAAACAAGTTTCTGAGAATGCTTGTGTCTAGTTGTTATGGGAAGATATTTCCTTTTTCAACATAGGCCTGAAAGCGCTCCAAATGTCCACTTCCAGATACTACAAAAGGAGTGATTCCAACCTGCTCTATGATAGGGAATGTTCAACTCTGTGTCCTGAATACAAACATCACAAAGATGTTTCTCAGAACGCTGCAGTCTGCAATTTGTATGAATTCCAGCTTCAAACGAAATCCTCAAATCTAGCCAAATATCCACTTGCAGATTCCACAAAAAGAGCATTTCAAAACTGCTCTATCAAAAGAAAGGTTCAACTTTGTTAGTAGAGTAGATACAGCATAAACAAGTTTCTGAGAATGCTTCTGTCCAGTTTTTATGGGAAGATATTTCCTTTTTCACCTTAGCCCTGAAAGCGCTCCAAAAGTCCAGTTCCAGATACTACAAAAGGAGTGTTTCAGGACTGCTCTATGAAAGGGAGTGTTCAACTTTTGACTTGAATGCAAACATCAGAAAGCAGTTTCTCAGAACGCTGCTGTGTGCTTTTTATATGTATTCCCGCTTCCAGCGAAATCCCCAAAGCTAGCCAAATATCCACTTGCAGATTCCAGAAAAAGAGTGTTTCAAAACTGCTCCTTCAAAACGGTGGTTCAATTCTCTTAGTTGAGTACACACATCTCAAATAAGTTTCTGAGAATGCTTCTGTCTAGTTGTTATGGGAAGATATTTCCTTTTCCAACATAGGCCTGAAAGCGCTCCAAATGTCCACTTCCAGATACTACAAAAGGAGTGATTCAAACCTGCTCTATGATAGGGAATGTTCAACTCTGTGTCCTGAATACAAACATCACAAAGATGTTTCTCAGAACGCTGCAGTCTGCAATTTGTATGAATTCCCGCTTCCAACGAAATCCTCAAAACTAGCCAAATATCCACTTGCAGATTCCACAAAAAGAGCGTTTCAAAACTTCTCTATGAAAAGAAAGGTTCTACTCCTTTAGTTGAGGACACACATCACGAGTAAGTTTCTGAGAGTGCTTCTGTCTAGTTTTTATGGGAAGATATTTCCTTTTTCACCTTAGGCCGGAAAGTGCTCCAAATGTCCACTTACACACACTACAAAAAGTGTGTTTCAAACCTGCTCTGTGAAAGGGAATGTTCAATTCTGTGACTTGAATGCAATCATCACAAAGAACTTTCTGAGAATGCTGCTGTCTGCTTTTTATATGTAATCCCGTTTCCAACGAAATCCTCAAATCTAGCCAAATAGCCACTTGCAGATTCCACAAAAAGAGTGTTTCAAAACTGTTCTGTCTAAAGAAATGTTCAACTGTGTTAGTTGAGGACACACATCAGAAACTAGTTTCTGAGAATGCTTCTGTCTAGTTGTTATGGGAAGATATTTCCTTTTCCAACGTAGGCCTGAAAGCGCTCCAAATGTCCACTTCCATATACTAAAAAAAGAGTGTTTCAAACCTGCTCTACCAAAGGGAATGTTCTACTCTGTGACTTGAATGCAAACATCCCAAAGAAGTTTCTGAAAATGCTTCTGTCTAGATTTTATCTGAAGACAATCCCGTTTCCAACGAAATCCTCAAGGCTAGGCAAATATACTCTTGCAGATTCCAGAAAAAGAGTGTTTCAAAACTGCTCCTTCAAAAGGGTGGTTCAATTCTCTTAGTTGAGTACACACATCTCAAATAAGTTTCTGAGAATGCTTCTGCCTAGTTTTTACGGGAAGATATTTCCCTTTCCAACATGGGCCTGAAAGCGCTCCAAATGTCCACTTCCAGATACTACAAAAAGAGGATTTCAAACCTGCTCTACCAAAGGGAATGTTCTACTCTGTGACTTGAATGCAAACATCCCAAAGAAGTTTCTGAGAATGCTTCTGTCTAGATTTTACCTGAAGACAATCCCGTTTCCCACGAAATCCTCAAAGCTATGCAAATATCCTCTTGCAGATTCTACAAAAATTGTGTTTCAAAACTGCTCTATGAAAAGAAAGGTTCAACTCTGTCAGTAGAGGGCACACATCACAAACAAGTTTCTGAGAATGCTTCTGCATAGTTGTTATGGGAAGATATTTCCCTGTCCAAAATAGGCCTGAAAGCGCTCCAAATGTCCACTTCCAGATACTACAAAAGGAGTGATTCCAACCTGCTCTATGATAGGGAATGTTCAACTCTGTGTCCTGAATACAAACATCACAAAGATGTTTCTCAGAACGCTGCAGTCTGCAATTTGTATGAATTCCCGCTTCCAACGAAATCCTCAAAACTAGCCAAATATCCACTTGCAGATTCCACAAAAAGACCATTTCAAAACTGCTCTATCAAAAGAAAGGTTCAACTTTGTTAGTTGAGTAGATACAGCATAAACAAGTTTCTGAGAATGCTTCTGTCCAGTTTTTATGGGAAGATATTTCCTTTTTCACCTTAGCCCTGAAATCGCTCCAAAAGTCCAGTTCCAGATACTACAAAAGGGGTGTTTCAAGACTGCTCTATGAAAGGGAGTGTTCAACTTTTGACTTGAATGCAAACATCAGAAAGCAGTTTCTCAGAACGCTGCTGTGTGCTTTTTATATGTATTCCCGCTTCCAGCGAAATCCCCAAAGCTAGCCAAATATCCACTTGCAGATTCCAGAAAAAGAGAGTTTCAAAACTGCTCCTTCAAAACGGTGGTTCAATTCTCTTAGTTGAGTACACACATCTCAAATAAGTTTCTGAGAATGCTTCTGCATAGTTGTTACGGGAAGATATTTCCCTTTCCAAAATAGGCCTGAAAGCGCTCCAAATGTCCACTTCCAGATACTACAAAAGGAGTGATTCCAACCTGCTCTATGATAGGGAATGTTCAACTCTGTGTCCTGAATACAAACATCACAAAGATGTTTCTCAGAACGCTGCAGTCTGCAATTTGTATGAATTCCCGCTTCCAACGAAATCCTCAAAACTAGCCAAATATCCACTTGCAGATTCCACAAAAAGAGCGTTTCAAAACTTCTCTATGAAAAGAAAGGTTCTACTCCTTTAGTTGAGGACACACATCACGAGTAAGTTTCTGAGAATGCTTCTGTCTAGTTTTTATGGGAAGATATGTCCTTTTTCACCTTAGGCCGGAAAGCGCTCCAAATGTCCACTTACACACACTACAAAAAGAGTGTTTCAAACCTGCTCTGTGAAAGGGAATGTTCAATTCTGTGACTTGAATGCAATCATCACAAAGAACTTTCTGAGAATGCTGCTGTCTGCTTTTTATATGTAATCCCGTTTCCAACGAAATCCTCAAATGTAGCCCAATATCCACTTGCAGATTCCACAAAAAGAGTGTTTCAAAACTGTTCTGTCTAAAGAAAAGTTCAACTGTGTTAGTTGAGGACACACATCAGAAACTAGTTTCTGAGAATGCTTCTGTCTAGTTGTTATGGGAAGATATTTCCTTTTCCAACGTAGGCCTGAAAGCGCTCCAAATGTCCACTTCCATATACTAAAAAAAGAGTGTTTCAAACCTGCTCTACCAAAGGGAATGTTCTACTCTGTGACTTGAATGCAAACATCCCAAAGAAGTTTCTGAGAATGCTTCTGTCTAGATTTTATCTGAAGACAATCCCGTTTCCAACGAAATCCTCAAGGCTAGGCAAATATACTCTTGCAGATTCCAGCAAAAGAGTGTTTCAAAACTGTTCCTTCAAAACGGTGGTTCAATTGTCTTAGTTGAGTACACACATCTCAAATAAGTTTCTGAGAATGCTTCTGCCTAGTTGTTACGGGAAGATATTTCCCTTTCCAACATGGGCCTGAAAGCGCTCCAAATGTCCACTTCCAGATACTACAAAAAGAGTGTTTCAAACCTGCTCTACCAAAGGGAATGTTCTACTCTGTGACTTGAATGCAAACATCCCAAAGAAGTTTCTGAGAATGCTTCTGTCTAGATTTTACCTGAAGACAATCCCGTTTCCCACGAAATCCTCAAAGCTATGCAAATATCCTCTTGCGGATTCTACAAAAAGAGTGTTTCAAAACTGCTCTATGAAAAGAAAGGTTCAACTCTGTCAGTAGAGGGCACACATCACAAACAAGTTTCTGAGAATGCTTGTGTCTAGTTGTTATGGGAAGATATTTCCTTTTTCAACATAGGCCTGAAAGCGCTCCAAATGTCCACTTCCAGATACTACAAAAGGAGTGATTCCAACATGCTCTATGATAGGGAATGTTCATCTCTGTGTCTTGAATACAAACATCACAAAGATGTTTCTCAGAACGCTGCAGTCTGCAATTTGTATGAATTCCCGCTTCCAACGAAATCCTCAAAACTAGCCAAATATCCACTTGGAGATTCCACAAAAAGAGCGTTTCAAAACTTCTCCATGAATAGAAAGGTTCTACTCCTTTAGTTGAGGACACACATCACGAGTAAGTTTCTGAGAATGCTTCTGTCTAGTTTTTATGGGAAGATATGTCCTTTTTCACCTTAGGCCGGAAAGCGCTCCAAATGTCCACTTACACACACTACAAAAAGAGTGTTTCAAACCTGCTCTGTGAAAGGGAATGTTCAATTCTGTGACTTGAATGCAATCATCACAAAGAACTTTCTGAGAATGCTGCTGACTGCTTTTTATATGTAATCCCGTTTCCAACGAAATCCTCAAATCTAGTCCAATATCCACTTGCAGATTCCACAAAAAGAGTGTTTCAAAACTGTTCTGTCTAAAGAAAAGTTCAACTGTGTTAGTTGAGGACACACATCAGAAACTAGTTTCTGAGAATGCTTCTGTCTAGTTGTTATGGGAAGATATTTCCTTTTCCAACGTAGGCCTGAAAGCGCTCCAAATGTCCACTTCCATATACTAAAAAAAGAGTGTTTCAAACCTGCTCTACCAAAGGGAATGTTCTACTCTGTGACTTGAATGCAAACATCCCAAAGAAGTTTCTGAGAATGCTTCTGTCTAGATTTTATCTGAAGACAATCCCGTTTCCAACGAAATCCACAAAGCTAGGAAGATATACTCTTGCAGATTCCAGAAAAAGAGTGTTTCAAAACTGCTCCTTCAAAACGGTGGTTCAATTCTCTTAGTTGAGTACACACATCTCAAATAAGTTTCTGAGAATGCTTCTGCCTAGTTGTTACGGGAAGATATTTCCCTTTCCAACATGGGCCTGAAAGCGCTCCAAATGTCCACTTCCAGATACTACAAAAAGAGTGTTTCAAACCTGCTCTACCAAAGGGAATGTTCTACTCTGTGACTTGAATGCAAACATCCCAAAGAAGTTTCTGAGAATACTTCTGTCTAGATTTTACCTGAAGACAATCCCGTTTCCCACGAAATCCTCAAAGCTATGCAAATATCCTCTTGCAGATTCTACAAAAAGAGTGTTTCAAAACTGCTCTATGAAAAGAAAGGTTCAACTCTGTCAGTAGAGGGCACACATCACAAACAAGTTTCTGAGAATGCTTCTGCATAGTTGTTACGGGAAGATATTTCCCTTTCCAAAATAGGCCTGAAAGCGCTCCAAATGTCCACTTCCAGATACTACAAAAGGAGTGATTCCAACCTGCTCTATGATAGGGAATGTTCAACTCTGTGTCCTGAATACAAACATCACAAAGATGTTTCTCAGAACGCTGCAGTCTGCAATTTGTATGAATTCCCGCTTCCAACGAAATCCTCAAAACTAGCCAAATATCCACTTGCAGATTCCACAAAAAGACCATTTCAAAACTGCTCTATCAAAAGAAAGGTTCAACTTTGTTAGTTGAGTAGATACAGCATAAACAAGTTTCTGAGAATGCTTCTGTCCAGTTTTTATGGGAAGATATTTCCTTTTTCACCTTAGCCCTGAAATCGCTCCAAAAGTCCAGTTCCAGATACTACAAAAGGGGTGTTTCAAGACTGCTCTATGAAAGGGAGTGTTCAACTTTTGACTTGAATGCAAACATCAGAAAGCAGTTTCTCAGAACGCTGCTGTGTGCTTTTTATATGTATTCCCGCTTCCAGCGAAATCCCCAAAGCTAGCCAAATATCCACTTGCAGATTCCAGAAAAAGAGAGTTTCAAAACTGCTCCTTCAAAACGGTGGTTCAATTCTCTTAGTTGAGTACACACATCTCAAATAAGTTTCTGAGAATGCTTGTGTCTAGTTGTTATGGGAAGATATTTCCTTTTTCAACATAGGCCTGAAAGCGCTCCAAATGTCCACTTCCAGATACTATAAAAGGAGTGATTCCAACCTGCTCTATGATAGGGAATGTTCAACTCTCTGTCCTGAATACAAACATCACAAAGATGTTTCTCAGAACGCTGCAGTCTGCAATTTGTATGAATTCCCGCTTCCAGCGAAATCCTCAAAACTAGCCAAATATCCACTTGCAGATTCCACAAAAAGAGCATTTCAAAACTGCTCTATCAAAAGAAAGGTTCAACTTTGTTAGTTGAGTAGATACAGCATAAACAAGTTTCTGAGAATGCTTCTGTCCAGTTTTTATGGGAAGATATTTCCTTTTTCACCTTAGCCCTGAAAGCGCTCCAAAAGTCCAGTTCCAGATACTACAAAAGGAGTGTTTCAGGACTGCTCTATGAAAGGGAGTGTTCAACTTTTGACTTGAATGCAAACATCAGAAAGCAGTTTCTCAGAACGCTGCTGTGTGCTTTTTATATGTATTCCCGCTTCCAGCGAAATCCCCAAAGCTAGCCAAATATCCACTTGCAGATTCCAGAAAAAGAGTGTTTCAAAACTGCTCCTTCAAAACGGTGGTTCAATTCTCTTAGTTGAGTACACACATCTCAAATAAGTTTCTGAGAATGCTTCTGTCTAGTTGTTATGGGAAGATATTTCCTTTTCCAACATAGGCCTGAAAGCGCTCCAAATGTCCACTTCCAGATACTACAAAAGGAGTGATTCAAACCTGCTCTATGATAGGGAATGTTCAACTCTGTGTCCTGAATACAAACATCACAAAGATGTTTCTCAGAACGCTGCAGTCTGCAATTTGTATGAATTCCCGCTTCCAACGAAATCCTCCAAACTAGCCAAATATCCACTTGCAGATTCCACAAAAAGAGCGTTTCAAAACTTCTCTGCGAAAGAAAGGTTCTACTCCTTTAGTTGAGGACACACATCACGAGTAAGTTTCTGAGAATGCTTCTGTCTAGTTTTTATGGGAAGATATTTCCTTTCTCACCTTAGGCCGGAAAGTGCTCCAAATGTCCACTTACACACACTACAAAAAGAGTGTTTCAAACCTGCTCTGTGAAAGGGAATGTTCAATTCTGTGACTTGAATGCAATCATCACAAAGAACTTTCTGAGAATGCTGCTGTCTGCTTTTTATATGTAATCCCGTTTCCAACGAAATCCTCAAATCTAGCCAAATAGCCACTTGCAGATTCCACAAAAAGAGAGTTTCAAAACTGTTCTGTCTAAAGAAATGTTCAACTGTGTTAGTTGAGGACACACATCAGAAACTAGTTTCTGAGAATGCTTCTGTCTAGTTGTTATGGGAAGATATTTCCTTTTCCAACGTAGGCCTGAAAGCGCTCCAAATGTCCACTTCCATATACTAAAAAAAGAGTGTTTCACACCTGCTCTACCAAAGGGAATGTTCTACTCTGTGACTTGAATGCAAACATCCCAAAGAAGTTTCTGAGAATGCTTCTGTCTAGATTTGATCTGAAGACAATCCCGTTTCCAACGAAATCCTCAAGGCTAGGCAAATATCCTCTTGCAGATTCCAGAAAAAGAGTGTTTCAAAACTGCTCCTTCAAAACGGTGGTTCAATTCTCTTAGTTGAGTACACACATCTCAAATAAGTTTCTGAGAATGCTTCTGCCTAGTTGTTACCGGAAGATATTTCCCTTTCCAACATAGGCCTGAAAGCGCTCCAAATGTCCACTTCCAGATACTACAAAAAGAGTGTTTCAAACCTGCTCTACCAAAGGGAATGTTCTACTCTGTGACTTGAATGCAAACATCCCAAAGAAGTTTCTGAGAATGCTTCTGTCTAGATTTTACCTGAAGACAATCCCGTTTCCCACGAAATCCTCAAATCTATGCAAATATCCTCTTGCAGATTCTACAAAAAGAGTGTTTCAAAACTGCTCTATGAAAAGAAAGGTTCAACTCTGTCAGTAGAGGGCACACATCACAAACAAGTTTCTGAGAATGCTTGTGTCTAGTTGTTATGGGAAGATATTTCCTTTTTCAACATAGGCCTGAAAGCGCTCCAAATGTCCACTTCCAGATACTACAAAAGGAGTGATTCCAACCTGCTCTATGATAGGGAATGTTCAACTCTGTGTCCTGAATACAAACATCACAAAGATGTTTCTCAGAACGCTGCAGTCTGCAATTTGTATGAATTCCCGCTTCCAACGAAATCCTCAAAACTAGCCAAATATCCACTTGCAGATTCCACAAAAAGACCATTTCAAAACTGCTCTATCAAAAGAAAGGTTCAACTTTGTTAGTTGAGTAGATACAGCATAAACAAGTTTCTGAGAATGCTTCTGTCCAGTTTTTATGGGAAGATATTTCCTTTTTCACCTTAGCCCTGAAAGCGCTCCAAATTTCCAGTTCCAGATACTACAAAAGGGGTGTTTCAAGACTGCTCTATGAAAGGGAGTGTTCAAGTTTTGACTTGAATGCAAACATCAGAAAGCAGTTTCTCAGAACGCTTCTGTGTGCTTTTTATATGTATTCCCGCTTACAGCGAAATCCCCAAAGCTAGCCAAATATCCACTTGCAGATTCCAGAAAAAGAGTGTTTTCAAACTGCTCCTTCAAAACGGTGGTTCAATTCTCTTAGTTGAGTACACACATCTCAAATAAGTTTCTGGGAATGCTTCTGTCTAGTTGTTATGGTAAGATATTTCCTTTTCCAACATAGGCCTGAAAGCGCTCCAAATGTCCACTTCCAGCTACTACAAAAGGAGTGATTCAAACCTGCTCTATGATAGGGAATGTTCAACTCTGTGTCCTGAATACAAACATCACAAAGATGTTTCTCAGAACGCTGCAGTCTGCAATTTGTATGAATTCCCGCTTCCAACGAAATCCTCAAAACTAGCCAAATATCCACTTGCAGATTCCACAAAAAGAGCGTTTCAAAACTTCTCTATGAAAAGAAAGGTTCTACTCCTTTAGTTGAGGACACACATCACGAGTAAGTTTCTGAGAATGCTTCTGTCTAGTTTTTATGGGAAGATATTTCCTTTTTCACCTTAGGCCGGAAAGTGCTCCAAATGTCCACTTACACACACTACAAAAAGAGTGTTTCAAACCTGCTCTGTGAAAGGGAATGTTCAATTCTGTGACTTGAATGCAATCATCACAAAGAACTTTCTGAGAATGCTGCTGTCTGCTTTTTATATGTAATCCCGTTTCCAACGAAATCCTCAAATCTAGCCAAATAGCCACTTGCAGATTCCACAAAAAGAGTGTTTCAAAACTGTTCTGTCTAAAGAAATGCTCAACTGTGTTAGTTGAGGACACACATCAGAAACTAGTTTCTGAGAATGCTTCTGTCTAGTTGTTATGGGAAGATATTTCCTTTTCCAACGTAGGCCTGAAAGCGCTCCAAATGTCCACTTCCATATACTAAAAAAAGAGTGTTTCAAACCTGCTCTACCAAAGGGAATGTTCTACTCTGTGACTTGAATGCAAACATCCCAAAGAAGTTTCTGAGAATGCTTCTGTCTAGATTTTATCTGAAGACAATCCCGTTTCCAACGAAATCCTCAAGGTTAGGCAAATATACTCTTGCAGATTCCAGAAAAAGAGTGTTTCAAAACTGCTCCTTCAAAACGGTGGTTCAATTCTCTTAGTTGAGTCCACACATCTCAAATAAGTTTCTGAGAATGCTTCTGCCTAGTTGTTACGGGAAGATATTTCCCTTTCCAACATGGGCCTGAAAGCGCTCCAAATGTCCACTTCCAGATACTACAAAAAGAGTGTTTCAAACCTGCTCTACCAAAGGGAATGTTCTACTCTGTGACTTGAATGCAAACATCCCAAAGAAGTTTCTGAGAATGCTTCTGTCTAGATTTTACCTGAAGACAATCCCGTTTCCCACGAAATCCTCAAAGCTATGCAAATATCCTCTTGCAGATTCTATAAAAAGAGTGTTTCAAAACTGCTCTATGAAAAGAAAGGTTCAACTCTGTCAGTAGAGGGCACACATCACAAACAAGTTTCTGAGAATGCTTCTGCATAGTTGTTACGGGAAGATATTTCCCTTTCCAAAATAGGCCTGAAAGCGCTCCAAATGTCCACTTCCAGATACTACAAAAGGAGTGATTCCAACCTGCTCTATGATAGGGAATGTTCAACTCTGTGTCCTGAATACAAACATCACAAAGATGTTTCTCAGAACGCTGCAGTCTGCAATTTGTATGAATTCCCGCTTCCAACGAAATCCTCAAAACTAGCCAAATATCCACTTGCAGATTCCACAAAAAGAGCATTTCAAAACTGCTCTATCAAAAGAAAGGTTCAACTTTGTTAGTTGAGTAGATACAGCATAAACAAGTTTCTGAGAATGCTTCTGTCCAGTTTTTATGGGAAGATATTTCCTTTTTCACCTTAGCCCTGAAGGCGCTCCAAATTTCCAGTTCCAGATACTACAAAAGGGGTGTTTCAAGACTGCTCTATGAAAGGGAGTGTTCAACTTTTGACTTGAATGCAAACATCAGAAAGCAGTTTCTCAGAACGCTGCTGTGTGCTTTTTATATGTATTCCCGCTTCCAGCGAAATCCCCAAAGCTAGCCAAATATCCACTTGCAGATTCCAGAAAAAGAGAGTTTCCAAACTGCTCCTTCAAAACGGTGGTTCAATTCTCTTAGTTGAGTACACACATCTCAAATAAGTTTCTGGGAATGCTTCTGTCTAGTTGTTATGGGAAGATATTTCCTTTTTCAACATAGGCCTGAAAGCGCTCCAAATGTCCACTTCCAGATACTACAAAAGGAGTGATTCCAACCTGCTCTATTATAGGGAATGTTCAACTCTGTGTCCTGAATACAAACATCACAAAGATGTTTCTCAGAACGCTGCAGTCTGCAATTTGTATGAATTCCCGCTTCCAACGAAATCCTCAAAACTAGCCAAATATCCACTTGCAGATTCCACAAAAAGAGCGTTTCAAAACTTCTCTATGAAAAGAAAGGTTCTACTCCTTTAGTTGAGGACACACATCACGAGTAAGTTTCTGAGAATGCTTCTGTCTAGTTTTTATGGGAAGATATTTCCTTGTTCACCTTAGGCCGGAAAGCGCTCCAAATGTCCACTTACACACACTAGAAAAAGAGTGTTTCAAACCTGCTCTGTGAAAAGGAATGTTCAATTCTGTGACTTGAATGCAATCATCACAAAGAAGTTTCTGAGAATGCTGCTGTCTGCTTTTTATATGTAATCCCGTTTCCAACGAAATCCTCAAATCTAGCCAAATATCCACTTGCAGATTCCACAAAAAGAGTGTTTCAAAACTGTTCTGTCTAAAGAAATGTTCAACTGTGTTAGTTGAGGACACACATCAGAAACTAGTTTCTGAGAATGCTTCTGTCTAGTTGTTATGGGAAGATATTTCCTTTTCCAACGTAGGCCTGAAAGCGCTCCAAATGTCCACTTACACACACTACAAAAAGAGTGTTTCAAACCTGCTCTACCAAAGTGAATGTTCTACTCTGTGACTTGAATGCAAACATCCCAAAGAAGTTTCTGAGAATGCTTCTGTCTAGATTTAACCTGAAGACAATCCCGTTTCCCACGAAATCCTCAAAGCTATGCAAATATCCTCTTGCAGATTCTACAAAAAGAGAGTTTCGAAACTGCTCTATGAAAAGAAAGGTTCAACTGTGTCAGTAGAAGGCACACATCACAAACAAGTTTCTGAGAATGCTTCTGCCTAGTTGTTATGGGAAGATATTTCCTTTTTCAACATAGGCCTGAAAGCGCTCCAAATGTCCACCTCCAGATACTACAAAAGGAGTGATTCCAACCTGCTCTATGATAGGGAATGTTCAACTCTGTGTCCTGAATACAATCATCACAAAGAAGTTTCTGAGAATGCTGCTGTCTGCTTTTTATATGTAATCCCTTTTCCAACGAAATCCTCAAATCTAGCCAAATATCCACTTGCAGATTCCACAAAAGAGTGTTTCAAAACTGTTCTGTCTAAAGAAAAGTTCAACTGTGTTAGTTGAGGACACACATCAGAAACTAGTTTCTGAGAATGCTTCTGTCTAGTTGTTATGGGAAGATATTTCCTTTTCCAACGTAGGCCTGAAAGCGCTCCAAATGTCCACTTACACACACTACAAAAAGAGTGTTTCAAACCTGCTCTACCAAAGGGAATGTTTTACTCTGTGACTTGAATGCAAACATCCCAAAGAAGTTTCTGAGAATGCTTCTGTCTAGATTTTACCTGAAGACAATCCCGTTTCCCACGAAATCCTCAAAGCTATGCAAATATCCTCTTGCAGATTCTACAAAAAGAGTGTTTCGAAAGTGCTCTATGAAAAGAAAGGTTCAACTCTGTCAGTAGAGGGCACACATCACAAACAAGTTTCTGAGAATGCCTCTGTCTAGTTGTTATGGGAAGATAATTCCTTTTTCAACATATGCCTGAAAGCGCTCCAAATGTCCACTTCCAGATACTACAAAAGGAGTGATTCCAACCTGCTCTATGATAGGGAATGTTCAACTCTGTGTCCTGAATACAAACATCACAAAGATGTTTCTCAGAACGCTGCAGTCTGCAATTTGTATGAATTCCCGCTTTCAACGAAATCCCCAAAACTAGCCAAATATCCACTTGCAGATTCCACAAAAAGAGCGTTTCAAAACTTCTCTATGAAAAGAAAGGTTCTACTCCTTTAGTTGAGGACACACATCACGAGTAAGTTTCTGAGAATGCTTCTGTCTAGTTTTTATGGGAAGATATTTCCTTGTTCACCTTAGGCCGGAAAGCG
The DNA here is from genome assembly GCF_000001405.40 of Homo sapiens. Lineage (NCBI taxonomy): Eukaryota > Metazoa > Chordata > Mammalia > Primates > Hominidae > Homo > Homo sapiens. The sequence continues at coordinate 18,381,443 of NC_000018.10, read as the reverse complement.
CTCCAAATGTCCACTTACACACACTACAAAAAGAGTGTTTCAAACCTGCTCTGTGAAAGGGAATGTTCAATTCTGTGACTTGAATGCAATCATCACAAAGAAGTTTCTGAGAATGCTGCTGTCTGCTTTTTATATGTAATCCCGTTTCCAACGAAATCCTCAAATCTAGCCAAATATCCACTTGCAGATTCCACAAAAAGAGTGTTTCAAAACTGTTCTGTCTAAAGAAATGTTCAACTGTGTTAGTTGAGGACACACATCAGAAACTAGTTTCTGAGAATGCTTCTGTCTAGTTGTTATGGGAAGATATTTCCTTTTCCAACGTAGGCCTGAAAGCGCTCCAAATGTCCACTTCCATATACTAAAAAAAGAGTGTTTCAAACCTGCTCTACCAAAGGAATGTTCTACTCTGTGACTTGAATGCAAACATCCCAAAGAAGTTTCTGAGAATGCTTCTGTCTAGATTTGATCTGAAGACAATCCCTTTTCCAACGAAATCCTCAAAGCTAGGCAAATATCCTCTTGCAGATTCCAGAAAAAGAGTGTTTCCAAACTGCTCCTTCAAAACGGTGGTTCAATTCTCTTAGTTGAGTACACACATCTCAAATAAGTTTCTGAGAATGCTTCTGCCTAGTTGTTACGGGAAGATATTTCCCTTTCCAACATAGGCCTGAAAGCGCAACAAATGTCCACTTCCAGATACGACAAAAAGAGTGTTTCAAACCTGCTCTACCAAAGGGAATGTTCTACTCTGTGACTTGAATGCAAACATCCCGAAGAAGTTTCTGAGAATGCTTCTGTCTAGATTTTACCTGAAGACAATCCCGTTTCCCACGAAATCCTCAGAGCTATGCAAATATCCTCTTGCAGATTCTACAAAAAGAGTGTTTCGAAACTGCTCTATGAAAAGAAAGGTGCAACTCTGTCAGTAGAGGAAACACATCACCAACAAGTTTCTGAGAATGCTTCTGTCTAGTTGTTATGGGAAGATTTTTCCTTTTTCAACATAGGCCTGAAAGCGCTCCAAATGTCCACTTCCAGATACTACAAAAGGAGTGATCCCAACCTGCTCTATGATAGGGAATGTTCAACTCTGTGTCCTGAATACAAACATCACAAAGATGTTTCTCAGAACGCTGCAGTCTGCAATTTGTATGAATTCCCGCTTCCAACGAAATCCTCAAAACTAGCCAAATATCCACTTGCAGATTCCACAAAAAGAGCATTTCAAAACTGCTCTATCAAAAGAAAGGTTCAACTTTGTTAGTTGAGCAGATACAGCATAAACAAGTTTCTGAGAATGCTTCTGTCCAGTTTTTATGGGAAGATATTTCCTTTTTCACCTTAGCCCTGAAAGCGCTCCAAATGTCCAGTTCCAGATACTACAAAAGGGGTGTTTCAAGACTGCTCTATGAAAGGGAGTGTTCAACTTTTGACTTGAATGCAAACATCAGAAAGCAGTTTCTCAGAACGCTGCTGTGTGCTTTTTATATGTATTCCCGCTTCCAGCGAAATCCCCAAAGCTAGCCAAATATCCACTTGCAGATTCCAGAAAAAGAGAGTTTCCAAACTGCTCCTTCAAAACGGTGGTTCAATTCTCTTAGTTGAGTACACACATCTCAAATAAGTTTCTGGGAATGCTTGTGTCTAGTTGTTATGGGAAGATATTTCCTTTTTCAACATAAGCCTGAAAGCGCTCCAAATGTCCACTTCCAGATACTACAAATGGAGTGATTCCAACATGCTCTATGATAGGGAATGTTCATCTCTGTGTCTTGAATACAAACATCACAAAGATGTTTCTCAGAACGCTGCAGTCTGCATCTTGTATGAATTCCCGCTTCCAACGAAATCCTCCAAACTAGCCAAATATCCACTTGCAGATTCCACAAAAAGAGCGTTTCAAAACTTCTCTATGAAAAGAAAGGTTCTACTCCTTTAGTTGAGGACACACATCACGAGTAAGTTTCTGAGAATGCTTCTGTCTAGTTTTTATGGGAAGATATTTCCTTGTTCACCTTAGGCCGGAAAGCGCTCCAAATGTCCACTTACACACACTACAAAAAGAGTGTTTCAAACCTGCTCTGTGAAAGGGAATGTTCAATTCTGTGACTTGAATGCAATCATCACAAAGAAGTTTCTGAGAATGCTGCTGTCTGCTTTTTATATGTAATCCCGTTTCCAACGAAATCCTCAAATCTAGCCAAATATCCACTTGCAGATTCCACAAAAAGAGTGTTTCAAAACTGTTCTGTCTAAAGAAAAGTTCAACTGTGTTAGTTGAGGACACACATCAGAAACTAGTTTCTGAGAATGCTTCTGTCTAGTTGTTATGGGAAGATATTTCCTTTTCCAACGTAGGCCTGAAAGCGCTCCAAATGTCCACTTCCATATACTAAAAAAAGAGTGTTTCAAACCTGCTCTACCAAAGGAATGTTCTACTCTGTGACTTGAATGCAAACATCCCAAAGAAGTTTCTGAGAATGCTTCTGTCTAGATTTGATCTGAAGACAATCCCTTTTCCAACGAAATCCTCAAAGCTAGGCAAATATCCTCTTGCAGATTCCAGAAAAAGAGTGTTTCCAAACTGCTCCTTCAAAACGGTGGTTCAATTCTCTTAGTTGAGTACACACATCTCAAATAAGTTTCTGAGAATGCTTCTGCCTAGTTGTTATGGGAAGATATTTCCCTTTCCAACATGGGCCTGAAAGCGCTCCAAATGTCCACTTCCAGATACTACAAAAAGAGTGTTTCAAACCTGCTCTACCAAAGGGAATGTTCTACTCTGTGTCTTGAATGCAAACATCCCAAAGAAGTTTCTGAGAATGCTTCTGTCTAGATTTTACCTGAAGACAATCCCGTTTCCCACGAAATCCTCAAAGCTATGCAAATATCCTCTTGCAGATTCTACAAAAAGAGTGTTTCAAAACTGCTCTAAGAAAAGAAAGGTTCAACTCTGTCAGTAGAGGGCACACATCACAAACAAGTTTCTGAGAATGCTTCTGCATAGTTGTTATGGGAAGATATTTCCCTGTCCAAAATAGGCCTGAAAGCGCTCCAAATGTCCACTTCCAGATACTACAAAAGGAGTGATTCCAACCTGCTCTATGATAGGGAATGTTCATCTCTGTGTCCTGAATACAAACATCACAAAGATGTTTCTCAGAACGCTGCAGTCTGCAATTTGTATGAATTCCCGCTTCCAACGAAATCCTCAAAACTAGCCAAATATCCACTTGCAGATTCCACAAAAAGACCATTTCAAAACTGCTCTATCAAAAGAAAGGTTCAACTTTGTTAGTTGAGTAGATACAGCATAAACAAGTTTCTGAGAATGCTTCTGTCCAGTTTTTATGGGAAGATATTTCCTTTTTCACCTTAGCCCTGAAATCGCTCCAAAAGTCCAGTTCCAGATACTACAAAAGGGGTGTTTCAAGACTGCTCTATGAAAGGGAGTGTTCAACTTTTGACTTGAATGCAAACATCAGAAAGCAGTTTCTCAGAACGCTGCTGTGTGCTTTTTATATGTATTCCCGCTTCCAGCGAAATCCCCAAAGCTAGCCAAATATCCACTTGCAGATTCCAGAAAAAGAGAGTTTCAAAACTGCTCCTTCAAAACGGTGGTTCAATTCTCTTAGTTGAGTACACACATCTCAAATAAGTTTCTGAGAATGCTTCTGTCTAGTTGTTATGGGAAGATATTTCCTTTTCCAACATAGGCCTGAAAGCGCTCCAAATGTCCACTTCCAGATACTACAAAAGGAGTGATTCCAACCTGCTCTATGATAGGGAATGTTCAACTCTGTGTCCTGAATACAAACATCACAAAGATGTTTCTCAGAACGCTGCAGTCTGCAATTTGTATGAATTCCCGCTTCCAACGAAATCCTCAAAACTAGCCAAATATCCACTTGCAGATTCCACAAAAAGAGCATTTCAAAACTGCTCTATGAAAAGAAAGGTTCAACTCTGTCAGTAGAGGGCACACATCACAAACAAGTTTCTGAGAATGCTTGTGTCTAGTTGTTATGGGAAGATATTTCCTTTTTCAACATAGGCCAGAAAGCGCTCCAAATGTCCACTTCCAGATACTACAAAAGGAGTGATTCCAACCTGCTCTATGATAGGGAATGTTCAACTCTCTGTCCTGAATACAAACATCACAAAGATGTTTCTCAGAACGCTGCAGTCTGCAATTTGTATGAATTCCCGCTTCCAGCGAAATCCTCAAAACTAGCCAAATATCCACTTGCAGATTCCACAAAAAGAGCATTTCAAAACTGCTCTATCAAAAGAAAGGTTCAACTTTGTTAGTTGAGTAGATACAGCATAAACAAGTTTCTGAGAATGCTTCTGTCCAGTTTTTATGGGAAGATATTTCCTTTTTCACCTTAGCCCTGAAAGCGCTCCAAATGTCCAGTTCCAGATACTACAAAAGGGGTGTTTCAAGACTGCTCTATGAAAGGGAGTGTTCAACTTTTGACTTGAATGCAAACATCAGAAAGCAGTTTCTCAGAACGCTGCTGTGTGCTTTTTATATGTATTCCCGCTTCCAGCGAAATCCCCAAAGCTAGCCAAATATCCACTTGCAGATTCCAGAAAAAGAGTGTTTCCAAACTGCTCCTTCAAAACGGTGGTTCAATTCTCTTAGTTGAGTACACACATCTCAAATAAGTTTCTGGGAATGCTTGTGTCTAGTTGTTATGGGAAGACATTTCCTTTTTCAACATAGGCCTGAAAGCGCTCCAAATGTCCACTTCCAGATACTACAAAAGGAGTGATTCCAACCTGCTCTATGATAGGGAATGTTCAACTCTGTGTCCTGAATACAAACATCACAAAGATGTTTCTCAGAACGCTGCAGTCTGCAATTTGTATGAATTCCCGCTTCCAACGAAATCCTCAAAACTAGCCAAATATCCACTTGCAGATTCCACAAAAAGACCATTTCAAAACTGCTCTATCAAAAGAAAGGTTCAACTTTGTTAGTTGAGTAGATACAGCATAAACAAGTTTCTGAGAATGCTTCTGTCCAGTTTTTATGGGAAGATATTTCCTTTTTCACCTTAGCCCTGAAATCGCTCCAAAAGTCCAGTTCCAGATACTACAAAAGGGGTGTTTCAAGACTGCTCTATGAAAGGGAGTGTTCAACTTTTGACTTGAATGCAAACATCAGAAAGCAGTTTCTCAGAACGCTGCTGTGTGCTTTTTATATGTATTCCCGCTTCCAGCGAAATCCCCAAAGCTAGCCAAATATCCACTTGCAGATTCCAGAAAAAGAGAGTTTCAAAACTGCTCCTTCAAAACGGTGGTTCAATTCTCTTAGTTGAGTACACACATCTCAAATAAGTTTCTGAGAATGCTTCTGTCTAGTTGTTATGGGAAGATATTTCCTTTTCCAACATAGGCCTGAAAGCGCTCCAAATGTCCACTTCCAGATACTACAAAAGGAGTGATTCCAACCTGCTCTATGATAGGGAATGTTCAACTCTGTGTCCTGAATACAAACATCACAAAGATGTTTCTCACAACGCTGCAGTCTGCAATTTGTATGAATTCCCGCTTCCAACGAAATCCTCAAAACTAGCCAAATATCCACTTGCAGATTCCACAAAAAGACCATTTCAAAACTGCTCTATCAAAAGAAAGGTTCAACTTTGTTAGTTGAGTAGATACAGCATAAACAAGTTTCTGAGAATGCTTCTGTCCAGTTTTTATGGGAAGATATTTCCTTTTTCACCTTAGCCCTGAAATCGCTCCAAAAGTCCAGTTCCAGATACTACAAAAGGGGTGTTTCAAGACTGCTCTATGAAAGGGAGTGTTCAACTTTTGACTTGAATGCAAACATCAGAAAGCAGTTTCTCCGAACGCTGCTGTGTGCTTTTTATATGTATTCCCGCTTCCAGCGAAATCCCCAAAGCTAGCCAAATATCCACTTGCAGATTCCAGAAAAAGAGAGTTTCAAAACTGCTCCTTCAAAACGGTGGTTCAATTCTCTTAGTTGAGTACACACATCTCAAATAAGTTTCTGAGAATGCTTCTGTCTAGTTGTTATGGGAAGATATTTCCTTTTCCAACATAGGCCTGAAAGCGCTCCAAATGTCCACTTCCAGATACTACAAAAGGAGTGATTCAAACCTGCTCTATGATAGGGAATGTTCAACTCTGTGTCCTGAATACAAACATCACAAAGATGTTTCTCAGAACGCTGCAGTCTGCAATTTGTATGAATTCCCGCTTCCAACGAAATCCTCAAAACTAGCCAAATATCCACTTGCAGATTCCACAAAAAGAGCGTTTCAAAACTTCTCTATGAAAAGAAAGGTTCTACTCCTTTAGTTGAGGACACACATCACGAGTAAGTTTCTGAGAATGCTTCTGTCTAGTTTTTATGGGAAGATTATTTCCTTTTTCACCTTAGGCCGGTAAGTGCTCCAAATGTCCACTTACACACACTACAAAAAGAGTGTTTCAAACCTGCTCTGTGAAAGGGAATGTTCAATTCTGTGACTTGAATGCAATCATCACAAAGAACTTTCTGAGAATGCCGCTGACTGCTTTTTATATGTAATCCCGTTTCCAACGAAATCCTCAAATCTAGCCAAATAGCCACTTGCAGATTCCACAAAAAGAGTGTTTCAAAACTGTTCTGTCTAAAGAAATGTTCAACTGTGTTAGTTGAGGACACACATCAGAAACTAGTTTCTGAGAATGCTTCTGTCTAGTTGTTATGGGAAGATATTTCCTTTTCCAACGTAGGCCTGAAAGCGCTCCAAATGTCCACTTCCAGATACTAAAAAAAGAGTGTTTCAAACCTGCTCTACCAAAGGGAATGTTCTACTCTGTGACTTGAATGCAAGCATCCCAAAGAAGTTTCTGAGAATGCTTCTGTCTAGATTTTCTCTGAAGACAATCCCGTTTCCAACGAAATCCTCAAGGCTAGGCAAATATACTCTTGCAGATTCCAGAAAAAGAGTGTTTCAAAACTGCTCCTTCAAAACGGTGGTTCAATTCTCTTAGTTGAGTACACACATCTCAAATAAGTTTCTGAGAATGCTTCTGCCTAGTTGTTACGGGAAGATATTTCCCTTTCCAACATGGGCCTGAAAGCGCTCCAAATGTCCACTTCCAGATACTACAAAAAGAGTGTTTCAAACCTGCTCTACCAAAGGGAATGTTCTACTCTGTGACTTGAATGCAAACATCCCAAAGAAGTTTCTGAGAATGCTTCTGTCTAGATTTTACCTGAAGACAATCCCGTTTCCCACGAAATCCTCAAAGCTATGCAAATATCCTCTTGCAGATTCTACAAAAAGAGTGTTTCAAAACTGCTCTATGAAAAGAAAGGTTCAACTCTGTCAGTAGAGGGCACACATCACAAACAAGTTTCTGAGAATGCTTCTGCATAGTTGTTACGGGAAGATATTTCCCTTTCCAAAATAGGCCTGAAAGCGCTCCAAATGTCCACTTCCAGATACTACAAAAGGAGTGATTCCAACCTGCTCTATGATAGGGAATGTTCAACTCTGTGTCCTGAATACAAACATCACAAAGATGTTTCTCAGAACGCTGCAGTCTGCAATTTGTATGAATTCCCGCTTCCAACGAAATCCTCAAAACTAGCCAAATATCCACTTGCAGATTCCACAAAAAGACCATTTCAAAACTGCTCTATCAAAAGAAAGGTTCAACTTTGTTAGTTGAGTAGATACAGCATAAACAAGTTTCTGAGAATGCTTCTGTCCAGTTTTTATGGGAAGATATTTCCTTTTTCACCTTAGCCCTGAAATCGCTCCAAAAGTCCAGTTCCAGATACTACAAAAGGGGTGTTTCAAGACTGCTCTATGAAAGGGAGTGTTCAACTTTTGACTTGAATGCAAACATCAGAAAGCAGTTTCTCCGAACGCTGCTGTGTGCTTTTTATATGTATTCCCGCTTCCAGCGAAATCCCCAAAGCTAGCCAAATATCCACTTGCAGATTCCAGAAAAAGAGAGTTTCAAAACTGCTCCTTCAAAACGGTGGTTCAATTCTCTTAGTTGAGTACACACATCTCAAATAAGTTTCTGAGAATGCTTCTGTCTAGTTGTTATGGGAAGATATTTCCTTTTCCAACATAGGCCTGAAAGCGCTCCAAATGTCCACTTCCAGATACTACAAAAGGAGTGATTCAAACCTGCTCTATGATAGGGAATGTTCAACTCTGTGTCCTGAATACAAACATCACAAAGATGTTTCTCAGAACGCTGCAGTCTGCAATTTGTATGAATTCCCGCTTCCAACGAAATCCTCAAAACTAGCCAAATATCCACTTGCAGATTCCACAAAAAGAGCGTTTCAAAACTTCTCTATGAAAAGAAAGGTTCTACTCCTTTAGTTGAGGACACACATCACGAGTAAGTTTCTGAGAATGCTTCTGTCTAGTTTTTATGGGAAGATATTTCCTTTTTCACCTTAGGCCGGAAAGTGCTCCAAATGTCCACTTACACACACTACAAAAAGAGTGTTTCAAACCTGCTCTGTGAAAGGGAATGTTCAATTCTGTGACTTGAATGCAATCATCACAAAGAACTTTCTGAGAATGCTGCTGTCTGCTTTTTATATGTAATCCCGTTTCCAACGAAATCCTCAAATCTAGCCAAATAGCCACTTGCAGATTCCACAAAAAGAGTGTTTCAAAACTGTTCTGTCTAAAGAAATGTTCAACTGTGTTAGTTGAGGACACACATCAGAAACTAGTTTCTGAGAATGCTTCTGTCTAGTTGTTATGGGAAGATATTTCCTTTTCCAACGTAGGCCTGAAAGCGCTCCAAATGTCCACTTCCATATACTAAAAAAAGAGTGTTTCAAACCTGCTCTACCAAAGGGAATGTTCTACTCTGTGACATGAATGCTAACATCCCAAAGAAGTTTCTGAGAATGCTTCTGTCTAGATTTGATCTGAAGACAATCCCGTTTCCAACGAAATCCTCAAGGCTAGGCAAATATCCTCTTGCAGATTCCAGAAAAAGAGTGTTTCAAAACTGCTCCTTCAAAACGGTGGTTCAATTCTCTTAGTTGAGTACACACATCTCAAATAAGTTTCTGAGAATGCTTCTGCCTAGTTGTTACGGGAAGATATTTCCCTTTCCAACATGGGCCTGAAAGCGCTCCAAATGTCCACTTCCAGATACTACAAAAAGAGTGTTTCAAACCTGCTCTACCAAAGGGAATGTTCTACTCTGTGACTTGAATGCAAACATCCCAAAGAAGTTTCTGAGAACGCTTCTGTCTAGATTTTACCTGAAGACAATCCCGTTTCCCACGAAATCCTCAAAGCTATGCAAATATCCTCTTGCAGATTCTACAAAAAGAGTGTTTCAAAACTGCTCTATGAAAAGAAAGGTTCAACTCTGTCAGTAGAGGGCACACATCACAAACAAGTTTCTGAGAATGCTTCTGCATAGTTGTTACGGGAAGATATTTCCCTTTCCAAAATAGGCCTGAAAGCGCTCCAAATGTCCACTTCCAGATACTACAAAAGGAGTGATTCCAACCTGCTCTATGATAGGGAATGTTCAACTCTGTGTCCTGAATACAAACATCACAAAGATGTTTCTCAGAACGCTGCAGTCTGCAATTTGTATGAATTCCCGCTTCCAACGAAATCCTCAAAACTAGCCAAATATCCACTTGCAGATTCCACAAAAAGACCATTTCAAAACTGCTCTATCAAAAGAAAGGTTCAACTTTGTTAGTTGAGTAGATACAGCATAAACAAGTTTCTGAGAATGCTTCTGTCCAGTTTTTATGGGAAGATATTTCCTTTTTCACCTTAGCCCTGAAAGCGCTCCAAAAGTCCAGTTCCAGATACTACAAAAGGGGTGTTTCAAGACTGCTCTATGAAAGGGAGTGTTCAACTTTTGACTTGAATGCAAACATCAGAAAGCAGTTTCTCAGAACGCTGCTGTGTGCTTTTTATATGTATTCCCGCTTCCAGCGAAATCCCCAAAGCTAGCCAAATATCCACTTGCAGATTCCAGAAAAAGAGAGTTTCAAAACTGCTCCTTCAAAACGGTGGTTCAATTCTCTTAGTTGAGTACACACATCTCAAATAAGTTTCTGAGAATGCTTCTGTCTAGCTGTTATGGGAAGATATTTCCTTTTCCAACATAGGCCTGAAAGCGCTACAAATGTCCACTTCCAGATACGACAAAAGCAGTGATTCCAACCTGCTCTATGATAGGGAATGTTCAACTCTGTGTCCTGAATAAAAACATCACAAAGATGTTTCTCAGAAGGCTGCAGTCTGCAATTTGTATGAATTCCCCATTCCAACGAACTCCTCAACACTAGCCAAATATCCACGTGCAGATTCCACAAAAAGAGCGTTTCAAAACTTCTCTATGAAAAGAACGGTTCTACTCCTTTAGTTGAGGACACACATCACGAGTAAGTTTCTGTGAATGCTTCTGTCTAGTTTTTATGGGAAGATATGTCCTTTTTCACCTTAGGCCGGAAAGCGCTCCAAATGTTCACTTACACACACTACAAAAAGAGTGTTTCAAACCTGCTCTGTGAAAGGGAATGTTCAATTCTGTGACTTGAATGCAATCATCACAAAGAACTTTCTGAGAATGCTGCTGTCTGCTTTTTATATGTAATCCCGTTTCCAACGAAATCCTCAAATCTAGCCAAATATCCACTTGCAGATTCCACAAAAAGAGTGTTTCAAAACTGTTCTGTCTAAAGAAAAGTTCAACTGTGTTAGTTGAAGACACACATCAGAAACTAGTTTCTGAGAATGCTTCTGTCTAGTTGTTATCGGAAGATATTTCCTTTTCCAACGTAGGCCTGAAAGCGCTCCAAATGTCCACTTCCATATACTAAAAAAAGAGTGTTTCAAACCTGCTCTACCAAAGGGAATGTTCTACTCTGTGACTTGAATGCAAACATCCCAAAGAAGTTTCTGAGAATGCTTCTGTCTTGATTTTATCTGAAGACAATCCCGTTTCCAACGAAATCTTCAAGGCTAGGCAAATATACTCTTGCAGATTCCAGAAAAAGAGTGTTTCAAAACTGCTCCTTCAAAACGGTGGTTCAATTCTCTTAGTTGAGTACACACATCTCAAATAAGTTTCTGAGAATGCTTCTGCCTAGTTGTTACGGGAAGATATTTCCCTTTCCAACATGGGCCTGAAAGCGCTCCAAATGTCCACTTCCAGATACTACAAAAAGAGGGTTTCAAACCTGCTCTACCAAAGGGAATGTTCTACTCTGTGACTTGAATGCAAACATCCCAAAGAAGTTTCTGAGAATGCTTCTGTCTAGATTTTACCTGAAGACAATCCCGTTTCCCACGAAATCCTCAAAGCTATGCAAATATCCTCTTGCAGATTCTACAAAAAGAGTGTTTCAAAACTGCTCTATGAAAAGAAAGGTTCAACTCTGTCAGTAGAGGGCACACATCACAAACAAGTTTCTGAGAATGCTTGTGTCTAGTTGTTATGGGAAGATATTTCCTTTTTTAACATAGGCCTGAAAGCGCTCCAAATGTCCACTTCCAGATACTACAAAAGGAGTGATTCCAACCTGCTCTATGATAGGGAATGTTCAACTCTGTGTCCTGAATACAAACATCACAAAGATGTTTCTCAGAACGCTGCAGTCTGCAATTTGTATGAATTCCCGCTTCCAACGAAATCCTCAAAACTAGCCAAATATCCACTTGCAGATTCCACAAAAAGAGCATTTCAAAACTGCTCTATCAAAAGAAAGGTTCAACTTTGTTAGTTGAGTAGATACAGCATAAACAAGTTTCTGAGAATGCTTCTGTCCAGTTTTTATGGGAAGATATTTCCTTTTTCACCTTAGCCCTGAAAGCGCTCCAAAAGTCCAGTTCCAGATACTACAAAAGGAGTGTTTCAGGACTGCACTATGAAAGGGAGTGTTCAACTTTTGACTTGAATGCAAACATCAGAAAGCAGTTTCTCAGAACGCTGCTGTGTGCTTTTTATATGTATTCCCGCTTCCAGCGAAATCCCCAAAGCTAGCCAAATATCCACTTGCAGATTCCAGAAAAAGAGTGTTTCAAAACTGCTCCTTCAAAACGGTGGTTCAATTCTCTTAGTTGAGTACACACATCTCAAATAAGTTTCTGAGAATGCTCTGTCTAGTTGTTATGGGAAGATATTTCCTTTTCCAACATAGGCCTGAAAGCGCTCCAAATGTCCACTTCCAGATACTACAAAAGGAGTGATTCCAACCTGCTCTATGATAGGGAATGTTCAACTCTGTGTCCTGAATACAAACATCACAAAGATGTTTCTCAGAACGCTGGCAGTCTGCCAATTTGTATGAATTCCCGCTTCCAACGAAATCCTCAAAACTAGCCAAATATCCACTTGCAGATTCCACAAAAAGAGCGTTTCAAAACTTCTCTATGAAAAGAAAGGTTCTACTCCTTTAGTTGAGGACACACATCACGAGTAAGTTTCTGAGAATGCTTCTGTCTAGTTTTTATGGGAAGATATTTCCTTTTTCACCTTAGGCCGGTACGTGCTCCAAATGTCCACTTACACACACTACAAAAAGAGTGTTTCAAACCTGCTCTGTGAAAGGGAATGTTCAATTCTGTGACTTGAATGCAATCATCACAAAGAACTTTCTGAGAATGCCGCTGACTGCTTTTTATATGTAATCCCGTTTCCAACGAAATCCTCAAATCTAGCCAAATAGCCACTTGCAGATTCCACAAAAAGAGTGTTTCAAAACTGTTCTGTCTAAAGAAATGTTCAACTGTGTTAGTTGAGGACACACATCAGAAACTAGTTTCTGAGAATGCTTCTGTCTAGTTGTTATGGGAAGATATTTCCTTTTCCAACGTAGGCCTGAAAGCGCTCCAAATGTCCACTTCCAGATACTACAAAAAGAGTGTTTCAAACCTGCTCTACCAAAGGGAATGTTCTACTCTGTGACTTGAATGCAAGCATCCCAAAGAAGTTTCTGAGAATGCTTCTGTCTAGATTTTCTCTGAAGACAATCCCGTTTCCAACGAAATCCTCAAGGCTAGGCAAATATACTCTTGCAGATTCCAGAAAAAGAGTGTTTCAAAACTGCTCCTTCAAAACGGTGGTTCAATTCTCTTAGTTGAGTACACACATCTCAAATAAGTTTCTGAGAATGCTTCTGCCTAGTTGTTACGGGAAGATATTTCCCTTTCCAACATGGGCCTGAAAGCGCTCCAAATGTCCACTTCCAGATACTACAAAAAGAGTGTTTCAAACCTGCTCTACCAAAGGGAATGTTCTACTCTGTGACTTGAATGCAAACATCCCAAAGAAGTTTCTGAGAATGCTTCTGTCTAGATTTTACCTGAAGACAATCCCGTTTCCCACGAAATCCTCAAAGCTATGCAAATATCCTCTTGCAGATTCTACAAAAAGAGTGTTTCAAAACTGCTCTATGAAAAGAAAGGTTCAACTCTGTCAGTAGAGGGCACACATCACAAACAAGTTTCTGAGAATGCTTCTGCATAGTTGTTACGGGAAGATATTTCCCTTTCCAAAATAGGCCTGAAAGCGCTCCAAATGTCCACTTCCAGATACTACAAAAGGAGTGATTCCAACCTGCTCTATGATAGGGAATGTTCAACTCTGTGTCCTGAATACAAACATCACAAAGATGTTTCTCAGAACGCTGCAGTCTGCAATTTGTATGAATTCCCGCTTCCAACGAAATCCTCAAAACTAGCCAAATATCCACTTGCAGATTCCACAAAAAGACCATTTCAAAACTGCTCTATCAAAAGAAAGGTTCAACTTTGTTAGTTGAGTAGATACAGCATAAACAAGTTTCTGAGAATGCTTCTGTCCAGTTTTTATGGGAAGATATTTCCTTTTTCACCTTAGCCCTGAAATCGCTCCAAAAGTCCAGTTCCAGATACTACAAAAGGGGTGTTTCAGGACTGCTCTATGAAAGGGAGTGTTCAACTTTTGACTTGAATGCAAACATCAGAAAGCAGTTTCTCAGAACGCTGCTGTGTGCTTTTTATATGTATTCCCGCTTCCAGCGAAATCCCCAAAGCTAGCCAAATATCCACTTGCAGATTCCAGAAAAAGAGAGTTTCAAAACTGCTCCTTCAAAACGGTGGTTCAATTCTCTTAGTTGAGTACACACATCTCAAATAAGTTTCTGAGAATGCTTCTGTCTAGTTGTTATGGGAAGATATTTCCTTTTTCAACATAGGCCTGAAAGCGCTCCAAATGTCCACTTCCAGATAGTACAAAAGGAGTGATTCCAGCCTTCTCTATGATAGGGAATGTTCAACTCTGTGTCCTGAATACAAACATCACAAAGACGTTTCTCAGAACGCTGCAGTCTGCAATTTGTATGAATTCCCGCTTCCAACGAAATCCTCAAACCTAGCCAAATATCCACTTGCAGATTCCACAAAAAGAGCATTTCAAAACTGCTCTATCAAAAGAAAGGTTCAACTTTGTTAGTTGAGTAGATACAGCATAAACAAGTTTCTGAGAATGCTTCTGTCCAGTTTTTATGGGAAGATATTTCCTTTTTCACCTTAGCCCTGAAAGCGCTCCAAATGTCCAGTTCCAGATACTACAAAAGGGGTGTTTCAAGACTGCTCTATGAAAGGGAGTGTTCAACTTTTGACTTGAATGCAAACATCAGAAAGCAGTTTCTCAGAACGCTGCTGTGTGCTTTTTATATGTATTCCCGCCTCCAGCGAAGTCCCCAAAGCTAGCCAAATATCCACTTGCAGATTCCAGAAAAAGAGTGTTTCAAAACTGCTCCTTCAAAACGGTGGTTCAATTCTCTTAGTTGAGTACACACATCTCAAATAAGTTTCTGAGAATGCTTCTGTCTAGTTGTTATGGGAAGATATTTCCTTTTCCAACATAGGCCTGAAAGCGCTCCAAATGTCCACTTCCAGATACTACAAAAGGAGTGATTCAAACCTGCTCTATGATAGGGAATGTTCAACTCTGTGTCCTGAATACAAACATCACAAAGATGTTTCTCAGAACGCTGCAGTCTGCAATTTGTATGAATTCCCGCTTCCAACGAAATCCTCCAAACTAGCCAAATATCCACTTGCAGATTCCACAAAAAGAGCGTTTCAAAACTTCTCTATGAAAAGAAAGGTTCTACTCCTTTAGTTGAGGACACACATCACGAGTAAGTTTCTGAGAATGCTTCTGTCTAGTTTTTATGGGAAGATATTTCCTTTTTCACCTTAGGCCGGAAAGTGCTCCAAATGTCCACTTACACACACTACAAAAAGAGTGTTTCAAACCTGCTCTGTGAAAGGGAATGTTCAATTCTGTGACTTGAATGCAATCATCACAAAGAAGTTTCTGAGAATGCTGCTGTCTGCTTTTAATATGTAATCCCGTTTCCAACGAAATCCTCAAATCTAGCCCAATATCCACTTGCAGATTCCACAAAAAGAGTGTTTCAAAACTGTTCTGTCTAAAGAAATGTACAACTGTGTTAGTTGAGGACACACATCAGAAACTAGTTTCTGAGAATGCTTCTGTCTAGTTGTTATGGGAAGATATTTCCTTTTCCAACGTAGGCCTGAAAGCGCTCCAAATGTCCACTTCCAGATACTAAAAAAAGAGTGTTTCAAACCTGCTCTACCAAAGGGAATGTTCTACTCTGTGACTTGAATGCAAACATCCCAAAGAAGTTTCTGAGAATGCTTCTGTCTAGATTTTCTCTGAAGACAATCCCGTTTCCAACGAAATCCTCAAGGCTAGGCAAATATACTCTTGCAGATTCCAGAAAAAGAGTGTTTCAAAACTGCTCCTTCAAAACGGTGGTTCAATTCTCTTAGTTGAGTACACACATCTCAAAT
The DNA here is from genome assembly GCF_000001405.40 of Homo sapiens. Lineage (NCBI taxonomy): Eukaryota > Metazoa > Chordata > Mammalia > Primates > Hominidae > Homo > Homo sapiens. The sequence continues at coordinate 18,365,586 of NC_000018.10, read as the reverse complement.
AAGTTTCTGAGAATGCTTCTGCCTAGTTGTTACGGGAAGATATTTCCCTTTCCAACATGGGCCTGAAAGCGCTCCAAATGTCCACTTCCAGATACTACAAAAAGAGTGTTTCAAACCTGCTCTACCAAAGGGAATGTTCTACTCTGTGACTTGAATGCAAACATCCCAAAGAAGTTTCTGAGAATGCTTCTGTCTAGATTTTACCTGAAGACAATCCCGTTTCCCACGAAATCCTCAAAGCTATGCAAATATCCTCTTGCAGATTCTACAAAAAGAGTGTTTCAAAACTGCTCTATGAAAAGAAAGGTTCAACTCTGTCAGTAGAGGGCACACATCACAAACAAGTTTCTGAGAATGCTTCTGCATAGTTGTTACGGGAAGATATTTCCCTTTCCAAAATAGGCCTGAAAGCGCTCCAAATGTCCACTTCCAGATACTACAAAAGGAGTGATTCCAACCTGCTCTATGATAGGGAATGTTCAACTCTGTGTCCTGAATACAAACATCACAAAGATGTTTCTCAGAACGCTGCAGTCTGCAATTTGTATGAATTCCCGCTTCCAACGAAATCCTCAAAACTAGCCAAATATCCACTTGCAGATTCCACAAAAAGAGCATTTCAAAACTGCTCTATCAAAAGAAAGGTTCAACTTTGTTAGTTGAGTAGATACAGCATAAACAAGTTTCTGAGAATGCTTCTGTCCAGTTTTTATGGGAAGATATTTCCTTTTTCACCTTAGCCCTGAAAGCGCTCCAAAAGTCCAGTTCCAGATACTACAAAAGGAGTGTTTCAGGACTGCTCTATGAAAGGGAGTGTTCAACTTTTGACTTGAATGCAAACATCAGAAAGCAGTTTCTCAGAACGCTGCTGTGTGCTTTTTATATGTATTCCCGCTTCCAGCGAAATCTCCAAAGCTAGCCAAATAGCCACTTGCAGATTCCAGAAAAAGAGTGTTTCAAAACTGCTCCTTCAAAACGGTGGTTCAATTCTCTTAGTTGAGTACACACATCTCAAATAAGTTTCTGAGAATGCTTCTGTCTAGTTGTTATGGGAAGATATTTCCTTTTCCAACATAGGCCTGAAAGCGCTCCAAATGTCCACTTCCAGATACTACAAAAGGAGTGATTCAAACCTGCTCTATGATAGGGAATGTTCAACTCTGTGTCCTGAATACAAACATCACAAAGATGTTTCTCAGAACGCTGCAGTCTGCAATTTGTATGAATTCCCGCTTCCAACGAAATCCTCAAAACTAGCCAAATATCCACTTGCAGATTCCACAAAAAGAGCGTTTCAAAACTTCTCTATGAAAAGAAAGGTTCTACTCCTTTAGTTGAGGACACACATCACGAGTAAGTTTCTGAGAATGCTTCTGTCTAGTTTTTATGGGAAGATATTTCCTTTTTCACCTTAGGCCGGTAAGTGCTCCAAATGTCCACTTACACACACTACAAAAAGAGTGTTTCAAACCTGCTCTGTGAAAGGGAATGTTCAATTCTGTGACTTGAATGCAATCATCACAAAGAACTTTCTGAGAATGCTGCTGACTGCTTTTTATATGTAATCCCGTTTCCAACGAAATCCTCAAATCTAGCCAAATAGCCACTTGCAGATTCCACAAAAAGAGTGTTTCAAAACTGTTCTGTCTAAAGAAATGTTCAACTGTGTTAGTTGAGGACACACATCAGAAACTAGTTTCTGAGAATGCTTCTGTCTAGTTGTTATGGGAAGATATTTCCTTTTCCAACGTAGGCCTGAAAGCGATCCAAATGTCCACTTCCATATACTAAAAAAAGAGTGTTTCAAACCTGCTCTACCAAAGGGAATGTTCTACTCTGTGACTTGAATGCAAACATCCCAAAGAAGTTTCTGAGAATGCTTCTGTCTAGATTTTCTCTGAAGACAATCCCGTTTCCAACGAAATCCTCAAGGCTAGGCAAATATACTCTTGCAGATTCCAGAAAAAGAGTGTTTCAAAACTGCTCCTTCAAAACGGTGGTTCAATTCTCTTAGTTGAGTACACACATCTCAAATAAGTTTCTGAGAATGCTTCTGCCTAGTTGTTACGGGAAGATATTTCCCTTTCCAACATGGGCCTGAAAGCGCTCCAAATGTCCACTTCCAGATACTACAAAAAGAGTGTTTCAAACCTGCTCTACCAAAGGGAATATTCTACTCTGTGACTTGAATGCAAACATCCCAAAGAAGTTTCTGAGAATGCTTCTGTCTAGATTTTACCTGAAGACAATCCCGTTTCCCACGAAATCCTCAAAGCTATGCAAATATCCTCTTGCAGATTCTACAAAAAGAGTGTTTCAAAACTGCTCTATGAAAAGAAAGGTTCAACTCTGTCAGTAGAGGGCACACATCACAAACAAGTTTCTGAGAATGCTTCTGCATAGTTGTTACGGGAAGATATTTCCCTTTCCAAAATAGGCCTGAAAGCGCTCCAAATGTCCACTTCCAGATACTACAAAAGGAGTGATTCCAACCTGCTCTATGATAGGGAATGTTCAACTCTGTGTCCTGAATACAAACATCACAAAGATGTTTCTCAGAACGCTGCAGTCTGCAATTTGTATGAATTCCCGCTTCCAACGAAATCCTCAAAACTAGCCAAATATCCACTTGCAGATTCCACAAAAAGACCATTTCAAAACTGCTCTATCAAAAGAAAGGTTCAACTTTGTTAGTTGAGTAGATACAGCATAACCAAGTTTCTGAGAATGCTTCTGTCCAGTTTTTATGGGAAGATATTTCCTTTTTCACCTTAGCCCTGAAATCGCTCCAAAAGTCCAGTTCCAGATACTACAAAAGGGGTGTTTCAAGACTGCTCTATGAAAGGGAGTGTTCAACTTTTGACTTGAATGCAAACATCAGAAAGCAGTTTCTCAGAACGCTGCTGTGTGCTTTTTATATGTATTCCCGCTTCCAGCGAAATCCCCAAAGCTAGCCAAATATCCACTTGCAGATTCCAGAAAAAGAGAGTTTCAAAACTGCTCCTTCAAAACGGTGGTTCAATTCTCTTAGTTGAGTACACACATCTCAAATAAGTTTCTGAGAATGCTTCTGTCTAGTTGTTATGGGAAGATATTTCCTTTTCCAACATAGGCCTGAAAGCGCTCCAAATGTCCACTTCCAGATACTACAAAAGGAGTGATTCAAACCTGCTCTATGATAGGGAATGTTCAACTCTGTGTCCTGAATACAAACATCACAAAGATGTTTCTCAGAACGCTGCAGTCTGCAATTTGTATGAATTCCCGCTTCCAACGAAATCCTCAAAACTAGCCAAATATCCACTTGCAGATTCCACAAAAAGAGCGTTTCAAAACTTCTCTATGAAAAGAAAGGTTCTACTCCTTTAGTTGAGGACACACATCACGAGTAAGTTTCTGAGAATGCTTCTGTCTAGTTTTTATGGGAAGATATTTCCTTTTTCACCTTAGGCCGGTAAGTGCTCCAAATGTCCACTTACACACACTACAAAAAGAGTGTTTCAAACCTGCTCTGTGAAAGGGAATGTTCAATTCTGTGACTTGAATGCAATCATCACAAAGAACTTTCTGAGAATGCTGCTGACTGCTTTTTATATGTAATCCCGTTTCCAACGAAATCCTCAAATCTAGCCAAATATCCACTTGCAGATTCCACAAAAAGAGTGTTTCAAAACTGTTCTGTCTAAAGAAATGTACAACTGTGTTAGTTGAGGACACACATCAGAAACTAGTTTGCTGAGATTGCTTCTGTCTAGTTGTTATGGGAAGATATTTCCTTTTCCAACGTAGGCCTGAAAGCGCTCCAAATGTCCACTTCCAGATACTAAAAAAAGAGTGTTTCAAACCTGCTCTACCAAAGGGAATGTTCTACTCTGTGACTTGAATGCAAACATCCCAAAGAAGTTTCTGAGAATGCTTCTGTCTAGATTTTATCTGAAGACAATCCCGTTTCCAACGAAATCCTCAAGGCTAGGCAAATATACTCTTGCAGATTCCAGAAAAAGAGTGTTTCAAAACTGCTCCTTCAAAACGGTGGTTCAATTCTCTTAGTTGAGTCCACACATCTCAAATAAGTTTCTGAGAATGCTTCTGCCTAGTTGTTACGGGAAGATATTTCCCTTTCCAACATGGGCCTGAAAGCGCTCCAAATGTCCACTTCCAGATACTACAAAAAGAGTGTTTCAAACCTGCTCTACCAAAGGGGAATGTTCTACTCTGTGACTTGAATGCAAACATCCCAAAGAAGTTTCTGAGAATGCTTCTGTCTAGATTTTACCTGAAGACAATCCCGTTTCCCACGAAATCCTCAAAGCTATGCAAATATCCTCTTTCGGATTCTACAAAAAGAGTGTTTCAAAACTGCTCTATGAAAAGAAAGGTTCAACTCTGTCAATAGAGGGCACACATCACAAACAAGTTTCTGAGAATGCTTGTGTCTAGTTGTTATGGGAAGATATTTCCTTTTTCAACATAGGCCTGAAAGCGCTCCAAATGTCCACTTCCAGATACTACAAAAGGAGTGATTCCAACCTGCTCTATGATAGGGAATGTTCATCTCTGTGTCCTGAATACAAACATCACAAAGATGTTCCTCAGAACGCTGCAGTCTGCAATTTGGATGAATTCCCGCTTCCAACGAAATCCTCAAAACTAGCCAAATATCCACTTGGAGATTCCACAAAAAGAGGGTTTCAAAACTTCTCTATGAATAGAAAGGTTCTACTCCTTTAGTTGAGGACACACATCACGAGTAAGTTTCTGAGAATGCTTCTGTCTAGTTTTTATGGGAAGATATTTCCTTTTTCACCTTAGGCCGGAAAGCGCTCCAAATGTCCACTTACACATACTACAAAAAGTGTGTTTCAAACCTGCTCTGTGAAAGGGAATGTTCAATTCTGTGACTTGAATGCAATCATCACAAAGAACTTTCTGAGAATGCTGCTGTCTGCTTTTTATATGTAATCCCGTTTCCAACGAAATCTTCAAATCTAGCCAAATATCCACTTGCAGATTCCACAAAAAGAGTGTTTCAAAACTGTTCTGTGTAAAGAAAAGTTCAACTGTGTTAGTTGAGGACACACATCAGAAACTAGTTTCTGAGAATGCTTCTGTCTAGTTGTTATGGGAAGATATTTCCTTTTCCAACGTAGGCATGAAAGCGCTCCAAATGTCCACTTCCATATACTAAAAAAAGAGTGTTTCAAACCTGCTCTACCAAAGGGAATGTTCTACTCTGTGACTTGAATGCAAACATCCCAAAGAAGTTTCTGAGAATGCTTCTGTCTAGATTTTATCTGAAGACAATCCCGTTTCCAACGAAATCCTCAAGGCTAGGCAAATATACTCTTGCAGATTCCAGAAAAAGAGGGTTTCAAAACTGCTCCTTCAAAACGGTGGTTCAATTCTCTTAGTTGAGTACACACATCTCCAATAAGTTTCTGAGAATGCTTCTGCCTAGTTGTTACGGGAAGATATTTCCCTTTCCAACATAGGCCTGAAAGCGCTCCAAATGTCCACTTCCAGATACTACAAAAAGAGTGTTTCAAACGTGCTCTACCAAAGGGAATGTTCTACTCTGTGACTTGAATGCAAACATCCCAAAGAAGTTTCTGAGAATGCTTCTGTCTAGATTTTACCTGAAGACAATCCCGTTTCCCACGAAATCCTCAAAGCTATGCAAATATCCTCTTGCGGATTCTACAAAAAGAGTGTTTCAAAACTGCTCTATGAAAAGAAAGGTTCAACTCTGTCAGTAGAGGGCACACATCACAAACAAGTTTCTGAGAATGCTTGTGTCTACTTGTTATGGGAAGATATTTCCTTTTTCAACATAGGCCTGAAAGCGCTCCAAATGTCCACTTCCAGATACTACAAAAGGAGTGATTCCAACATGCTCTATGATAGGGAATGTTCATCTCTGTGTCTTGAATACAAACATTTCAAAGATGTTTCTCAGAACGCTGCAGTCTGCAATTTGGATGAATTCCCGCTTCCAACGAAATCCTCAAAACTAGCCAAATATCCACTTGGAGATTCCACAAAAACAGCGTTTCAAAACTTCTCTATGAATAGAAAGGTTCTACTCCTTTAGTTGAGGACACACATCACGAGTAAGTTTCTGAGAATGCTTCTGTCTAGTTTTTATGGGAAGATATTTCCTTTTTCACCTTAGGCCGGAAAGCGCTCCAAATGTCCACTTACACACACTACAAAAAGAGTGTTTCAAACCTGCTCTGTGAAAGGGAATGTTCAATTCTGTGACTTGAATGCAATCATCACAAAGAACTTTCTGAGAATGCTGCTGACTGCTTTTTATATGTAATCCCGTTTCCAACGAAATCCTCAAATCTAGCCCAATATCCACTTGCAGATTCCACAAAAAGAGTGTTTCAAAACTGTTCTGTCTAAAGAAATGTACAACTGTGTTAGTTGAGGACACACATCAGAAACTAGTTTCTGAGAATGCTTCTGTCTAGTTGTTATGGGAAGATATTTCCTTTTCCAACGTAGGCCTGAAAGCGCTCCAAATGTCCACTTCCAGATACTAAAAAAAGAGTGTTTCAAACCTGCTCTACCAAAGAGAATGTTCTACTCTGTGACTTGAATGCAAACATCCCAAAGAAGTTTCTGAGAATGCTTCTGTCTAGATTTTATCTGAAGACAATCCCGTTTCCAACGAAATCCTCAAGGCTAGGCAAATATATTCTTGCAGAATCCAGAAAAAGAGTGTTTCAAAACTGCTCCTTCAAAACGGTGGTTCAATTCTCTTAGTTGAGTACACACATCTCAAATAAGTTTCTGAGAATGCTTCTGCCTAGTTGTTACGGGAAGATATTTCCCTTTCCAACATGGGCCTGAAAGCGCTCCAAATGTCCACTTCCAGATACTACAAAAAGAGTGTTTCAAACCTGCTCTACCAAAGGGAATGTTCTACTCTGTGTCTTGAATGCAAACATCCCAAAGAAGTTTCTGAGAATGCTTCTGTCTAGATTTTACCTGAAGACAATCCCGTTTCCCACGAAATCCTCAAAGCTATGCAAATATCCTCTTGCAGATTCTACAAAAAGAGTGTTTCAAAACTGCTCTAAGAAAAGAAAGGTTCAACTCTGTCAGTAGAGGGCACACATCACAAACAAGTTTCTGAGAATGCTTCTGCATAGTTGTTATGGGAAGATATTTCCCTGTCCAAAATAGGCCTGAAAGCGCTCCAAATGTCCACTTCCAGATACTACAAAAGGAGTGATTCCAACCTGCTCTATGATAGGGAATGTTCAACTCTGTGTCCTGAATACAAACATCACAAAGATGTTTCTCATAACGCTGCAGTCTGCAATTTGTATGAATTCCCGCTTCCAACGAAATCCTCAAACCTAGCCAACTATCCACTTGCAGATTCCACAAAAAGAGCATTTCAAAACTGCTCTATCAAAAGAAAGGTTCAACTTTGTTAGTTGAGTAGATACAGCATAAACAAGTTTCTGAGAATGCTTCTGTCCAGTTTTTATGGGAAGATATTTCCTTTTTCACCTTAGCCCTGAAAGCGCTCCAAATGTCCAGTTCCAGATACTACAAAAGGGGTGTTTCAAGACTGCTCTATGAAAGGGAGTGTTCAACTTTTGACTTGAATGCAAACATCAGAAAGCAGTTTCTCAGAACGCTGCTGTGTGCTTTTTATATGTATTCCCGCTTCCAGCGAAATCCCCAAAGCTAGCCAAATATCCACTTGCAGATTCCAGAAAAAGAGTGTTTCAAAACTGCTCCTTCAAAACGGTGGTTCAATTCTCTTAGTTGAGTACACACATCTCAAATAAGTTTCTGAGAATGCTTCTGTCTAGTTGTTATGGGAAGATATTTCCTTTTCCAACATAGGCCTGAAAGCGCTCCAAATGTCCACTTCCAGATACTACAAAAGGAGTGATTCAAACCTGCTCTATGATAGGGAATGTTCAACTCTGTGTCCTGAATACAAACATCACAAAGATGTTTCTCAGAACGCTGCAGTCTGCAATTTGTATGAATTCCCGCTTCCAACGAAATCCTCAAAACTAGCCAAATATCCACTTGCAGATTCCACAAAAAGAGCGTTTCAAAACTTCTCTATGAAAAGAAAGGTTCTACTCCTTTAGTTGAGGACACACATCACGAGTAAGTTTCTGAGAGTGCTTCTGTCTAGTTTTTATGGGAAGATATTTCCTTTTTCACCTTAGGCCGGAAAGTGCTCCAAATGTCCACTTACACACACTACAAAAAGAGTGTTTCAAACCTGCTCTGTGAAAGGGAATGTTCAATTCTGTGACTTGAATGCAATCATCACAAAGAACTTTCTGAGAATGCTGCTGTCTGCTTTTTATATGTAATCCCGTTTCCAACGAAATCCTCAAATCTAGCCAAATAGCCACTTGCAGATTCGACAAAAAGAGTGTTTCAAAACTGTTCTGTCTAAAGAAATGTTCAACTGTGTTAGTTGAGGACACACATCAGAAACTAGTTTCTGAGAATGCTTCTGTCTAGTTGTTATGGGAAGATATTTCCTTTTCCAACGTAGGCCTGAAAGCGCTCCAAATGTCCACTTCCATATACTAAAAAAAGAGTGTTTCAAACCTGCTCTACCAAAGGGAATGTTCTACTCTGTGACTTGAATGCAAACATCCCAAAGAAGTTTCTGAGAATGCTTCTGTCTAGATTTTATCTGAATACAATCCCGTTTCCAACGAAATCATCAAGGCTAGGCAAATATATTCTTGCAGATTCCAGAAAAAGACTGTTTCAAAACTGCTCCTTCAAAACGGTGGTTCAATTCTCTTAGTTGAGTACACACATCTCAAATAAGTTTCTGACAATGCTTCTGCCTAGTTGTTACGGGAAGATATTTCCCTTTCCAACATAGGCCTGAAAGCGCTCCAAATGTCCACTTCCAGATACTACAAAAAGAGTGTTTCAAACCTGCTCTACCAAAGGGAATGTTCTACTCTGTGACTTGAATGCAAACATCCCAAAGAAGTTTCTGAGAATGCTTCTGTCTAGATTTTACCTGAAGACAATCCCGTTTCCCACGAAATCCTCAAAGCTATGCAAATATCCTCTTGCAGATTCTACAAAAAGAGTGTTTCAAAACTGCTCTATGAAAAGAAAGGTTCAACTCTGTCAGTAGAGGGCACACATCACAAACAAGTTTCTGAGAATGCTTGTGTCTAGTTGTTATGGGAAGATATTTCCTTTTTCAACATAGGCCTGAAAGCGCTCCAAATGTCCACTTCCAGATACTACAAAAGGAGTGATTCCAACATGCTCTATGATAGGGAATGTTCATCTCTGTGTCTTGAATACAAACATCACAAAGATGTTTCTCAGAACGCTGCAGTCTGCAATTTGTATGAATTCCCGCTTCCAACGAAATCCTCAAAACTAGCCAAATATCCACTTGGAGATTCCACAAAAAGAGCGTTTCAAAACTTCTCCATGAATAGAAAGGTTCTACTCCTTTAGTTGAGGACACACATCACGAGTAAGTTTCTGAGAATGCTTCTGTCTAGTTTTTATGGGAAGATATTTCCTTTTTCACCTTAGGCCGGAAAGTGCTCCAAATGTCCACTTACACACACTATACAAAGAGTGTTTCAAACCTGCTCTGTGAAAGGGAATGTTCAATACTGTGACTTGAATGCAATCATCACAAAGAAGTTTCTGAGAATGCTGCTGTCTGCTTTTTATATGTAATCCCGTTTCCAACGAAATCCTCAAATCTGGCCAAATAGCCACTTGCAGATACCACAAAAAGAGTGTTTCAAAACTGTTCTGTCTAAAGAAATGTTCAACTGTGTTAGTTGAGGACACACATCAGAAACTAGTTTCTGAGAATGCTTCTGTCTAGTTGTTATGGGAAGATATTTCCTTTTCCAACGTAGGCCTGAAAGCGCTCCAAATGTCCACTTCCATATACTAAAAAAAGAGTGTTTCAAACCTGCTCTACCAAAGGGAATGTTCTACTCTGTGACTTGAATGCAAACATCCCAAAGAAGTTTCTGAGAATGCTTCTGTCTAGATTTGATCTGAAGACAATCCCTTTTCCAACGAAATCCTCAAGGCTAGGCAAATATCCTCTTGCAGATTCCAGAAAAAGAGTGTTTCAAAACTGCTCCTTCAAAACGGTGGTTCAATTCTCTTAGTTGAGTACACACATCTCAAATAAGTTTCTGAGAATGCTTCTGCCTAGTTGTTACGGGAAGATATTTCCCTTTCCAACATAGGCCTGAAAGCGCTCCAAATGTCCACTTCCAGATACTACAAAAAGAGTGTTTCAAACCTGCTCTACCAAAGGGAATGTTCTACTCTGTGACTTGAATGCAAACATCCCAAAGAAGTTTCTGAGAATGCTTCTGTCTAGATTTTACCTGAAGACAATCCCGTTTCCCACGAAATCCTCAGAGCTATGCAAATATCCTCTTGCAGATTCTACAAAAAGAGTGTTTCGAAACTGCTCTATGAAAAGAAAGGTTCAACTCTGTCAGTAGAGGAAACACATCACCAACAAGTTTCTGAGAATGCTTCTGTCTAGTTGTTATGGGAAGATTTTTCCTTTTTCAACATAGGCCTGAAAGCGCTCCAAATGTCCACTTCCAGATACTACAAAAGGAGTGATCCCAACCTGCTCTATGATAGGGAATGTTCAACTCTGTGTCCTGAATACAAACATCACAAAGATGTTTCTCAGAACGCTGCAGTCTGCAATTTGTATGAATTCCCTCTTCCAACGAAATCCTCAAAACTAGCCAAATATCCACTTGCAGATTCCACAAAAAGAGCGTTTCAAAACTTCTCTATGAAAAGAAAGGTTCTACTCCTTTAGTTGAGGACACACATCACGAGTAAGTTTCTGAGAATGCTCTGTCTAGTTTTTATGGGAAGATATTTCCTTGTTCACCTTAGGCCGGAAAGCGCTCCAAATGTCCACTTACACACACTACAAAAAGAGTGTTTCAAACCTGCTCTGTGAAAGGGAATGTTCAATTCTGTGACTTGAATGCAATCATCACAAAGAAGTTTCTGAGAATGCTGGGTGTCTGCTTTTTATATGTAATCCCGTTTCCAACGAAATCCTCAAATCTAGCCAAATAGCCACTTGCAGATTCCACAAAAAGAGAGTTTCAAAACTGTTCTGTCTAAAGAAATGTTCAACTGTGTTAGTTGAGGACACACATCAGAAACTAGTTTCTGAGAATGCTTCTGTCTAGTTGTTATGGGAAGATATTTCCTTTTCCAACGTAGGCCTGAAAGCGCTCCAAATGTCCACTTCCATATACTAAAAAAAGAGTGTTTCAAACCTGCTCTACCAAAGGGAATGTTCTACTCTGTGACTTGAATGCAAACATCCCAAAGAAGTTTCTGAGAATGCTTCTGTCTAGATTTTCTCTGAAGACAATCCCGTTTCCAACGAAATCCTCAAGGCTAGGCAAATATACTCTTGCAGATTCCAGAAAAAGAGTGTTTCAAAATTGCTCCTTCAAAACGGTGGTTCAATTCTCTTAGTTGAGTACACACATCTCAAATAAGTTTCTGAGAATGCTTCTGCCTAGTTGTTACAGGAAGATATTTCCTTTTCCAACATGGGCCTGAAAGCGCTCCAAATGTCCACTTCCAGATACTACAAAAAGAGTGTTTCAAACCTGCTCTACCAAAGGGAATGTTCTACTCTGTGACTTGAATGCAAACATCCCAAAGAAGTTTCTGAGAATGCTTCTGTCTAGATTTTACCTGAAGACAATCCCGTTTCCCACGAAATCCTCAAAGCTATGCAAATATCCTCTTGCAGATTCTACAAAAAGAGTGTTTCAAAACTGCTCTATGAAAAGAAAGGTTCAACTCTGTCAGTAGAGGGCACACATCACAAACAAGTTTCTGAGAATGCTTCTGCATAGTTGTTACGGGAAGATATTTCCCTTTCCAAAATAGGCCTGAAAGCGCTCCAAATGTCCACTTCCAGATACTACAAAAGGAGTGATTCCAACCTGCTCTATGATAGGGAATGTTCAACTCTGTGTCCTGAATACAAACATCACAAAGATGTTTCTCAGAACGCTGCAGTCTGCAATTTGTATGAATTCCCGCTTCCAACGAAATCCTCAAAACTAGCCAAATATCCACTTGCAGATTCCACAAAAAGACCATTTCAAAACTGCTCTATCAAAAGAAAGGTTCAACTTTGTTAGTTGAGTAGATACAGCATAACCAAGTTTCTGAGAATGCTTCTGTCCAGTTTTTATGGGAAGATATTTCCTTTTTCACCTTAGCCCTGAAATCGCTCCAAAAGTCCAGTTCCAGATACTACAAAAGGGGTGTTTCAAGACTGCTCTATGAAAGGGAGTGTTCAACTTTTGACTTGAATGCAAACATCAGAAAGCAGTTTCTCAGAACGCTGCTGTATGCTTTTTATATGTATTCCCGCTTCCAGCGAAATCCCCAAAGCTAGCCAAATATCCACTTGCAGATTCCAGAAAAAGAGTGTTTCAAAACTGCTCCTTCAAAACGGTGGTTCAATTCTCTTACTTGAGTACACACATCTCAAATAAGTTTCTGAGAATGCTTCTGTCTAGTTTTTATGGGAAGATATTTCCTTTTTCACCTGAGGCCGGAAAGCGCTCCAAATGTCCACTTCCAGATACTACAAAAGGAGTGATTCAAACCTGCTCTATGATAGGGAACGTTCAGCTCTGTGTCCTGAATACAAACATCACAAAGATGTTTCTCAGAACGCTGCAGTCTGCAATTTGTATGAATTCCCGCTTCCAACGAAATCCTCAAAACTAGCCAAATATCCACTTGCAGATTCCACAAAAAGAGCGTTTCAAAACTTCTCTATGAAAAGAAAGGTTCTACTCCTTTAGTTGAGGACACACATCACGAGTAAGTTTCTGAGAATGCTTCTGTCTAGTTTTTATGGGAAGATATTTCCTTTTTCACCTTAGGCCGGTAAGTGCTCCAAATGTCCACTTACACACACTACAAAAAGAGTGTTTCAAACCTGCTCTGTGAAAGGGAATGTTCAATTCTGTGACTTGAATGCAATCATCACAAAGAACTTTCTGAGAATGCTGCTGACTGCTTTTTATATGTAATCCCGTTTCCAACGAAATCCTCAAATCTAGCCCAATAGCCACTTGCAGATTCCACAAAAAGAGTGTTTCAAAACTGTTCTGTCTAAAGAAATGTTCAACTGTGTTAGTTGAGGACACACATCAGAAACTAGTTTCTGAGAATGCTTCTGTCTAGTTGTTATGGGAAGATATTTCCTTTTCCAACGTAGGCCTGAAAGCGATCCAAATGTCCACTTCCATATACTAAAAAAAGAGTGTTTCAAACCTGCTCTACCAAAGGGAATGTTCTACTCTGTGACTTGAATGCAAACATCCCAAAGAAGTTTCTGAGAATGCTTCTGTCTAGATTTTCTCTGAAGACAATCCCGTTTCCAACGAAATCCTCAAGGCTAGGCAAATATACTCTTGCAGATTCCAGAAAAAGAGTGTTTCAAAACTGCTCCTTCAAAACGGTGGTTCAATTCTCTTAGTTGAGTACACACATCTCAAATAAGTTTCTGAGAATGCTTCTGCCTAGTTGTTACGGGAAGATATTTCCCTTTCCAACATGGGCCTGAAAGCGCTCCAAATGTCCACTTCCAGATACTACAAAAAGAGTGTTTCAAACCTGCTCTACCAAAGGGAATGTTCTACTCTGTGACTTGAATGCAAACATCCCAAAGAAGTTTCTGAGAATGCTTCTGTCTAGATTTTACCTGAAGACAATCCCGTTTCCCACGAAATCCTCAAAGCTATGCAAATATCCTCTTGCAGATTCTACAAAAAGAGTGTTTCAAAACTGCTCTATGAAAAGAAAGGTTCAACTCTGTCAGTAGAGGGCACACATCACAAACAAGTTTCTGAGAATGCTTCTGCATAGTTGTTACGGGAAGATATTTCCCTTTCCAAAATAGGCCTGAAAGCGCTCCAAATGTCCACTTCCAGATACTACAAAAGGAGTGATTCCAACCTGCTCTATGATAGGGAATGTTCAACTCTGTGTCCTGAATACAAACATCACAAAGATGTTTCTCAGAACGCTGCAGTCTGCAATTTGTATGAATTCCCGCTTCCAACGAAATCCTCAAAACTAGCCAAATATCCACTTGCAGATTCCACAAAAAGACCATTTCAAAACTGCTCTATCAAAAGAAAGGTTCAACTTTGTTAGTTGAGTAGATACAGCATAAACAAGTTTCTGAGAATGCTTCTGTCCAGTTTTTATGGGAAGATATTTCCTTTTTCACCTTAGCCCTAAAATCGCTCCAAAAGTCCAGTTCCAGATACTACAAAAGGGGTGTTTCAAGACTGCTCTATGAAAGGGAGTGTTCAACTTTTGACTTGAATGCAAACATCAGAAAGCAGTTTCTCAGAACGCTGCTGTGTGCTTTTTATATGTATTCCCGCTTCCAGCGAAATCCCCAAAGCTAGCCAAATATCCACTTGCAGATTCCAGAAAAAGAGTGTTTCAAAACTGCTCCTTCAAAACGGTGGTTCAATTCTCTTAGTTGAGTACACACATCTCAAATAAGTTTCTGAGAATGCTTCTGTCTAGTTTTTATGGGAAGATATTTCCTTTTTCACCTGAGGCCGGAAAGCGCTCCAAATGTCCACTTCCAGATACTACAAAAGGAGTGATTCAAACCTGCTCTATGATAGGGAACGTTCAACTCTGTGTCCTGAATACAAACATCACAAAGATGTTTCTCAGAACGCTGCAGTCTGCAACTTTTATGAATTCCCGCTTCCAACGAAATCCTCAAAACTAGCCAAATATCCACTTGCAGATTCCACAAAAAGAGCGTTTCAAAACTTCTCTATGAAAAGAAAAGTTCTACTCCTTTAGTTGAGGACACACATCACGAGTAAGTTTCTGAGAATGCTCTGTCTAGTTTTTATGGGAAGATATTTCCTTTTTCACCTTAGGCCGGAAAGTGCTCCAAATGTCCACTTACACACACTACAAAAAGAGTGTTTCAAACCTGCTACTGTGAAAGGGAATGTTCAATTACTGTGACTTGAATGCAATCATCACAAAGAACTTTCTGAGAATGCTGGCTGTCTGCTTTTTATATGTAATCCCGTTTCCAACGAAATCCTCAAATCTAGCCAAATAGCCACTTGCAGATTCCACAAAAAGAGTGTTTCAAAACTGTTCTGTCTAAAGAAATGTTCAACTGTGTTAGTTGAGGACACACATCAGAAACTAGTTTCTGAGAATGCTTCTGTCTAGTTGTTATGGGAAGATATTTCCTTTTCCAACGTAGGCCTGAAAGCGCTCCAAATGTCCACTTCCATATACTAAAAAAAGAGTGTTTCAAACCTGCTCTACCAAAGGGAATGTTCTACTCTGTGACTTGAATGCAAACATCCCAAAGAAGTTTCTGAGAATGCTTCTGTCTAGATTTTATCTGAAGACAATCCCGTTTCCAACGAAATTCTCACGGCTAGGCAAATATACTCTTGCAGATTCCAGAAAAAGATTGTTTCAAAACTGCTCCTTCAAAACGTTGGTTAAATTCTCTTAGTTGAGTACACACATCTCAAATAAGTTTCTGAGAATGCTTCTGCCTAGTTGTTACGGGAAGATATTTCCCTTTCCAACATGGGCCTGAAAGCGCTCCAAATGTCCACTTCCAGATACTACAAAAAGAGGGTTTCAAACCTGCTCTACCAAAGGGAATGTTCTACTCTGTGACTTGAATGCAAACATCCCAAAGAAGTTTCTCAGAATGCTTCTGTCTAGATTTTACCTGAAGACAATCCCGTTTCCCACGAAATCCTCAAAGCTATGCAAATATCCTCTTGCAGATTCTACAAAAAGAGTGTTTCAAAACTGCTCTATGAAAAGAAAGGTTCAACTCTGTCAGTAGAGGGCACACATCACAAACAGGTTTCTGAGAATGCTTGTGTCTAGTTGTTATGGGAAGATATTTCCTTTTTCAACATAGGCCTGAAAGCGCTCCAAATGTTCACTTCCAGATACTACAAAAGGAGTGATTCCAACCTGCTCTATGATAGGGAATGTTCATCTCTGTGTCTTGAATACAAACATCACAAAGATGTTTCTCAGAACGCTGCAGTCTGCAATTTGTATGAATTCCCGCTTCCAGCGAAATCCTCAAAACTAGCCAAATATCCACTTGCAGATTCCACAAAAAGAGCATTTCAAAACTGCTCTATCAAAAGAAAGGTTCAACTTTGTTAGTTGAGTAGATACAGCATAAACAAGTTTCTGAGAATGCTTCTGTCCAGTTTTTATGGGAAGATATTTCCTTTTTCACCTTAGCCCTGAAAGCGCTCCAAAAGTCCAGTTCCAGATACTACAAAAGGAGTGTTTCAGGACTGCTCTATGAAAGGGAGTGTTCAACTTTTGACTTGAATGCAAACATCAGAAAGCAGTTTCTCAGAACGCTGCTGTACGCTTTTTATATGTATTCCGGCTTCCAGCGAAATCCCCAAAGCTAGCCAAATATCCACTTGCAGATTCCAGAAAAAGAGTGTTTCAAAACTGCTCCTTCAAAACGGTGGTTCAATTCTCTTAGTTGAGTACACACATCTCAAATAAGTTTCTGAGAATGCTTCTGTCCAGTTTTTATTGGGAAGATATTTCCTTTTTCACCTTAGCCCTGAAATCGCTCCAAAAGTCCAGTTCCAGATACTACAAAAGGGGTGTTTCAGGACTGCTCTATGAAAGGGAGTGTTCAACTTTTGACTTGAATGCAAACATCAGAAAGCAGTTTCTCAGAACGCTGCAGTCTGCAATTTGTATGAATTCCCGCTTCCAACGAAATCCTCCAAACTAGCCAAATATCCACTTGCAGATTCCACAAAAAGAGCGTTTCAAAACTTCTCTATGAAAAGAAAGGTTCTACTCCTTTAGTTGAGGACACACATCACGAGTAAGTTTCTGAGAATGCTTCTGTCTAGTTTATATGGGAAGATATTTCCTTTTTCACCTTAGGCCGGAAAGTGCTCCAAATGTCCACTTACACACACTACAAAAAGAGTGTTTCAAACCTGCTCTGTGAAAGGGAATGTTCAATTCTGTGACTTGAATGCAATCATCACAAAGAACTTTCTGAGAATGCTGCTGTCTGCTTTTTATATGTAATCCCGTTTCCAACGAAATCCTCAAATCTAGCCAAATAGCCACTTGCAGATTCCACAAAAAGAGTGTTTCAAAACTGTTCTGTCTAAAGAAATGTTCAACTGTGTTAGTTGAGGACACACATCAGAAACTAGTTTCTGAGAATGCTTCTGTCTAGTTGTTATGGGAAGATATTTCCTTTTCCAACGTAGGCCTGAAAGCGCTCCAAATGTCCACTTCCATATACGAAAAAAAGAGTGTTTCAAACCTGCTCTACCAAAGGGAATGTTCTACTCTGTGACTTGAATGCAAACATCCCAAAGAAATTTCTGAGAATGCTTCTGTCTAGATTTGATCTGAAGACAATCCCGTTTCCAACGGAATCCTCAAAGCTAGGCAAATATACTCTTGCAGATTCCAGAAAAAGAGTGTTTCAAAACTGCTCCTTCAAAAGGGTGGTTCAATTCTCTTAGTTGAGTACACACATCTCAAATAAGTTTCCGAGAATGCTTCTGCCTAGTTGTTACGGGAAGATATTTCCCTTTCCAACATTGGCCTGAAAGCGCTCCAAATGTCCACTTCCAGATACTACAAAAAGAGTGTTTCAAACCTGCTCTACCAAAGGGAATGTTCTACTCTGTGACTTGAATGCAAACATCCCAAAGAAGTTTCTGAGAGTGCTTCTGTCTAGATTTTACCTGAAGACAATCCCGTTTCCCACGGAAACCTCAAAGCTATGCAAATATCCTCTTGCAGATTCTACAAAAAGAGTGTTTCAAAACTGCTCTATGAAAAGAAAGGTTCAACTCTGTCAGTAGAGGGCACACATCACAAACAAGTTTCTGAGAATGCTTGTGTCTAGTTGTTGTGGGAAGATATTTCCTTTTTCAACATAGGACTGAAAGCGCTCCAAATGTCCACTTCCAGATACTACAAAAGGAGTGATTCCAACCTACTCTATGATAGGGAATGTTCATCTCTGTGTCCTGAATACAAACATCACAAAGATGATTCTCAGAACGCTGCAGTCTGCAATTTGTATGAATTCCCGCTTCCAACGAAATCCTCAAAACTAGCCAAATATCCACTTGGAGATTCCACAAAAAGAGCGTTTCAAAACTTCTCTATGAATAGAAATGTTCTACTCCTTTAGTTGAGGACACACATCACGAGTAAGTTTCTGAGAATGCTTCTGTCTAGTTTTTATGGGAAGATATTTCCTTTTTCACCTGAGGCCGGAAAGCGCTCCAAATGTCCACTTACACACACTACAAAAAGAGGGTTTCAAACCTGCTCTGTGAAAGGGAATGTTCAATTCTGTGACTTGAATGCAATCATCACAAAGAACTTTCTGAGAATGCTGCTGTCTGCTTTTTATATGTAATCCCGTTTCCAACGAAATCCTCAAATCTAGCCAAATATCCACTTGCAGATTCCACAAAAAGAGTGTTTCAAAACTGTTCTGTCTAAAGAAAAGTTCAACTGTGTTAGTTGAGGACACACATCAGAAACTAGTTTCTGAGAATGCTTCTGTCTAGTT
The DNA here is from genome assembly GCF_000001405.40 of Homo sapiens. Taxonomy (NCBI): domain Eukaryota; kingdom Metazoa; phylum Chordata; class Mammalia; order Primates; family Hominidae; genus Homo; species Homo sapiens. The sequence continues at coordinate 18,346,886 of NC_000018.10, read as the reverse complement.
GTTATGGGAAGATATTTCCTTTTCCAACGTAGGCCTGAAAGCGCTCCAAATGTCCACTTCCATATACTAAAAAAAGAGTGTTTCAAACCTGCTCTACCAAAGGGAATGTTCTACTCTGTGACTTGAATGCAAACATCCCAAAGAAGTTTCTGAGAATGCTTCTGTCTAGATTTTCTCTGAAGACAATCCCGTTTCCAACGAAATCCTCAAGGCTAGGCAAATATACTCTTGCAGATTCCAGAAAAAGAGTGTTTCAAAACTGCTCCTTCAAAACGGTGGTTCAATTCTCTTAGTTGAGTACACACATCTCAAATAAGTTTCTGAGAATGCTTCTGCCTAGTTGTTACGGGAAGATATTTCCCTTTCCAACATAGGCCTGAAAGCGCTCCAAATGTCCACTTCCAGATACTACAAAAAGAGTGTTTCAAACCTGCTCTACCAAAGGGAATGTTCTACTCTGTGACTTGAATGCAAACATCCCAAAGAAGTTTCTGAGAATGCTTCTGTCTAGATTTTACCTGAAGACAATCCCGTTTCCCACGAAATCCTCAAAGCTATGCAAATATCCTCTTGCAGATTCTACAAAAAGAGTGTTTCAAAACTGCTCTATGAAAAGAAAGGTTCAACTCTGTCAGTAGAGGGCACACATCACAAACAAGTTTCTGAGAATGCTTGTGTCTACTTGTTATGGGAAGATATTTCCTTTTTCAACATAGGCCTGAAAGCGCTCCAAATGTCCACTTCCAGATACTACAAAAGGAGTGATTCCAACCTGCTCTATGATAGGGAATGTTCAACTCTGTGTCCTGAATACAAACATCACAAAGATGTTTCTCAGAACGCTGCAGTCTGCAATTTGTATGAATTCCCGCTTCCAACGAAATCCTCAAAACTAGCCAAATATCCACTTGCAGATTCCACAAAAAGAGCATTTCAAAACTGCTCTATCAAAAGAAAGGTTCAACTTTGTTAGTTGAGTAGATACAGCATAAACAAGTTTCTGAGAATGCTTCTGTCCAGTTTTTATGGGAAGATATTTCCTTTTTCACCTTAGCCCTGAAAGCGCTCCAAAAGTCCAGTTCCAGATACTACAAAAGGAGTGTTTCAGGACTGCTCTATGAAAGGGAGTGTTCAACTTTTGACTTGAATGCAAACATCAGAAAGCAGTTTCTCAGAACGCTGCTGTGTGCTTTTTATATGTATTCCCGCTTCCAGCGAAATCCCCAAAGCTAGCCAAATATCCACTTGCAGATTCCAGAAAAAGAGTGTTTCAAAACTGCTCCTTCAAAACGGTGGTTCAATTCTCTTAGTTGAGTACACACATCTCAAATAAGTTTCTGAGAATGCTTCTGTCTAGTTCTTATGGGAAGATATTTCCTTTTCCAACATAGGCCTGAAAGCGCTCCAAATGTCCACTTCCAGATACTACAAAAGGAGTGATTCAAACCTGCTCTATGATAGGGAATGTTCAACTCTGTGTCCTGAATACAAACATCACAAAGATGTTTCTCAGAACGCTGCAGTCTGCAATTTGTATGAATTCCCGCTTCCAACGAAATCCTCAAAACTAGCCAAATATCCACTTGCAGATTCCACAAAAAGAGCGTTTCAAAACTTCTCTATGAAAAGAAAGGTTCTACTCCTTTAGTTGAGGACACACATCACGAGTAAGTTTCTGAGAATGCTCTGTCTAGTTTTTATGGGAAGATATTTCCTTTTTCACCTTAGGCCGGAAAGTGCTCCAAATGTCCACTTACACACACTACAAAAAGAGTGTTTCAAACCTGCTACTGTGAAAGGGAATGTTCAATTACTGTGACTTGAATGCAATCATCACAAAGAACTTTCTGAGAATGCTGGCTGTCTGCTTTTTATATGTATTCCCGTTTCCAACGAAATCCTCAAAGCCAGCCAAATATCCACTTGCAGATTCCACAAAAAGAGTGTTTCAAAACTGCTCTCTCAAAAGAAATGTTCAACTCTGTCAGTTGAGGACACACATCACAAATAAGTTTCTGAGAATGCTTCTCTCTAGATTTTATATGAAGATATTCCCGTTTCCAACGAAATCCACAAAGCTATCGAAATATCCACTTGCAGATTCTACAAAAAGAGTGTTTCAAAACTGCTCTATGAAAAGAAAGGTTCTACCCCTTTAGTTGAGGACACACATCACGAGTAAGTTTCTGAGAATGCTTCTGTCTAGTTTTTATGGGAAGATATTTCCTTTTTCACCTGAGGCCGGAAAGCGCTCCAAATGTCCACTTCCAGATACTACAAAAGGAGTGATTCAAACCTGCTCTATGATAGGGAACGTTCAACTCTGTGTCCTGAATACAAACATCACAAAGATGTTTCTCAGAACGCTGCAGTCTGCAATTTGTATGAATTCCCGCTTCCAACGAAATCCTCAAAACTAGCCAAATATCCACTTGCAGATTCCACAAAAAGAGCGTTTCAAAACTTCTCTATGAAAAGAAAGGTTCTACTCCTTTAGTTGAGGACACACATCACGAGTAAGTTTCTGAGAATACTTCTGTCTAGTTTTTATGGGAAGATATTTCCTTTTTCACCTTAGGCCAGAAAGCGCTCCAAATGTCCACTTACACACACTACAAAAAGAGTGTTTCAAACCTGCTCTGTGAAAGGGAATGTTCAATTCTGTGACTTGAATGCGATCATCACAAAGAACTTTCTGAGAATGCTGCTGTCTGCTTTTTATATGTAATCCCGTTTCCAACGAAATCCTCAAATCTACCCCAATATCCACTTGCAGATTCCACAAAAAGAGTGTTTCAAAACTGTTCTGTATAAAGAAATGTACAACTGTGTTAGTTGAGGACACACATCAGAAACTAGTTTCTGAGAATGCTTCTGTCTCGTTGTTATGGGAAGATATTTCCTTTTGCAACGTAGGCCTGAAAGCGCTGCAAATGTCCACTTCCATATAGTAAAAAAAGAGTGTTTCAAACCTGCTCTACCAAAGGGAATGTTCTACTCTGTTACTTGAATGCAAACATCCCAAAGAAGTTTCTGAGAATGCTTCTGTCTAGATTTTATCTGAAGACAATCCCGTTTCCAACGAAATCCTCAAGGCTAGGCAAATATACTCTTGCAGATTCCAGAAAAAGAGGGTTTCAAAACTGCTCCTTCAAAACGGTGGTTCAGTTCTCTTAGTTGAGTACACACATCTCAAATAAGTTTCTGAGAATGCTTCTGCCTAGTTGTTACGGGAAGATATTTCCCTTTCCAACATGGGCCTGAAAGCGCTCCAAATGTCCACTTCCAGATACTACAAAAAGAGTGTTTCAAACCTGCTCTACCAAAGGGAATGTTCTACTCTGTGACTTGAATGCAAACATCCCAAAGAAGTTTCTGAGAATGCTTCTGTCTAGATTTTACCTGAAGACAATCCCGTTTCCCACGAAATCCTCAAAGCTATTCAAATATCCTCTTGCAGATTCTACAAAAAGAGTGTTTCAAAACTGCTCTATGAAAAGAAAGGTTCAACTCTGTCACTAGAGGGCACACATCACAAACAAGTTTCTGAGAATGCTTGTGTCTAGTTGTTATGGGAAGATATTTCCTTTTTCAACATAGGCCTGAAAGCGCTCCAAATGTCCACTTCCAGATACTACAAAAGGAGTGATTCCAACCTGCTCTATGATAGGGAATGTTCAACTCTCTGTCCTGAATACAAACATCACAAAGATGTTTCTCAGAACGCTGCAGTCTGCAATTTGTATGAATTCCCGCTTCCAGCGAAATCCTCAAAACTAGCCAAATATCCACTTGCAGATTCCACAAAAAGAGCATTTCAAAACTGCTCTATCAAAAGAAAGGTTCAACTTTGTTAGTTGAGTAGATACAGCATAAACAAGTTTCTGAGAATGCTTCTGTCCAGTTTTTATGGGAAGATATTTCCTTTTTCACCTTAGCCCTGAAAGCGCTCCAAAAGTCCAGTTCCAGATACTACAAAAGGAGTGTTTCAGGACTGCTCTATGAAAGGGAGTGTTCAACTTTTGACTTGAATGCAAACATCAGAAAGCAGTTTCTCAGAACGCTGCTGTGTGCTTTTTATATGTATTCCCGCTTCCAGCGAAATCCCCAAAGCTAGCCAAATATCCACTTGCAGATTTCAGAAAAAGAGAGTTTCAAAACTGCTCCTTCAAAACGGTGGTTCAATTCTCTTAGTTGAGTACACACATCTCAAATAAGTTTCTGAGAATGCTTTCTGTCCAGTTTTTATGGGAAGATATTTCCTTTTTCACCTTAGCCCTGAAATCGCTCCAAAAGTCCAGTTCCAGATACTACAAAACGGGTGTTTCAAGACTGCTCTATGAAAGGGAGTGTTCAACTTTTGACTTGAATGCAAACATCAGAAAGCAGTTTCTCAGAACGCTGCTGTGTGCTTTTTATATGTATTCCCGCTTCCAGCGAAATCCCCAAAGCTAGCCAAATATCCACTTGCAGATTCCAGAAAAAGAGAGTTTCAAAACTGCTCCTTCAAAACGGTGGTTCAATTCTCTTAGTTGAGTACACACATCTCAAATAAGTTTCTGAGAATGCTTCTGTCTAGTTGTTATGGGAAGATATTTCCTTTTCCAACATAGGCCTGAAAGCGCTCCAAATGTCCACTTCCAGATACTACAAAAGGAGTGATTCAAACCTGCTCTATGATAGGGAATGTTCAACTCTGTGTCCTGAATACAAACATCACAAAGATGTTTCTCAGAACGCTGCAGTCTGCAATTTGTATGAATTCCCGCTTCCAACGAAATCCTCAAAACTAGCCAAATATCCACTTGCAGATTCCACAAAAAGAGCGTTTCAAAACTTCTCTATGAAAAGAAAGGTTCTACTCCTTTAGTTGAGGACACACATCACGAGTAAGTTTCTGAGAATGCTTCTGTCTAGTTTTTATGGGAAGATATTTCCTTTTTCACCTTAGGCCGGTAAGTGCTCCAAATGTCCACTTACACACACTACAAAAAGAGTGTTTCAAACCTGCTCTGTGAAAGGGAATGTTCAATTCTGTGACTTGAATGCAATCATCACAAAGAACTTTCTGAGAATGCCGCTGACTGCTTTTTATATGTAATCCCGTTTCCAACGAAATCCTCAAATCTAGCCAAATAGCCACTTGCAGATTCCACAAAAAGAGTGTTTCAAAACTGTTCTGTCTAAAGAAATGTTCAACTGTGTTAGTTGAGGACACACATCAGAAACTAGTTTCTGAGAATGCTTCTGTCTAGTTGTTATGGGAAGATATTTCCTTTTCCAACGTAGGCCTGAAAGCGCTCCAAATGTCCACTTCCAGATACTACAAAAAGAGTGTTTCAAACCTGCTCTACCAAAGGGAATGTTCTACTCTGTGACTTGAATGCAAGCATCCCAAAGAAGTTTCTGAGAATGCTTCTGTCTAGATTTTCTCTGAAGACAATCCCGTTTCCAACGAAATCCTCAAGGCTAGGCAAATATACTCTTGCAGATTCCAGAAAAAGAGTGTTTCAAAACTGCTCCTTCAAAACGGTGGTTCAATTCTCTTAGTTGAGTACACACATCTCAAATAAGTTTCTGAGAATGCTTCTGCCTAGTTGTTACGGGAAGATATTTCCCTTTCCAACATGGGCCTGAAAGCGCTCCAAATGTCCACTTCCAGATACTACAAAAAGAGTGTTTCAAACCTGCTCTACCAAAGGGAATGTTCTACTCTGTGACTTGAATGCAAACATCCCAAAGAAGTTTCTGAGAATGCTTCTGTCTAGATTTTACCTGAAGACAATCCCGTTTCCCACGAAATCCTCAAAGCTATGCAAATATCCTCTTGCAGATTCTACAAAAAGAGTGTTTCAAAACTGCTCTATGAAAAGAAAGGTTCAACTCTGTCAGTAGAGGGCACACATCACAAACAAGTTTCTGAGAATGCTTCTGCATAGTTGTTACGGGAAGATATTTCCCTTTCCAAAATAGGCCTGAAAGCGCTCCAAATGTCCACTTCCAGATACTACAAAAGGAGTGATTCCAACCTGCTCTATGATAGGGAATGTTCAACTCTGTGTCCTGAATACAAACATCACAAAGATGTTTCTCAGAACGCTGCAGTCTGCAATTTGTATGAATTCCCGCTTCCAACGAAATCCTCAAAACTAGCCAAATATCCACTTGCAGATTCCACAAAAAGACCATTTCAAAACTGCTCTATCAAAAGAAAGGTTCAACTTTGTTAGTTGAGTAGATACAGCATAACCAAGTTTCTGAGAATGCTTCTGTCCAGTTTTTATGGGAAGATATTTCCTTTTTCACCTTAGCCCTGAAATCGCTCCAAAAGTCCAGGTCCAGATACTACAAAAGGGGTGTTTCAAGACTGCTCTATGAAAGGGAGTGTTCAACTTTTGACTTGAATGCAAACATCAGAAAGCAGTTTCTCAGAAAGCTGCTGTGTGCTTTTTATATGTATTCCCGCTTCCAGCGAAATCCCCAAAGCTAGCCAAATATCCACTTGCAGATTCCAGAAAAAGAGAGTTTCAAAACTGCTCCTTCAAAACGGTGGTTCAATTCTCTTAGTTGAGTACACACATCTCAAATAAGTTTCTGAGAATGCTTGTGTCTAGTTGTTATGGGAAGATATTTCCTTTTTCAACATAGGCCTGAAAGCGCTCCAAATGTCCACTTCCAGATACTACAAAAGGAGTGATTCCAACCTGCTCTATGATAGGTAATGTTCATCTCTGTGTCCTGAATACAAACATCACAAACATGTTTCTCAGAACGCTGCAGTCTGCAATTTGTATGAATTCCCGCATCCAACGAAATCCTCAAAACTAGCCAAATATCCACTTGGAGATTCCACAAAAAGAGCGTTTCAAACCTTCTCTATGAATAGAAAGGTTCTACTCCTTTAGTTGAGGACACACATCACGAGTAAGTTTCTGAGAATGCTTCTGTCTAGTTTTTATGGGAAGATATTTCCTTTTTCACCTTAGGCCGGTAAGTGCTCCAAATGTCCACTTACACACACTACAAAAAGAGTGTTTCAAACCTGCTCTGTGAAAGGGAATGTTCAATTCTGTGACTTGAATGCAATCATCACAAAGAACTTTCTGAGAATGCTGCTGACTGCTTTTTATATGTAATCCCGTTTCCAACGAAATCCTCAAATCTAGCCCAATATCCACTTGCAGATTCCACAAAAAGAGTGTTTCAAAACTGTTCTGTGTAAAGAAATGTACAACTGTGTTAGTTGAGGACACACATCAGAAACTAGTTTCTGAGAATGCTTCTGTCTAGTTGTTATGGGAAGATATTTCCTTTTCCAACGTAGGCCTGAAAGCGCTCCAAATGTCCACTTCCATATACTAAAAAAAGAGTGTTTCAAACCTGCTCTACCAAAGGGAATGTTCTACTCTGTGACTTGAATGCAAACATCCCAAAGAAGTTTCTGAGAATGCTTCTGTCTAGATTTGATCTGAAGACAATCCCGTTTCCAACGAAATTCTCAAGGCTAGGCAAATATACTCTTGCAGATTCCAGAAAAAGAGTGTTTCAAAACTGCTCCTTCAAAACGGTGGTTCAATTCTCTTAGTTGAGTACACACATCTCAAATAAGTTTCTGAGAATGCTTCTGCCTAGTTGTTACGGGAAGATATTTCCCTTTCCAACATGGGCCTGAAAGCGCTCCAAATGTCCACTTCCAGATACTACAAAAAGAGTGTTTCAAACCTGCTCTACCAAAGGGAATGTTCTACTCTGTGACTTGAATGCAAACATCCCAAAGAAGTTTCTGAGAATGCTTCTGTCTAGATTTTACCTGAAGACAATCCCGTTTCCCACGAAATCCTCAAAGCTATGCAAATATCCTCTTGCAGATTCTACAAAAAGAGTGTTTCAAAACTGCTCTATGAAAAGAAAGGTTCAACTCTGTCAGTAGAGGGCACACATCACAAACAAGTTTCTGAGAATGCTTCTGCATAGTTGTTACGGGAAGATATTTCCCTTTCCAAAATAGGCCTGAAAGCGCTCCAAATGTCCACTTCCAGATACTACAAAAGGAGTGATTCCAACCTGCTCTATGATAGGGAATGTTCAACTCTGTGTCCTGAATACAAACATCACAAAGATGTTTCTCAGAACGCTGCAGTCTGCAATTTGTATGAATTCCCGCTTCCAACGAAATCCTCAAAACTAGCCAAATATCCACTTGCAGATTCCACAAAAAGACCATTTCAAAACTGCTCTATCAAAAGAAAGGTTCAACTTTGTTAGTTGAGTAGATACAGCATAACCAAGTTTCTGAGAATGCTTCTGTCCAGTTTTTATGGGAAGATATTTCCTTTTTCACCTTAGCCCTGAAATCGCTCCAAAAGTCCAGTTCCAGATACTACAAAAGGGGTGTTTCAAGACTGCTCTATGAAAGGGAGTGTTCAACTTTTGACTTGAATGCAAACATCAGAAAGCAGTTTCTCAGAACGCTGCTGTGTGCTTTTTATATGTATTCCCGCTTCCAGCGAAATCCCCAAAGCTAGCCAAATATCCACTTGCAGATTCCAGAAAAAGAGAGTTTCAAAACTGCTCCTTCAAAACGGTGGTTCAATTCTCTTAGTTGAGTACACACATCTCAAATAAGTTTCTGAGAATGCTTCTGTCTAGTTGTTATGGGAAGATATTTCCTTTTCCAACATAGGCCTGAAAGCGCTCCAAATGTCCACTTCCAGATACTACAAAAGGAATGATTCAAACCTGCTCTATGATAGGGAATGTTCAACTCTGTGTCCTGAATACAAACATCACAAAGATGTTTCTCAGAACGCTGCAGTCTGCAATTTGTATGAATTCCCACTTCCAACGAAATCCTCAAAACTAGCCAAATATCCACTTGCAGATTCCACAAAAAGAGCGTTTCAAAACTTCTCTATGAAAAGAAAGGTTCTACTCCTTTAGTTGAGGACACACATCACGAGTAAGTTTCTGAGAATGCTTCTGTCTAGTTTTTATGGGAAGATATTTCCTTTTTCACCTTAGGCCGGTAAGTGCTCCAAATGTCCACTTACACACACTACAAAAAGAGTGTTTCAAACCTGCTCTGTGAAAGGGAATGTTCAATTCTGTGACTTGAATGCAATCATCACAAAGAACTTTCTGAGAATGCTGCTGACTGCTTTTTATATGTAATCCCGTTTCCAACGAAATCCTCAAATCTAGCCAAATAGCCACTTGCAGATTCCACAAAAAGAGTGTTTCAAAACTGTTCTGTCTAAAGAAATGTTCAACTGTGTTAGTTGAGGACACACATCAGAAACTAGTTTCTGAGAATGCTTTCTGTCTAGTTGTTATGGGAAGATATTTCCTTTTCCAACGTAGGCCTGAAAGCGCTCCAAATGTCCACTTCCATATACTAAAAAAAGAGTGTTTCAAACCTGCTCTACCAAAGGGAATGTTCTACTCTGTGACTTGAATGCAAACATCCCAAAGAAGTTTCTGAGAATGCTTCTGTCTAGATTTGATCTGAAGACAATCCCGTTTCCAACGAAATCCTCAAGGCTAGGCAAATATCCTCTTGCAGATTCCAGAAAAAGAGTGTTTCAAAACTGCTCCTTCAAAACGGTGGTTCAATTCTCTTAGTTGAGTACACACATCTCAAATAAGTTTTTGAGAATGCTTCTGCCTAGTTGTTACGGGAAGATATTTCCCTTTCCAACATAGGCCTGAAAGCGCTCCAAATGTCCACTTCCAGATACTACAAAAAGAGTGTTTCAAACCTGCTCTACCAAAGGGAATGTTCTACTCTGTGACTTGAATGCAAACATCCCAAAGAAGTTTCTGAGAATGCTTCTGTCTAGATTTTACCTGAAGACAATCCCGTTTCCCACGAAATCCTCAAAGCTATGCAAATATCCTCTTGCAGATTCTACAAAAAGAGTGTTTCCAAACTGCTCTATGAAAAGAAAGGTTCAACTCTGTCAGTAGAGGGCACACATCACAAACAAGTTTCTGAGAATGCTTGTGTCTAGTTGTTATGGGAAGATATTTCCTTTTTCAACATAGGCCTGAAAGCGCTCCAAATGTCCACTTCCAGATACTACAAAAGGAGTGATTCCAACCTGCTCTATGATAGGGAATGTTCAACTCTCTGTCCTGAATACAAACATCACAAAGATGTTTCTCAGAACGCTGCAGTCTGCAATTTGTATGAATTCCCGCTTCCAACGAAATCCTCAAAACTAGCCAAATATCCACTTGCAGATTCCACAAAAAGAGCATTTCAAAACTGCTCTATCAAAAGAAAGGTTCAACTTTGTTAGTTGAGCAGATACAGCATAAACAAGTTTCTGAGAATGCTTCTGTCCAGTTTTTATGGGAAGATATTTCCTTTTTCACCTTAGCCCTGAAAGCGCTCCAAATTTCCAGTTCCAGATACTACAAAAGGGGTGTTTCAAGACTGCTCTATGAAAGGGAGTGTTCAACTTTTGACTTGAATGCAAACATCAGAAAGCAGTTTCTCAGAACGCTGCTGTGTGCTTTTTATATGTATTCCCGCTTCCAGCGAAATCCCCAAAGCTAGCCAAATATCCACTTGCAGATTCCAGAAAAAGAGAGTTTCCAAACTGCTCCTTCAAAACGGTGGTTCAATTCTCTTAGTTGAGTACACACATCTCAAATAAGTTTCTGGGAATGCTTGTGTCTAGTTGTTATGGGAAGATATTTCCTTTTTCAACATAGGCCTGAAAGCGCTCCAAATGTCCACTTCCAGATACTACAAAAGGAGTGATTCCAACCTGCTCTATGATAGGGAATGTTCATCTCTGTGTCCTGAATACAAACATCACAAAGATGTTTCTCAGAACGCTGCAGTCTGCAATTTGTATGAATTCCCGCTTCCAACGAAATCCTCAAAACTAGCCAAATATCCACTTGGAGATTCCACAAAAAGAGCGTTTCAAAACTTCTCTATGAATACAAAGGTTCTACTCCTTTAGTTGAGGACACACATCACGAGTAAGTTTCTGAGAATGCTTCTGTCTAGTTTTTATGGGAAGATATTTCCTTTTTCACCTTAGGCCGGAAAGCGCTCCAAATGTCCACTTACACACACTACAAAAAGAGTGTTTCAAACCTGCTCTGTGAAAGGGAATGTTCAATTCTGTGACTTGAATGCAATCATCACAAAGAACTTTCTGAGAATGCTGCTGTCTGCTTTTTATATGTAATCCCTTTTCCAACGAAATCCTCAAATCTAGCCAAATATCCACTTGCAGATTCCACAAAAGAGTGTTTCAAAACTGTTCTGTCTAAAGAAAAGTTCAACTGTGTTAGTTGAGGACACACATCAGAAACTAGTTTGTGAGAATGCTTCTGTCTAGTTGTTATGGGAAGATATTTCCTTTTCCAACGTAGGCCTGAAAGCGCTCCAAATGTCCACTTACACACACTACAAAAAGAGTGTTTCAAACCTGCTCTACCAAAGGGAATGTTCTACTCTGTGACTTGAATGCAAACATCCCAAAGAAGTTTCTGAGAATGCTTCTGTCTAGATTTTACCTGAAGACAATCCCGTTTCCCACGAAATCCTCAAAGCTATGCAAATATCCTCTTGCAGATTCTACAAAAAGAGTGTTTCGAAACTGCTCTATGAAAAGAAAGGTTCAACTGTGTCAGTAGAGAGCACACATCACAAACAAGTTTCTGAGAATGCTTCTGTCTAGTTGTTATGGGAAGATATTTCCTTTTTCAACATAGGCCTGAAAGCGCTCCAAATGTCCACTTCCAGATACTACAAAAGGAGTGATTCCAACCTGCTCTATGATAGGGAATGTTCAACTCTGTGTCCTGAATACAAACATCACAAAGACGTTTCTCAGAACGCTGCAGTCTGCAATTTGTATGAATTCCCGCTTCCAACGAAATCCTCAAAACTAGCCAAATATCCACTTGCAGATTCCACAAAAAGAGCATTTCAAAACTGCTCTATCAAAAGAAAGGTTCAACTTTGTTAGTTGAGTAGATACAGCATAAACAAGTTTCTGAGAATGCTTCTGTCTAGTTTTTATGGGAAGATATTTCCTTTTTCACCTTAGCCCTGAAAGCGCTCCAAAAGTCCAGTTCCAGATACTACAAAAGGAGTGTTTCAGGACTGCTCTATGAAAGGGAGTGTTCAACTTTTGACTTGAATGCAAACATCAGAAAGCCGTTTCTCAGAACGCTGCTGTGTGCTTTTTATATGTATTCCCGCTTCCAGCGAAATCCCCAAAGCTAACCAAATATCCACTTGCAGATTCCAGAAAAAGAGTGTTTCAAAACTGCTCCTTCAAAACGGTGGTTCAATTCTCTTAGTTGAGTACACACATCTCAAATAAGTTTCTGAGAATGCTTCTGTCTAGTTGTTATGGGAAGATATTTCCTTTTCCAACATAGGCCTGAAAGCGCTCCAAATGTCCACTTCCAGATACTACAAAAGGAGTGATTCAAACCTGCTCTATGATAAGGAATGTTCAACTCTGTGTCCTGAATACAAACATCACAAAGATGTTTCTCAGAACGCTGCAGTCTGCAATTTGTATGAATTCCCGCTTCCAACGAAATCCTCAAAACTAGCCAAATATCCACTTGCAGATTCCACAAAAAGAGCGTTTCAAAACTTCTCTATGAAAAGAAAGGTTCTACTCCTTTAGTTGAGGACACACATCACGAGTAAGTTTCTGAGAATGCTTCTGTCTAGTTTTTATGGGAAGATATTTCCTTTTTCACCTTAGGCCGGTAAGTGCTCCAAATGTCCACTTACACACACTACAAAAAGAGTCTTTCAAACCTGCTCTGTGAAAGGGAATGTTCAATTCTGTGACTTGAATGCAATCATCACAAAGAACTTTCTGAGAATGCTGCTGTCTGCTTTTTATATGTAATCCCGTTTCCAACGAAATCCTCAAATCTAGCCAAATATCCACTTGCAGATTCCACAAAAAGAGTGTTTCAAAACTGTTCTGTCTAAAGAAAAGTTCAACTGTGTTAGTTGAGGACACACATCAGAAACTAGTTTCTGAGAATGCTTCTGTCTAGTTGTTATGGGAAGATATTTCCTTTTCCAACGTAGGCCTGAAAGCGCTCCAAATGTCCACTTCCATATACTAAAAAAAGAGTGTTTCAAACCTGCTCTACCAAAGGGAATGTTCTACTCTGTGACTTGAATGCAAACATCCCAAAGAAGTTTCTGAGAATGCTTCTGTCTAGATTTGATCTGAAGACAATCCCGTTTCCAACGAAATCATCAAGGCTAGGCAAATATCCTCTTGCAGATTCCAGAAAAAGAGTGTTTCAAAACTGCTCCTTCAAAACGGTGGTTCAATTCTCTTACTTGAGTACACACATCTCAAATAAGTTTCTGAGAATGCTTCTGCCTAGTTGTTACGGGAAGATATTTCCCTTTCCAACATGGGCCTGAAAGCGCTCCAAATGTCCACTTCCAGATACTACAAAAAGAGTGTTTCAAACCTGCTCTACCAAAGGGAATGTTCTACTCTGTGACTTGAATGCAAACATCCCAAAGAAGTTTCTGAGAATGCTTCTGTCTAGATTTTACCTGAAGACAATCCCGTTTCCCACGAAATCCTCAAAGCTATGCAAATATCCTCTTGCAGATTCTACAAAAAGAGTGTTTCAAAAGTGCTCTATGAAAAGAAAGGTTCAACTCTGTCAGTAGAGGGCACACATCACAAACAAGTTTCTGAGAATGCTTCTGCATAGTTGTTACGGGAAGATATTTCCCTTTCCAAAATAGGCCTGAAAGCGCTCCAAATGTCCACTTCCAGATACTACAAAAGGAGTGATTCCAACCTGCTCTATGATAGGGAATGTTCAACTCTGTGTCCTGAATACAAACATCACAAAGATGTTTCTCAGAACGCTGCAGTCTGCAATTTGTATGAATTCCCGCTTCCAACGAAATCCTCAAAACTAGCCAAATATCCACTTGCAGATTCCACAAAAAGACCATTTCAAAACTGCTCTATCAAAAGAAAGGTTCAACTTTGTTAGTTGAGTAGATACAGCATAAACAAGTTTCTGAGAATGCTTCTGTCCAGTTTTTATGGGAAGATATTTCCTTTTTCACCTTAGCCCTGAAATCGCTCCAAAAGTCCAGTTCCAGATACTACAAAAGGGGTGTTTCAAGACTGCTCTATGAAAGGGAGTGTTCAACTTTTGACTTGAATGCAAACATCAGAAAGCAGTTTCTCAGAACGCTGCTGTGTGCTTTTTATATGTATTCCCGCTTCCAGCGAAATCCCCAAAGCTAGCCAAATATCCACTTGCAGATTCCAGAAAAAGAGAGTTTCAAAACTGCTCCTTCAAAACGGTGGTTCAATTCTCTTAGTTGAGTACACACATCTCAAATAAGTTTCTGAGAATGCTTCTGTCTAGTTGTTATGGGAAGATATTTCCTTTTCCAACATAGGCCTGAAAGCGCTCCAAATGTCCACTTCCAGATACTACAAAAGGAGTGATTCAAACCTGCTCTATGATAGGGAATGTTCAACTCTGTGTCCTGAATACAAACATCACAAAGATGTTTCTCAGAACGCTGCAGTCTGCAATTTGTATGAATTCCCGCTTCCAACGAAATCCTCAAAACTAGCCAAATATCCACTTGCAGATTCCACAAAAAGAGCGTTTCAAAACTTCTCTATGAAAAGAAAGGTTCTACTCCTTTAGTTGAGGACACACATCACGAGTAAGTTTCTGAGAATGCTTCTGTCTAGTTTTTATGGGAAGATTATTTCCTTTTTCACCTTAGGCCGGTAAGTGCTCCAAATGTCCACTTACACACACTACAAAAAGAGTGTTTCAAACCTGCTCTGTGAAAGGGAATGTTCAATTACTGTGACTTGAATGCAATCATCACAAAGAACTTTCTGAGAATGCTGCTGACTGCTTTTTATATGTAATCCCGTTTCCAACGAAATCCTCAAATCTAGCCAAATAGCCACTTGCAGATTCCACAAAAAGAGTGTTTCAAAACTGTTCTGTCTAAAGAAATGTTCAACTGTGTTAGTTGAGGACACACATCAGAAACTAGTTTCTGAGAATGCTTCTGTCTAGTTGTTATGGGAAGATATTTCCTTTTCCAACGTAGGCCTGAAAGCGATCAAAATGTCCACTTCCATATACTAAAAAAAGAGTGTTTCAAACCTGCTCTACCAAAGGGAATGTTCTACTCTGTGACTTGAATGCAAACATCCCAAAGAAGTTTCTGAGAATGCTTCTGTCTAGATTTTCTCTGAAGACAATCCCGTTTCCAACGAAATCCTCAAGGCTAGGCAAATATACTCTTGCAGATTCCAGAAAAAGAGTGTTTCAAAACTGCTCCTTCAAAACGGTGGTTCAATTCTCTTAGTTGAGTACACACATCTCAAATAAGTTTCTGAGAATGCTTCTGCCTAGTTGTTAAGGGAAGATATTCCCCTTTCCAACATAGGCCTGAAAGCGCTCCAAATGTCCACTTCCAGATACTACAAAAAGAGTGTTTCAAACCTGCTCTACCAAAGGGAATGTTCTACTCTGTGACTTGAATGCAAACATCCCAAAGAAGTTTCTGAGAATGCTTCTGTCTAGATTTTACCTGAAGACAATCCCGTTTCCCACGAAATCCTCAAAGCTATGCAAATATCCTCTTGCAGATTCTACAAAAAAAGTGTTTCAAAACTGCTCTATGAAAAGAAAGGTTCAACTCTGTCAGTAGAGGGCACACATCACAAACAATTTTCTGAGAATGCTTGTGTCTAGTTGTTATGGGAAGATATTTCCTTTTTCAACATAGGCCTGAAAGCGCTCCAAATGTCCACTTCCAGATACTACAAAAGGAGTGATTCCAACCTGCTCTATGATAGGGAATGTTCAACTCTCTGTCCTGAATACAAACATCACAAAGATGTTTCTCAGAACGCTGCAGTCTGCAATTTGTATGAATTCCCGCTTCCAACGAAATCCTCAAAACTAGCCAAATATCCACTTGCAGATTCCACGAAAAGAGCATTTCAAAACTGCTCTATCAAAAGAAAGGTTCAAATTTGTTAGTTGAGTAGATACAGCATAAACAAGTTTCTGAGAATGCTTCTGTCCAGTTTTTATGGGAAGATATTTCCTTTTTCACCTTAGCCCTGAAAGCGCTCCAAAAGTCCAGTTCCAGATACTACAAAAGGAGTGTTTCAGGACTGCTCTATGAAAGGGAGTGTTCAACTTTTGACTTGAATGCAAACATCAGAAAGCAGTTTCTCAGAACGCTGCTGTGTGCTTTTTATATGTATTCCCGCTTCCAGCGAAATCCCCAAAGCTAGCCAAATATCCACTTGCAGATTCCAGAAAAAGAGTGTTTCAAAACTGCTCCTTCAAAACGGTGGTTCAATTCTCTTAGTTGAGTACACACATCTCAAATAAGTTTCTGAGAATGCTTCTGTCTAGTTGTTATGGGAAGATATTTCCTTTTCCAACATAGGCCTGAAAGCGCTCCAAATGTCCACTTCCAGATACTACAAAAGGAGTGATTCAAACCTGCTCTATGATAGGGAATGTTCAACTCTGTGTCCTGAATACAAACATCACAAAGATGTTTCTCAGAACGCTGCAGTCTGCAATTTGTATGAATTCCCGCTTCCAACGAAATCCTCCAAACTAGCCAAATATCCACTTGCAGATTCCACAAAAAGAGCGTTTCAAAACTTCTCTATGAAAAGAAAGGTTCTACTCCTTTAGTTGAGGACACACATCACGAGTAAGTTTCTGAGAATGCTTCTGTCTAGTTTTTATGGGAAGATATTTCCTTTTTCACCTTAGGCCGGTAAGTGCTCCAAATGTCCACTTACACACACTACAAAAAGAGTCTTTCAAACCTGCTCTGTGAAAGGGAATGTTCAATTCTGTGACTTGAATGCAATCATCACAAAGAACTTTCTGAGAATGCTGCTGTCTGCTTTTTATATGTAATCCCGTTTCCAACGAAATCCTCAAATCTAGCCAAATAGCCACTTGCAGATTCCACAAAAAGAGAGTTTCAAAACTGTTCTGTCTAAAGAAATGTTCAACTGTGTTAGTTGAGGACACACATCAGAAACTAGTTTCTGAGAATGCTTCTGTCTAGTTGTTATGGGAAGATATTTCGTTTTCCAAAGTAGGCCTGAAAGCGCTCCAAATGTCCACTTCCATATACTAAAAAAAGAGTGTTTCACACCTGCTCTACCAAAGGGAATGTTCTACTCTGTGACTTGAATGCAAACATCCCAAAGAAGTTTCTGAGAATGCTTCTGTCTAGATTTGATCTGAAGACAATCCCGTTTCCAACGGAAATCCTCAAAGCTAGGCAAATATACTCTTGCAGATTCCAGAAAAAGAGTGTTTCAAAACTGCTCCTTCAAAAGGGTGGTTCAATTCTCTTAGTTGAGTACACACATCTCAAATAAGTTTCCGAGAATGCTTCTGCCTAGTTGTTACGGGAAGATATTTCCCTTTCCAACATAGGCCTGAAAGCGCTCCAAATGTCCACTTCCAGATACTACAAAAAGAGTGTTTCAAACCTGCTCTACCAAAGGGAATGTTCTACTCTGTGACTTGAATGCAAACATCCCAAAGAAGTTTCTGAGAATGCTTCTGTCTAGATTTTACCTGAAGACAATCCCGTTTCCCACGAAATCCTCAAAGCTATGCAAATATCCTCTTGCAGATTCTACAAAAAGAGTGTTTCAAAACTGCTCTATGAAAAGAAAGGTTCAACTCTGTCAGTAGAGGGCACACATCACAAACAAGTTTCTGAGAATGCTTGTGTCTAGTTGTTATGGGAAGATATTTCCTTTTTCAACATAGGCCAGAAAGCGCTCCAAATGTCCACTTCCAGATACTACAAAAGGAGTGATTCCAACCTGCTCTATGATAGGGAATGTTCAACTCTCTGTCCTGAATACAAACATCACAAAGATGTTTCTCAGAACGCTGCAGTCTGCAATTTGTATGAATTCCCGCTTCCAACGAAATCCTCAAAACTAGCCAAATATCCACTTGCAGATTCCACAAAAAGAGCATTTCAAAACTGCTCTATCAAAAGAAAGGTTCAACTTTGTTAGTTGAGTAGATACAGCATAAAAAAGTTTCTGAGAATGCTGCAGTCTGCAATTTGTATGAATTCCCGCTTCCAACGAAATCCTCAAAACTAGCCAAATATCCACTTGCAGATTCCACAAAAAGAGCGTCTCAAAACTTCTCTATGAAAAGAAAGGTTCTACTCCTTTAGTTGAGGACACACATCACGAGTAAGTTTCTGAGAATGCTTCTGTCTAGTTTTTATGGGAAGATATGTCCTTTTTCACCTTAGGCCGGAAAGCGATCCAAATGTCCACTTACACACACTACAAAAAGAGTGTTTCAAACCTGCTGTGTGAAAGGGAATGTTCAATTCTGTGACTTGAATGCAATCATCACAAAGAACTTTCTGAGAATGCTGCTGACTGCTTTTTATATGTAATCCCGTTTCCAACGAAATCCTCAAATCCAGCCAAATAGCCACTTGCAGATTCCACAAAAAGAGTGTTTCAAAACTGTTCTGTCTAAAGAAATGTTCAACTGTGTTAGTTGAGGACACACATCAGAAACTAGTTTCTGAGAATGCTTCTGTCTAGTTGTTATGGGAAGATATTTCCTTTTCCAACGTAGGCCTGAAAGCGCTCCAAATGTCCACTTCCATATACTAAAAAAAGAGTGTTTCAAACCTGCTCTACCAAAGGGAATGTTCTACTCTGTGACTTGAATGCAAACATCCCAAAGAAGTTTCTGAGAATGCTTCTGTCTAGATTTTCTCTGAAGACAATCCCGTTTCCAACGAAATCCTCAAGGCTAGGCAAATATACTCTTGCAGATTCCAGAAAAAGAGTGTTTCAAAACTGCTCCTTCAAAACGGTGGTTCAATTCTCTTAGTTGAGTACACACATCTCAAATAAGTTTCTGAGAATGCTTCTGCCTAGTTGTTACGGGAAGATATTTCCCTTTCCAACATGGGCCTGAAAGCGCTCCAAATGTCCACTTCCAGATACTACAAAAAGAGTGTTTCAAACCTGCTCTACCAAAGGGAATGTTCTACTCTGTGACTTGAATGCAAACATCCCAAAGAAGTTTCTGAGAATGCTTCTGTCTAGATTTTACCTGAAGACAATCCCGTTTCCCACGAAATCCTCAAAGCTATGCAAATATCCTCTTGCAGATTCTACAAAAAGAGTGTTTCAAAACTGCTCTATGAAAAGAAAGGTTCAACTCTGTCAGTAGAGGGCACACATCACAAACAAGTTTCTGAGAATGCTTCTGCATAGTTGTTACGGGAAGATATTTCCCTTTCCAAAATAGGCCTGAAAGCGCTCCAAATGTCCACTTCCAGATACTACAAAAGGAGTGATTCCAACCTGCTCTATGATAGGGAATGTTCAACTCTGTGTCCTGAATACAAACATCACAAAGATGTTTCTCAGAACGCTGCAGTCTGCAATTTGTATGAATTCCCGCTTCCAACGAAATCCTCAAAACTAGCCAAATATCCACTTGCAGATTCCACAAAAAGACCATTTCAAAACTGCTCTATCAAAAGAAAGGTTCAACTTTGTTAGTTGAGTAGATACAGCATAAACAAGTTTCTGAGAATGCTTCTGTCCAGTTTTTATGGGAAGATATTTCCTTTTTCACCTTAGCCCTGAAATCGCTCCAAAAGTCCAGTTCCAGATACTACAAAAGGGGTGTTTCAAGACTGCTCTATGAAAGGGAGTGTTCAACTTTTGACTTGAATGCAAACATCAGAAAGCAGTTTCTCAGAACGCTGCTGTGTGCTTTTTATATGTATTCCCGCTTCCAGCGAAATCCCCAAAGCTAGCCAAATATCCACTTGCAGATTCCAGAAAAAGAGTGTTTCAAAACTGCTCCTTCAAAACGGTGGTTCAATTCTCTTAGTTGAGTACACACATCTCAAATAAGGTTTCTGAGAATGCTGCAGTCTGCAATTTGTATGAATTCCCGCTTCCAACGAAATCCTCAAAACTAGCCAAATATCCACTTGGAGATTCCACAAAAAGAGCGTTTCAAATCTTCTCTATGAATAGAAAGGTTCTACTCCTTTAGTTGAGGACACACATCACGAGTAAGTTTCTGAGAATGCTTCTGTCTAATTTTTATGGGAAGATATGTCCTTTTTCACCTTAGGCCGGAAAGCGCTCCAAATGTCCACTTACACACACTACAAAAAGAGTGTTTCAAACCTGCTCTATGAAAGGGAATGTTCAATTCTGTGACTTGAATGCAATCATCACAAAGAATTTTCTGAGAATGCTGCTGACTGCTTTTTATATGTAATCCCGTTTCCAACGAAATCCTCAAATCTACCCCAATATCCACTTGCAGATTCCACAAAAAGAGTGTTTCAAAACTGTTCTGTCTAAAGAAATGTACAACTGTGTTAGTTGAGGACACACATCAGAAACTAGTTTCTGAGAATGCTTTCTGTCTAGTTGTTATGGGAAGATATTTCCTTTTCCAACGTAGGCCTGAAAGCGCTCCAAATGTCCACTTCCATATACTAAAAAAAGAGTGTTTCAAACCTGCTCTACCAAAGGGAATGTTCTACTCTGTGACTTGAATGCAAACATCCCAAAGAAGTTTCTGAGAATGCTTCTGTCTAGATTTTATCGGAATACAATCCCGTTTCCAACGAAATCCTCAAGGCTAGGCAAATATACTCTTGCAGATTCCAAAAAAAGAGTGTTTCAAAACTGCTCCTTCAAAACGGTGGTTCAATTCTCTTAGTTGAGTACACACATCTCAAATAAGTTTCTGAGAATGCTTCTGCCTAGTTGTTACGGGAAGATATTTCCCTTTCCAACATAGGCCTGAAAGCGCTCCAAATGTCCACTTCCAGATACTACAAAAAGAGTGTTTCAAACCTGCTCTACCAAAGGGAATGTTCTACTCTGTGACTTGAATGCAAACATCCCAAAGAAGTTTCTGAGAATGCTTCTGTCTAGATTTTACCTGAAGACAATCCCGTTTCCCACGAAATCCTCAAAGCTATGCAAATATCCTCTTGCAGATTCTACAAAAAGAGTGTTTCAAAACTGCTCTACGAAAAGAAAGGTTCAACTCTTTCAGTAGAGGGCACACATCACAAACAAGTTTCTGAGAATGCTTGTGTCTAGTTGTTATGGGAAGATATTTCCTTTTTCAACATAGGCCTGAAAGCGCTCCAAATGTCCCAGATACTACAAAAGGAGTGATTCCAACCTGCTCTATGATAGGGAATGTTCATCTCTGTGTCCTGAATACAAACATCACAAAGATGTTTCTCAGAACGCTGCAGTCTGCAATTTGTATGAATTCCCGCTTCCAACGAAATCCTCAAAACTAGCCAAATATCCACTTGGAGATTCCACAAAAAGAGCGTTTCAAAACTTCTCTATGAATAGAAAGGTTCTACTCCTTTAGTTGAGGACACACATCACGAGTAAGTTTCTGAGAATGCTTCTGTCTAGTTTTTATGGGAAGATATTTCCTTTTTCACCTTAGGCCGGAAAGCGCTCCAAATGTCCACTTACACACACTACAAAAAGAGTGTTTCAAACCAGCTCTGTGAAAGGGAATGTTCAATTCTGTGACTTGAATGCAATCATCACAAAGAACTTTCTGAGAATTCTGCTGTCTGCTTTTTATATGTAATCCCGTTTCCAACGAAATCCTCAAATCTAGCCCAATATCCACTTGCAGATTCCACAAAAAGAGTGTTTCAAAACTGTTCTGTCTAAAGAAATGTACAACTGTGTTAGTTGAGGACACACATCAGAAACTAGTTTCTGAGAATGCTTCTGTCTAGTTGTTATGGGAAGATATTTCCTTTTCCAACGTAGGCCTGAAAGCGCTCCAAATGTCCACTTCCATATACTAAAAAAAGAGTGTTTCAAACCTGCTCTACCAAAGGGAATATTCTACTCTGTGACTTGAATGCAAACATCCCAAAGAAGTTTCTGAGAATGCTTCTGTCTAGATTTTATCTGAAGACAATCCCGTTTCCAACGAAATCCTCAAGGCTAGGCAAATATACTCTTGCAGATTCCAGAAAAAGAGGGTTTCAAAACTGCTCCTTCAAAACGGTGGTTCAATTCTCTTAGTTGAGTACACACATCTCAAAAAAGTTTCTGAGAATGCTTCTGCCTAGTTGTTACGGGAAGATATTTCCCTTTCCAACATGGGCCTGAAAGCGCTCCAAATGTCCACTTCCAGATACTACAAAAAGAGTGTTTCAAACCTGCTCTACCAAAGGGAATGTTCTACTCTGTGACTTGAATGCAAACATCCCAAAGAAGTTTCTGAGAATGCTTCTTTCTAGATTTTACCTGAAGACAATCCCGTTTCCCACGAAATCCTCAAAGCTATGCAAATATCCTCTTGCGGATTCTACAAAAAGAGTGTTTCAAAACTGCTCTATGAAAAGAAAGGTTCAACTCTGTCAGTAGAGGGCACACATCACAAACAAGTTTCTGAGAATGCTTGTGTCTAGTTGTTATGGGAAGATATTTCCTTTTTCAACATAGGCCTCAAAGCGCTCCAAATGTCCACTTCCAGATACTACAAAAGGAGTGATTCCAACCTGCTCTATGATAGGGAATGTTCATCTCTGTGTCCTGAATACAAACATCACAAAGATGTTTCTCAGAACGCTGCAGTCTGCAATTTGTATGAATTCCCGCTTCCAACGAAATCCTCAAAACTAGCCAAATATCCACTTGGAGATTCCACAAAAAGAGCGTTTCAAAACTTCTCTATGAATAGAAAGGTTCTACTCCTTTAGTTGAGGACACACATCACGAGTAAGTTTCTGAGAATGCTTCTGTCTAGTTTTTATGGGAAGATATTTCCTTTTTCACCTTAGGCCGGAAAGCGCTCCAAATGTCCACTTGCACACACTACAAAAAGAGTGTTTCAAACCTCCTCTGTGAAAGGGAATGTTCAATTCTGTGATTTGAATGCAATCATCACAAAGAACTTTCTGAGAATGCTGCTGACTGCTTTTTATATGTAATCCCGTTTCCAACGAAATCCTCAAATCTAGCCCAATATCCACTTGCAGATTCCACAAAAAGAGTGTTTCAAAACTGTTCTGTCTAAAGAAATGTACAACTGTGTCAGTTGAGGACACACATCAGAAACTAGTTTCTGAGAATGCTTCTGTCTAGTTGTTATGGGAAGATATTTCCTTTTCCAACGTAGGCCTGAAAGCGCTCCAAATGTCCACTTCCATATACTAAAAAAAGAGTGTTTCAAACCTGCTCTACCAAAGGGAATGTTCTACTCTGTGACTTGAATGCAAACATCCCAAAGAAGTTTCTGAGAATGCTTCTGTCTAGATTTTATCTGAAGACAATCCCGTTTCCAACGAAATCCTCAAGGCTAGGCAAATATACTCTTGCAGATTCCAGAAAAAGAGTGTTTCAAAACTGCTCCTTCAAAACGGTGGTTCAATTCTCTTCGTTGAGTCCACACATCTCAAATAAGTTTCTGAGAATGCTTCTGCCTAGTTGTTACGGGAAGATATTTCCCTTTCCAACATGGGCCTGAAAGCGCTCCAAATGTCCACTTCCAGATACTACAAAAAGAGTGTTTCAAACCTACTCTACCAAAGGGAATGTTCTACTCTGTGACTTGAATGCAAACATCCCAAAGAAGTTTCTGAGAGTGCTTCTGTCTAGATTTTACCTGAAGACAATCCCGTTTCCCACGAAATCCTCAAAGCTATGCAAATATCCTCTTGCAGATTCTACAAAAAGAGTGTTTCAAAACTGCTCTATGAAAAGAAAGGTTCAACTCTGTCAGTAGAGGGCACACATCACAAACAAGTTTCTGAGAATGCTTGTGTCTAGTTGTTATGGGAAGATATTTCCTTTTTCAACATAGGGCCTGAAAGCGCTCCAAATGTCCACTTCCAGATACTACAAAAGGAGTGATTCCAACCTGCTCTATGATAGGGAATGTTCATCTCTGTGTCCTGAATACAAACATCACAAAGATGTTTCTCAGAACGCTGCAGTCTGCAATTTGTATGAATTCCCGCTTCCAACGAAATCCTCCAAACTAGCCAAATATCCACTTGCAGATTCCACAAAAAGAGCGTTTCAAAACTTCTCTATGAAAAGAAAGGTTCTACTCCTTTAGTTGAGGACACACATCACGAGTAAGTTTCTGAGAGTGCTTCTGTCTAGTTTTTATGGGAAGATATTTCCTTTTTCACCTTAGGCCGGAAAGTGCTCCAAATGTCCACTTACACACACTACAAAAAGAGTGTTTCAAACCTGCTCTGTGAAAGGGAATGTTCAATTCTGTGACTTGAATGCAATCATCACAAAGAACTTTCTGAGAATGCTGCTGACTGCTTTTTATATGTAATCCCGTTTCCAACGAAATCCTCAAATCTAGCCAAATAGCCACTTGCATATTCCACAAAAAGAGTGTTTCAAAACTGTTCTGTCTAAAGAAATGTTCAACTGTGTTAGTTGAGGACACACATCAGAAACTAGTTTCTGAGAATGCCTCTGTCTAGTTGTTATGGGAAGATATTTCCTTTTCCAACATAGGCCTGAAAGCGCTCCAAATGTCCACTTCCATATACTAAAAAAAGAGTGTTTCAAACCTGCTCTACCAAAGAGAATGTTCTACTCTGTGACTTGAATAGAAACATCCCAAAGAAGTTTCTGAGAATGCTTCTGTCTAGATTTGATCTGAAGACAATCCCGTTTCCAACGAAATCCTCAAGGCTAGGCAAATATCCTCTTGCAGATTCCAGAAAAAGAGTGTTTCAAAACTGCTCCTTCAAAACGGTGATTCAATTCTCTTAGTTGAGTACACACATCTCAAATAAGTTTCTGAGAATGCTTCTGCCTAGTTGTTACGGGAAGATATTTCCCTTTCCAACATAGGCCTGAAAGCGCTCCAAATGTCCACTTCCAAATACTACAAAAAGAGTGTTTCAAACCTACTCTACCAAAGGGAATGTTCTACTCTGTGACTTGAATGCAAACATCCCAAAGAAGTTTCTGAGAATGCTTCTGTCTAGATTTTACCTGAAGACAATCCCGTTTCCCACGTAATCCTCAAAGCTATGCAAATATCCTCTTGCAGATTCTACAAAAAGAGTGTTTCAAAACTGCTCTATGAAAAGAAAGGTTCAACTCTGTCAGTAGAGGGCACACATCACAAACAAGTTTCTGAGAATGCTTGTGTCTAGTTGTTATGGGAAGATATTTCCTTTTTCAACATAGGCCTGAAAGCGCTCCAAATGTCCACTTCCAGATACTACAAAAGGAGTGATTCCAACCTGCTCTATGATAGGGAATGTTCAACACTCTGTCCTGAATACAAACATCACAAAGATGTTTCTCAGAACGCTGCAGTCTGCAATTTGTATGAATTCCCGCTTCCAACGAAATCCTCAAAACTAGCCAAATATCCACTTGCAGATTCCACAAAAAGAGCATTTCAAAACTGCTCTATCAAAAGAAAGGTTCAACTTTGTTAGTTGAGTAGATACAGCATAAACAAGTTTCTGAGAATGCTTCTGTCCAGTTTTTATGGGAAGATATTTCCTTTTTCACCTTAGCCCTGAAAGCGCTCCAAATTTCCAGTTCCAGATACTACAAAAGGGGTGTTTCAAGACTGCTCTATGAAAGGGAGTGTTCAACTTTTGACTTGAATGCAAACATCAGAAAGTAGTTTCTCAGAACGCTGCTGTGTGCTTTTTATATGTATTCCCGCTTCCAGCGAAATCCCCAAAGCTAGCCAAATATCCACTTGCAGATTCCAGAAAAAGAGTGTTTCAAAACTGCTCCTTCAAAACGGTGGTTCAATTCTCTTAGTTGAGTACACACATCTCAAATAAGTTTCTGAGAATGCTTCTGTCTAGTTGTTATGGGAAGATATTTCCTTTTCCAACATAGGCCTGAAAGCGCTCCAAATGTCCACTTCCAGATACTACAAAAGGAGTGATTCCAACCTGCTCTATGATAGGGAATGTTCAACTCTGTGTCCTGAATACAAACATCACAAAGATGTTTCTCAGAACGCTGCAGTCTGCAATTTGTATGAATTCCCGCTTCCAACGAAATCCTCAAAACTAGCCAAATATCCACTTGCAGATTCCACAAAAAGACCATTTCAAAACTGCTCTATCAAAAGAAAGGTTCAACTTTGTTAGTTGAGTAGATACAGCATAACCAAGTTTCTGAGAATGCTTCTGTCCAGTTTTTATGGGAAGATATTTCCTTTTTCACCTTAGCCCTGAAATCGCTCCAAAAGTCCAGTTCCAGATACTACAAAAGGGGTGTTTCAGGACTGCTCTATGAAAGGGAGTGTTCAACTTTTGACTTGAATGCAAACATCAGAAAGCAGTTTCTCAGAACGCTGCTGTGTGCTTTTTATATGTATTCCCGCTTCCAGCGAAATCCCCAAAGCTAGCCAAATATCCACTTACAGATTCCAGAAAAAGAGTGTTTCAAAACTGCTCCTTCAAAACGGTGGTTCAATTCTCTTAGTTGAGTACACACATCTCAAATAAGTTTCTGAGAATGCTGCAGTCTGCAATTTGGATGAATTCCCGCTTCCAACGAAATCCTCAAAACTAGCCAAATATCCACTTGGAGAGTCCACAAAAAGAGCGTTTCAAAACTTCTCTATGAATAGAAAGGTTCTATTCCTTTAGTTGAGGGCACACATCACGAGGAAGTTTCTGAGAATGCTTCTCTCTAGTTTTTATGGGAAGATATGTCCTTTTTCACCTTAGGCCGGAAAGCGCTCCAAATGTCCACTTACACACACTACAAAAAGAGTGTTTCAAACCTGCTCTGTGAAAGGGAATGTTCAATTCTGTGACTTGAATGCAATCATCACAAAGAACTTTCTGAGAATGCTGCTGACTGCTTTTTATATGTAATCCCGTTTCCAACGAAATCCTCAAATCTAGCCCAATATCCACTTGCAGATTCCACAAAAAGAGTGTTTCAAAACTGTTCTGTCTAAAGAAATGTACAACTGTGTTAGTTGAGGACACACATCAGAAACTAGTTTCTGAGAATGCTTCTGTCTAGTTGTTATGGGAAGATATTTCCTTTTCCAACGTAGGCCTGAAAGCGCTCCAAATGTCCACTTCCATATACTAAAAAAAGAGTGTTTCAAACCTGCTCTACCAAAGGGAATGTTCTACTCTGTGACTTGAATGCAAACATCCCAAAGAAGTTTCTGAGAATGCTTCTGTCTAGATTTTATCTGAAGACAATCCCGTTTCCAACGAAATCCTCAAGGCTAGGCAAATATACTCTTGCAGATTCCAGAAAAAGAGTGTTTCAAAACTGCTCCTTCAAAACGGTGGTTCAATTCTCTTAGTTGAGTACACACATCTCAAATAAGTTTCTGAGAATGCTTCTGCCTAGTTGTTACGGGAAGTATATTTCCCTTTCCAACATAGGCCTGAAAGCGCTCCAAATGTCCACTTCCAGATACTATAAAAAGAGTGTTTCAAACCTGCTCTACCAAAGGGAATGTTCTACTCTGTGACTTGAATGCAAACATCCCAAAGAAGTTTCTGAGAATGCTTCTGTCTAGATTTTACCTGAAGACAATCCCGTTTCCCACGAAATCCTCAAAGCTATGCAAATATCCTCTTGCAGATTCTACAAAAAGAGTGTTTCAAAACTGCTCTATGAAAAGAAAGGTTCAACTCTGTCAGTAGAGGGCACACATCACAAACAAGTTTCTGAGAATGCTTGTGTCTAGTTGTTATGGGAAGATATTTCCTTTTTCAACATAGGCCAGAAAGCGCTCCAAATGTCCACTTCCAGATACTACAAAAGGAGTGATTCCAACCTGCTCTATGATAGGGAATGTTCAACTCTCTGTCCTGAATACAAACATCACAAAGATGTTTCTCAGAACGCTGCAGTCTGCAATTTGTATGAATTCCCGCTTCCAACGAAATCCTCAAAACTAGCCAAATATCCACTTGCAGATTCCACAAAAAGAGCATTTCAAAACTGCTCTATCAAAAGAAAGGTTCAACTTTGTTAGTTGAGTAGATACAGCATAAAAAAGTTTCTGAGAATGCTTGTGTCTAGTTGTTATGGGAAGATATTTCCTTTTTCAACATAGGCCTGAAAAAGCTCCAAATGTCCACTTCCAGATACTACAAAAGGAGTGATTCCAACATGCTCTATGATAGGGAATGTTCATCTCTGTGTCTTGAATACAAACATCACAAAGATGTTTCTCAGAACGCTGCAGTCTGCAATTTGTATGAATTCCCGCTTCCAACGAAATCCTCAAAACTAGCCAAATATCCACTTGGAGATTTCACAAAAAGAGCGTTTCAAAACTTCTCTATGAATAGAAAGGTTCTACTCCTTTAGTTGAGGACACACATCACGAGTAAGTTTCTGAGAATGCTTCTGTCTAGTTTTTATGGGAATATATGTCCTTTTTCACCTTAGGCCGGAAAGCGCTCCAAATGTCCACTTACACACACTACAAAAAGAGTGTTTCAAACCTGCTCTATGAAAGGGAATGTTCAATTCTGTGACTAGAATACAATCATCACAAAGAACTTTCTGAGAATGCTGCTGACTGCTATTTATATGTAATCCCGTTTCCAACGAAATCCTCAAATCTAGCCCAATATCCACTTGCAGATTCCACAAAAAGAGTGTTTCAAAACTGTTCTGTCTAAAGAAATGTACAACTGTGTTAGTTGAGGACACACATCAGAAACTAGTTTCTGAGAATGCTTCTGTCTAGTTGTTATGGGAAGATATTTCCTTTTCCAACGTAGGCCTGAAAGCGCTCCAAATGTCCACTTCCATATACTAAAAAAAGAGTGTTTCAAACCTGCTCTACCAAAGGGAATGTTCTACTCTGTGACTTGAATGCAAACATCCCAAAGAAGTTTCTGAGAATGCTTCTGTCTAGATTTGATCTGAAGACAATCCCGTTTCCAACGAAATCCTCAAAGCTGGCAAATATCCTCTAGCAGATTCCAGAAAAAGAGTGTTTCAAAACTGGTCCTTCAAAACGGTGGTTCAATTCTCTTAGTTGAGTACACACATCTCAAATAAGTTTCTGAGAATGCTTCTGCCTAGTTGTTAAGGGAAGATATTTCCCTTTCCAACATAGGCCTGAAAGCGCTCCAAATGTCCACTTCCAGATACTACAAAAAGAGTGTTTCAAACCTGCTCTACCAAAGGGAATGTTCTACTCTGTGACTTGAATGCAAACATCCCAAAGAAGTTTCTGAGAATGCTTCTGTCTAGATTTTATCTGAAGACAATCCCGTTTCCAACGAAATCCTCAAGGCTAGGCAAATATACTCTTGCAGATTCCAGAAAAAGAGTGTTTCAAAACTGCTCCTTCAAAACGGTGGTTCACCTCTCTTAGTTGAGTACACACATCTCAAATATGTTTCTGAGAATGCTTCTGCCTAGTTGTTACGGGAAGATATTTCCCTTTCCAACATGGGCCTGAAAGCGCTCCAAATGTCCACTTCCAGATACTACAAAAAGAGTGTTTCAAACCTGCTCTACCAAAGGGAATGTTCTACTCTGTGACTTGAATGCAAACATCCCAAAGAAGTTTCTGAGAATGCTTCTGTCTAGATTTTACCTGAAGACAATCCCGTTTCCCACGAAATCCTCAAAGCTATGCAAATATCCTCTTGCAGATTCTACAAAAAGAGTGTTTCAAAACTGCTCTATGAAAAGAAAGGTTCAACTCTGTCAGTAGAGGGCACACATCACAAACAAGTTTCTGAGAATGCTTCTGCATAGTTGTTACGGGAAGATATTTCCCTTTCCAAAATAGGCCTGAAAGCGCTCCAAATGTCCACTTCCAGATACTACAAAAGGAGTGATTCCAACCTGCTCTATGATAGGGAATGTTCAACTCTGTGTCCTGAATACAAACATCACAAAGATGTTTCTCAGAACGCTGCAGTCTGCAATTTGTATGAATTCCCGCTTCCAACGAAATCCTCAAAACTAGCCAAATATCCACTTGCAGATTCCACAAAAAGACCATTTCAAAACTGCTCTATCAAAAGAAAGGTTCAACTTTGTTAGTTGAGTAGATACAGCATAACCAAGTTTCTGAGAATGCTTCTGTCCAGTTTTTATGGGAAGATATTTCCTTTTTCACCTTAGCCCTGAAATCGCTCCAAAAGTCCAGTTCCAGATACTACAAAAGGGGTGTTTCAAGACTGCTCTATGAAAGGGAGTGTTCAACTTTTGACTTGAATGCAAACATCAGAAAGCAGTTTCTCAGAACGCTGCTGTGTGCTTTTTATATGTATTCCCGCTTCCAGCGAAATCCCCAAAGCTAGCCAAATATCCACTTGCAGATTCCAGAAAAAGAGAGTTTCAAAACTGCTCCTTCAAAACGGTGGTTCAATTCTCTTAGTTGAGTACACACATCTCAAATAAGTTTCTGAGAATGCTTCTGTCTAGTTGTTATGGGAAGATATTTCCTTTTCCAACATAGGCCTGAAAGCGCTCCAAATGTCCACTTCCAGATACTACAAAAGGAGTGATTCAAACCTGCTCTATGATAGGGAATGTTCAACTCTGTGTCCTGAATACAAACATCACAAAGATGTTTCTCAGAACGCTGCAGTCTGCAATTTGTATGAATTCCCGCTTCCAACGAAATCCTCAAAACTAGCCAAATATCCACTTGCAGATTCCACAAAAAGAGCGTTTCAAAACTTCTCTATGAAAAGAAAGGTTCTACTCCTTTAGTTGAGGACACACATCACGAGTAAGTTTCTGAGAATGCTTCTGTCTAGTTTTTATGGGAAGATATTTCCCTTTTCACCTTAGGCCAGTAAGTGCTCCAAATGTCCACTTACACACACTACAAAAAGAGTGTTTCAAACCTGCTCTGTGAAAGGGAATGTTCAATTCTGTGACTTGAATGCAATCATCACAAAGAACTTTCTGAGAATGCTGCTGACTGCTTTTTATATGTAATCCCGTTTCCAACGAAATCCTCAAATCTAGCCAAATAGCCACTTGCAGATTCCACAAAAAGAGTGTTTCAAAACTGTTCTGTCTAAAGAAATGTTCAACTGTGTTAGTTGAGGACACACATCAGAAACTAGTTTCTGAGAATGCTTCTGTCTAGTTGTTATGGGAAGATATTTCCTTTTCCAACGTAGGCCTGAAAGCGATCCAAATGTCCACTTCCATATACTACAAAAAGAGTGTTTCAAACCTGCTCTACCAAAGGGAATGTTCTACTCTGTGACTTGAATGCAAACATCCCAAAGAAGTTTCTGAGAATGCTTCTGTCTAGATTTTCTCTGAAGACAATCCCGTTTCCAACGAAATCCTCAAGGCTAGGCAAATATACTCTTGCAGATTCCAGAAAAAGAGTGTTTCAAAACTGCTCCTTCAAAACGGTGGTTCAATTCTCTTAGTTGAGTACACACATCTCAAATAAGTTTCTGAGAATGCTTCTGCCTAGTTGTTACGGGAAGATATTTCCCTTTCCAACATGGGCCTGAAAGCGCTCCAAATGTCCACTTCCAGATACTACAAAAAGAGTGTTTCAAACCTGCTCTACCAAAGGGAATGTTCTACTCTGTGACTTGAATGCAAACATCCCAAAGAAGTTTCTGAGAATGCTTCTGTCTAGATTTTACCTGAAGACAATCCCGTTTCCCACGAAATCCTCAAAGCTATGCAAATATCCTCTTGCAGATTCTACAAAAAGAGTGTTTCAAAACTGCTCTATGAAAAGAAAGGTTCAACTCTGTCAGTAGAGGGCACACATCACAAACAAGTTTCTGAGAATGCTTGTGTCTAGTTGTTATGGGAAGATATTTCCTTTTTCAACATAGGCCTGAAAGCGCTCCAAATGTCCACTTCCAGATACTACAAAAGGAGTGATTCCAACCTGCTCTATGATAGGGAATGTTCAACTCTCTGTCCTGAATACAAACATCACAAAGATGTTTCTCAGAACGCTGCAGTCTGCAATTTGTATGAATTCCCGCTTCCAGCGAAATCCTCAAAACTAGCCAAATATCCACTTGCAGATTCCACAAAAAGAGCATTTCAAAACTGCTCTATCAAAAGAAAGGTTCAACTTTGTTAGTTGAGTAGATACAGCATAAACAAGTTTCTGAGAATGCTTCTGTCCAGTTTTTATGGGAAGATATTTCCTTTTTCACCTTAGCCCTGAAAGCGCTCCAAAAGTCCAGTTCCAGATACTACAAAAGGAGTGTTTCAGGACTGCTCTATGAAAGGGAGTGTTCAACTTTTGACTTGAATGCAAACATCAGAAAGCAGTTTCTCAGAACGCTGCTGTGTGCTTTTTATATGTATTCCCGCTTCCAGCGAAATCCCCAAAGCTAGCCAAATATCCACTTGCAGATTCCAGAAAAAGAGTGTTTCAAAACTGCTCCTTCAAAACGGTGGTTCAATTCTCTTAGTTGAGTACACACATCTCAAATAAGTTTCTGAGAATGCTTCTGTCTAGTTGTTATGGGAAGATATTTCCTTTTCCAACATAGGCCTGAAAGCGCTCCAAATGTCCACTTCCAGATACTACAAAAGGAGTGATTCCAACCTGCTCTATGATAGGGAATGTTCAAATCTGTGTCCTGAATACAAACATCACAAAGATGTTTCTCAGAACGCTGCAGTCTGCAATTTGTATGAATTCCCGCTTCCAACGAAATCCTCCAAACTAGCCAAATATCCACTTGCAGATTCCACAAAAAGAGCGTTTCAAAACTTCTCTATGAAAAGAAAGGTTCTACTCCTTTAGTTGAGGACACACATCACGAGTAAGTTTCTGAGAATGCTTCTGTCTAGTTTTTATGGGAAGATATTTCCTTTTTCACCTTAGGCCGGAAAGTGCTCCAAATGTCCACTTACACACACTACAAAAAGAGTGTTTCAAACCTGCTCTGTGAAAGGGAATGTTCAATTCTGTGACTTGAATGCAATCATCACAAAGAACTTTCTGAGAATGCTGCTGTCTGCTTTTTATATGTAATCCCGTTTCCAACGGAAATCCTCAAATCTAGCCAAATATCCACTTGCAGATTCCACAAAGAGAGTGTTTCAAAACTGTTCTGTCTAAAGAAATGTTCAACTGTGTTAGTTGAGGACACACATCAGAAACTAGTTTCTGAGAATGCTTCTGTCTAGTTGTTATGGGAAGATATTTCCTTTTCCAACGTAGGCCTGAAAGCGATCCAAATGTCCACTTCCATATACTAAAAAAAGAGTGTTTCAAACCTGCTCTACCAAAGGGAATGTTCTACTCTGTGACTTGAATGCAAACATCCCAAAGAAGTTTCTGAGAATGCTTCTGTCTAGATTTTCTCTGAAGACAATCCCGTTTCCAACGAAATCCTCAAGGCTAGGCAAATATACTCTTGCAGATTCCAGAAAAAGAGTGTTTCAAAACTGCTCCTTCAAAACGGTGGTTCAATTCTCTTAGTTGAGTACACACATCTCAAATAAGTTTCTGAGAATGCTTCTGCCTAGTTGTTACGGGAAGATATTTCCCTTTCCAACATGGGCCTGAAAGCGCTCCAAATGTCCACTTCCAGATACTACAAAAAGAGTGTTTCAAACCTGCTCTACCAAAGGGAATGTTCTACTCTGTGACTTGAATGCAAACATCCCAAAGAAGTTTCTGAGAATGCTTCTGTCTAGATTTTACCTGAAGACAATCCCGTTTCCCACGAAATCCTCAAAGCTATGCAAATATCCTCTTGCAGATTCTACAAAAAGAGTGTTTCAAAACTGCTCTATGAAAAGAAAGGTTCAACTCTGTCAGTAGAGGGCACACATCACAAACAAGTTTCTGAGAATGCTTCTGCATAGTTGTTACGGGAAGATATTTCCCTTTCCAAAATAGGCCTGAAAGCGCTCCAAATGTCCACTTCCAGATACTACAAAAGGAGTGATTCCAACCTGCTCTATGATAGGGAATGTTCAACTCTGTGTCCTGAATACAAACATCACAAAGATGTTTCTCAGAACGCTGCAGTCTGCAATTTGTATGAATTCCCGCTTCCAACGAAATCCTCAAAACTAGCCAAATATCCACTTGCAGATTCCACAAAAAGACCATTTCAAAACTGCTCTATCAAAAGAAAGGTTCAACTTTGTTAGTTGAGTAGATACAGCATAACCAAGTTTCTGAGAATGCTTCTGTCCAGTTTTTATGGGAAGATATTTCCTTTTTCACCTTAGCCCTGAAATCGCTCCAAAAGTCCAGTTCCAGATACTACAAAAGGGGTGTTTCAAGACTGCTCTATGAAAGGGAGTGTTCAACTTTTGACTTGAATGCAAACATCAGAAAGCAGTTTCTCAGAACGCTGCTGTGTGCTTTTTATATGTATTCCCGCTTCCAGCGAAATCCCCAAAGCTAGCCAAATATCCACTTGCAGATTCCAGAAAAAGAGTGTTTCAAAACTGCTCCTTCAAAACGGTGGTTCAATTCTCTTAGTTGAGTACACACATCTCAAATAAGTTTCTGAGAATGCTTCTGTCTAGTTGTTATGGGAAGATATTTCCTTTTCCAACATAGGCCTGAAGCGCTCCAAATGTCCACTTCCAGATACTACAAAAGGAGTGATTCAAACCTGCTCTATGATAGGGAATGTTCAACTCTGTGTCCTGAATACAAACATCACAAAGATGTTTCTCAGAACGCTGCAGTCTGCAATTTGTATGAATTCCCGCTTCCAACGAAATCCTCCAAACTAGCCAAATATCCACTTGCAGATTCCACAAAAAGAGCGTTTCAAAACTTCTCTATGAAAAGAAAGGTTCTACTCCTTTAGTTGAGGACACACATCACGAGTAAGTTTCTGAGAATGCTTCTGTCTAGTTTTTATGGGAAGATATTTCCTTTTTCACCTTAGGCCGGTAAGTGCTCCAAATGTCCACTTACACACACTACAAAAAGAGTGTTTCAAACCTGCTCTGTGAAAGGGAATGTTCAATTCTGTGACTTGAATGCAATCATCACAAAGAACTTTCTGAGAATGCTGCTGACTGCTTTTTATATGTAATCCCGTTTCCAACGAAATCCTCAAATCTAGCCAAATAGCCACTTGCAGATTCCACAAAAAGAGGGTTTCAAAACTGTTCTGTCTAAAGAAATGTTCAACTGTGTTAGTTGAGGACACACATCAGAAACTAGTTTCTGAGAATGCTTCTGTCTAGTTGTTATGGGAAGATATTTCCTTTTCCAACGTAGGCCTGAAAGCGATCCAAATGTCCACTTCCATATACTAAAAAAAGAGTGTTTCAAACCTGCTCTACCAAAGGGAATGTTCTACTCTGTGACTTGAATGCAAACATCCCAAAGAAGTTTCTGAGAATGCTTCTGTCTAGATTTTCTCTGAAGACAATCCCGTTTCCAACGAAATCCTCAAGGCTAGGCAAATATACTCTTGCAGATTCCAGAAAAAGAGTGTTTCAAAACTGCTCCTTCAAAACGGTGGTTCAATTCTCTTAGTTGAGTACACACATCTCAAATAAGTTTCTGAGAATGCTTCTGCCTAGTTGTTACGGGAAGATATTTCCCTTTCCAACATGGGCCTGAAAGCGCTCCAAATGTCCACTTCCAGATACTACAAAAAGAGTGTTTCAAACCTGCTCTACCAAAGGGAATGTTCTACTCTGTGACTTGAATGCAAACATCCCAAAGAAGTTTCTGAGAATGCTTCTGTCTAGATTTTACCTGAAGACAATCCCGTTTCCCACGAAATCCTCAAAGCTATGCAAATATCCTCTTGCAGATTCTACAAAAAGAGTGTTTCAAAACTGCTCTATGAAAAGAAAGGTTCAACTCTGTCAGTAGAGGGCACACATCACAAACAAGTTTCTGAGAATGCTTCTGCATAGTTGTTACGGGAAGATATTTCCCTTTCCAAAATAGGCCTGAAAGCGCTCCAAATGTCCACTTCCAGATACTACAAAAGGAGTGATTCCAACCTGCTCTATGATAGGGAATGTTCAACTCTGTGTCCTGAATACAAACATCACAAAGATGTTTCTCAGAACGCTGCAGTCTGCAATTTGTATGAATTCCCGCTTCCAACGAAATCCTCAAAACTAGCCAAATATCCACTTGCAGATTCCACAAAAAGACCATTTCAAAACTGCTCTATCAAAAGAAAGGTTCAACTTTGTTAGTTGAGTAGATACAGCATAAACAAGTTTCTGAGAATGCTTCTGTCCAGTTTTTATGGGAAGATATTTCCTTTTTCACCTTAGCCCTGAAAGCGCTCCAAATTTCCAGTTCCAGATACTACAAAAGGGGTGTTTCAAGACTGCTCTATGAAAGGGAGTGTTCAACTTTTGACTTGAATGCAAACATCAGAAAGCAGTTTCTCAGAACGCTGCTGTGTGCTTTTTATATGTATTCCCGCTTCCAGCGAAATCCCCAAAGCTAGCCAAATATCCACTTGCAGATTCCAGAAAAAGAGTGTTTCCAAACTGCTCCTTCAAAACGGTGGTTCAATTCTCTTAGTTGAGTACACACATCTCAAATAAGTTTGCTGGGAATGCTTGTGACTAGTTGTTATGGGAAGATATTTCCTTTTTCAACATAGGCCTGAAAGCGATCCAAATGTCCACTTCCAGATACTACAAAAGGAGTGATTCCAACATGCTCTATGATAGGGAATGTTCATCTCTGTGTCTTGAATACAAACATCACAAAGATGTTTCTCAGAACTCTGCAGTCTGCAATTTGTATGAATTCCCGCTTCCAACGAAATCCTCCAAACTAGCCAAATATCCACTTGCAGATTCCACAAAAAGAGCGTTTCAAAACTTCTCTATGAAAAGAAAGGTTCTACTCCTTTAGTTGAGGACACACATCACGAGTAAGTTTCTGAGAATGCTTCTGTCTAGTTTTTATGGGAAGATATTTCCTTTTTCACCTTAGGCCGGAAAGTGCTCCAAATGTCCACTTACACACACTACAAAAAGAGTGTTTCAAACCTGCTCTGTGAAAGGGAATGTTCAATTCTGTGACTTGAATGCAATCATCACAAAGAACTTTCTGAGAATGCTGCTGTCTGCTTTTTATATGTAATCCCGTTTCCAACGAAATCCTCAAATCTAGCCAAATAGCCACTTGCAGATTCCACAAAAAGAGAGTTTCAAAACTGTTCTGTCTAAAGAAATGTTCAACTGTGTTAGTTGAGGACACACATCAGAAACTAGTTTCTGAGAATGCTTCTGTCTAGTTGTTATGGGAAGATATTTCCTTTTCCAACGTAGGCCTGAAAGCGCTCCAAATGTCCACTTCCATATACTAAAAAAAGAGTGTTTCAAACCTGCTCTACCAAAGGGAATGTTCTACTCTGTGACTTGAATGCAAACATCCCAAAGAAGTTTCTGAGAATGCTTCTGTCTAGATTTGATCTGAAGACAATCCCGTTTCCAACGAAATCCTCAAGGCTAGGCAAATATCCTCTTGCAGATTCCAGAAAAAGAGTGTTTCAAAACTGCTCCTTCAAAACGGTGGTTCAATTCTCTTAGTTGAGTACACACATCTCAAATAAGTTTTTGAGAATGCTTCTGCCTAGTTGTTACGGGAAGATATTTCCCTTTCCAACATAGGCCTGAAAGCGCTCCAAATGTCCACTTCCAGATACTACAAAAAGAGTGTTTCAAACCTGCTCTACCAAAGGGAATGTTCTACTCTGTGACTTGAATGCAAACATCCCAAAGAAGTTTCTGAGAATGCTTCTGTCTAGATTTTACCTGAAGACAATCCCGTTTCCCACGAAATCCTCAAAGCTATGCAAATATCCTCTTGCGGATTCTACAAAAAGAGTGTTTCAAAACTGCTCTATGAAAAGAAAGGTTCAACTCTGTCAGTAGAGGGCACACATCACAAACAAGTTTCTGAGAATGCTTGTGTCTAGTTGTTATGGGAAGATATTTCCTTTTTCAACATAGGCCTGAAAGCGCTCCAAATGTCCACTTCCAGATACTACAAAAGGAGTGATTCCAACATGCTCTATGATAGGGAATGTTCATCTCTGTGTCTTGAATACAAACATCACAAAGATGTTTCTCAGAACGCTGCAGTCTGCAATTTGTATGAATTCCCGCTTCCAACGAAATCCTCAACACTAGCCAAATATCCACTTGGAGATTCCACAAAAAGAGCGTTTCAAAACTTCTCTATGAATAGAAAGGTTCTACTCCTTTAGTTGAGGACACACATCACGAGTAAGTTTCTGAGAATGCTTCTGTCTAGTTTTTATGGGAAGATATGTCCTTTTTCACCTTAGGCCGGAAAGCGCTCCAAATGTCCACTTACACACACTACAAAAAGAGTGTTTCAAACCTGCTCTGTGAAAGGGAATGTTCAATTCTGTGACTTGAATGCAATCATCACAAAGAACTTTCTGAGAATGCTGCTGTCTGCTTTTTATATGTAATCCCGTTTCCAACGAAATCCTCAAATCTACCCCAATATCCACTTGCAGATTCCACAAAAAGAGTGTTTCAAAACTGTTCTGTGTAAAGAAATGTACAACTGTTTTAGTTGAGGACACACATCAGAAACTAGTTTCTGAGAATGCTTCTGTCTAGTTGTTATGGGAAGATATTTCCTTTTCCAACGTAGGCCTGAAAGCGCTCCAAATGTCCACTTCCATATACTAAAAAAAGAGTGTTTCAAACCTGCTCTACCAAAGGGAATGTTCTACTCTGTGACTTGAATGCAAACATCCCAAAGAAGTTTCTGAGAATGCTTCTGTCTAGATTTTATCTGAAGACAATCCCGTTTCCAACGAAATCCTCAAGGCTAGGCAAATATACTCTTGCAGATTCCAGAAAAAGAGGGTTTCAAAACTGCTCCTTCAAAACGGTGGTTCAATTCTCTTAGTTGAGTACACACATCTCAAATAAGTTTCTGAGAATGCTTCTGCCTAGTTGTTACGGGAAGATATTTCCCTTTCCAACATGGTCCTGAAAGCGCTCCAAATGTCCACTTCCAGATACTACAAAAAGAGTGTTTCAAACCTGCTCTACCAAAGGGAATGTTCTACTCTGTGACTTGAATGCAAACATCCCAAAGAAGTTTCTGAGAATGCTTCTGTCTAGATTTTACCTGAAGACAATCCCGTTTCCCACGAAATCCTCAAAGCTATGCAAATATCCTCTTGCAGATTCTACACAAAGAGTGTTTCAAAACTGCTCTATGAAAAGAAAGGTTCAACTCTGTCAGTAGCGGGCACACATCACAAACAAGTTTCTGAGAATGCTTGTGTCTAGTTGTTATGGGAAGATATTTCCTTTTTCAACATAGGCCTGAAAGCGCTCCAAATGTCCACTTCCAGATACTACAAAAGGAGTGATTCCAACCTGCTCTATGATAGGGAATGTTCAACTCT
The DNA here is from genome assembly GCF_000001405.40 of Homo sapiens. NCBI lineage: Eukaryota > Metazoa > Chordata > Mammalia > Primates > Hominidae > Homo > Homo sapiens. The sequence goes on along the minus strand of NC_000018.10, from coordinate 18,307,408 downwards.
GTGTCCTGAATACAAACATCACAAAGATGTTTCTCAGAACGCTGCAGTCTGCAATTTGTATGAATTCCCGCTTCCAACGAAATCCTCCAAACTAGCCAAATATCCACTTGCAGATTCCACAAAAAGAGCGTTTCAAAACTTCTCTATGAAAAGAAAGGTTCTACTCCTTTAGTTGAGGACACACATCACGAGTAAGTTTCTGAGAATGCTTCTGTCTAGTTTTTATGGGAAGATATTTCCTTTTTCACCTTAGGCCGGAAAGTGCTCCAAATGTCCACTTACACACACTATAAAAAGAGTGTTTCAAACCTGCTCTGTGAAAGGGAATGTTCAATTCTGTGACTTGAATGCAATCATCACAAAGAACTTTCTGAGAATGCTGCTGTCTGCTTTTTATATGTAATCCCGTTTCCAACGAAATCCTCAAATCTAGCCAAATAGCCACTTGCAGATTCCACAAAAAGAGAGTTTCAAAACTGTTCTGTCTAAAGAAATGTTCAACTGTGTTAGTTGAGGACACACATCAGAAACTAGTTTCTGAGAATGCTTCTGTCTAGTTGTTATGGGAAGATATTTCCTTTTCCAACGTAGGCCTGAAAGCGCTCCAAATGTCCACTTCCATATACTAAAAAAAGAGTGTTTCAAACCTGCTCTACCAAAGGGAATGTTCTACTCTGTGACTTGAATGCAAACATCCCAAAGAAGTTTCTGAGAATGCTTCTGTCTAGATTTGATCTGAAGACAATCCCGTTTCCAACGAAATCCTCAAGGCTAGGCAAATATCCTCTTGCAGATTCCAGAAAAAGAGTGTTTCAAAACTGCTCCTTCAAAACGGTGGTTCAATTCTCTTAGTTGAGTACACACATCTCAAATAAGTTTCTGAGAATGCTTCTGCCTAGTTGTTACGGGAAGATATTTCCCTTTCCAACATAGGCCTGAAAGCGCTCCAAATGTCCCACTTCCAGATACTACAAAAAGAGTGTTTCAAACCTGCTCTACCAAAGGGAATGTTCTACTCTGTGACTTGAATGCAAACATCCCAAAGAAGTTTCTGAGAATGCTTCTGTCTAGATTTTACCTGAAGACAATGCCGTTTCCCACGAAATCCTCAAAGCTAGGCAAATATCCTCTTGCAGATTCTACAAAAAGAGTGTTTCGAAACTGCTCTATGAAAAGAAAGGATCAACTGTGTCAGTAGAGGGCACACATCACAAACAAGTTTCTGAGAATGCTTCTGCATAGTTGTTACCGGGAAGATATTTCCCTTTCCAAAATAGGCCTGAAAGCGCTCCAAATGTCCACTTCCAGATACTACAAAAGGAGTGATTCCAACCTGCTCTATGATAGGGAATGTTCAACTCTGTGTCCTGAATACAAACATCACAAAGATGTTTCTCAGAACGCTGCAGTCTGCAATTTGTATGAATTCCCGCTTCCAACGAAATCCTCAAAACTAGCCAAATATCCACTTGCAGATTCCACAAAAAGACCATTTCAAAACTGCTCTATCAAAAGAAAGGTTCAACTTTGTTAGTTGAGTAGATACAGCATAAACAAGTTTCTGAGAATGCTTCTGTCCAGTTTTTATGGGAAGATATTTCCTTTTTCACCTTAGCCCTGAAATCGCTCCAAAAGTCCAGTTCCAGATACTACAAAAGGGGTGTTTCAAGACTGCTCTATGAAAGGGAGTGTTCAACTTTTGACTTGAATGCAAACATCAGAAAGCAGTTTCTCAGAACGCTGCTGTGTGCTTTTTATATGTATTCCCGCTTCCAGCGAAATCCCCAAAGCTAGCCAAATATCCACTTGCAGATTCCAGAAAAAGAGAGTTTCAAAACTGCTCCTTCAAAACGGTGGTTCAATTCTCTTAGTTGAGTACACACATCTCAAATAAGTTTCTGAGAATGCTTCTGTCTAGTTGTTATGGGAAGATATTTCCTTTTCCAACATAGGCCTGAAAGCGCTCCAAATGTCCACTTCCAGATACTACAAAAGGAGTGATTCCAACCTGCTCTATGATAGGGAATGTTCAACTCTGTGTCCTGAATACAAACATCACAAAGATGTTTCTCAGAACGCTGCAGTCTGCAATTTGTATGAATTCCCGCTTCCAACGAAATCCTCAAACCTAGCCAAACATCCACTTGCAGAGTCCACAAAAAGAGCGTTTCAAAACTTCTCTATGAAAAGAAAGGTTCTACTCCTTTAGTTGAGGACACACATCACGAGTAAGTTTCTGAGAATGCTTCTGTCTAGTTTTTATGGGAAGATATTTTCCTTGTTCACCTTAGGCCGGAAAGCGCTCCAAATGTCCACTTACACACACTACAAAAAGAGTGTTTCAAACCTGCTCTGTGAAAGGGAATGTTCAATTCTGTGACTTGAATGCAATCATCACAAAGAAGTTTCTGAGAATGCTGCTGTCTGCTTTTTATATGTAATCCCGTTTCCAACGAAATCCTCAAATCTAGCCAAATATCCACTTGCAGATTCCACAAAAAGAGTGTTTCAAAACTGTTCTGTCTAAAGAAATGTTCAACTGTGTTAGTTGAGGACACACATCAGAAACTAGTTTCTGAGAATGCTTCTGTCTAGTTGTTATGGGAAGATATTTCCTTTTCCAACGTAGGCCTGAAAGCGCTCAAAATGTCCACTTCCATATACTAAAAAAAGGGTGTTTCAAACCTGCTCTACCAAAGGGAATGTTCTACTCTGTGACTTGAATGCAAACATCCCAAAGAAGTTTCTGAGAATGCTTCTGTCTAGATTTGATCTGAAGACAATCCCGTTTCCAACGAAATCCTCAAAGCTAGGCAAATATACTCTTGCAGATTCCAGAAAAAGAGTGTTTCAAAACTGCTCCTTCAAAAGGGTGGTTCAATTCTCTTAGTTGAGTACACACATCTCAAATAAGTTTCTGAGAATGCTTCTGCCTAGTTGTTACGGGAAAGATATTTCCCTTTCCAACATGGGCCTGAAAGCGCTCCAAATGTCCACTTCCAGATACTACAAAAAGAGTGTTTCAAACCTGCTCTACCAAAGGGAATGTTCTACTCTGTGACTTGAATGCAAACATCCCAAAGAAGTTTCTGAGAATGCTTCTGTCTAGATTTTACCTGAAGACAATCCCGTTTCCCACGAAATCCTCAAAGCTATGCAAATATCCTCTTGCAGATTCTACAAAAAGAGTGTTTCAAAACTGCTCTATGAAAAGAAAGGTTCAACTCTGTCAGTAGAGGGCACATATCACAAACAAGTTTCTGAGAATGCTTCTGCATAGTTGTTACGGGAAGATATTTCCCTTTCCAAAATAGGCCTGAAAGCGCTCCAAATGTCCACTTCCAGATACTACAAAAGGAGTGATTCCAACCTGCTCTATGATAGGGAATGTTCAACTCTGTGTCCTGAATACAAACATCACAAAGATGTTTCTCAGAACGCTGCAGTCTGCAATTTGTATGAATTCCCGCTTCCAACGAAATCCTCAAAACTAGCCAAATATCCACTTGCAGATTCCACAAAAAGACCATTTCAAAACTGCTCTATCAAAAGAAAGGTTCAACTTTGTTAGTTGAGTAGATACAGCATAAACAAGTTTCTGAGAATGCTTCTGTCCAGTTTTTATGGGAAGATATTTCCTTTTTCACCTTAGCCCTGAAAGCGCTCCAAAAGTCCAGTTCCAGATACTACAAAAGGAGTGTTTCAGGACTGCACTATGAAAGGGAGTGTTCAACTTTTGACTTGAATGCAAACATCAGAAAGCAGTTTTCTCAGAACGCTGCTGTGTGCTTTTTATATGTATTCCCGCTTCCAGCGAAATCCCCAAGCTAGCCAAATATCCACTTGCAGATTCCAGAAAAAGAGAGTTTCAAAACTGCTCCTTCAAAACGGTGGTTCAATTCTCTTAGTTGAGTACACACATCTCAAATAAGTTTCTGAGAATGCTTCTGTCTAGTTGTTATGGGAAGATATTTCCTTTTCCAACATAGGCCTGAAAGCGCTCCAAATGTCCACTTCCAGATACTACAAAAGGAGTGATTCCAACCTGCTCTATGATAGGGAATGTTCAACTCTGTGTCCTGAATACAAACATCACAAAGATGTTTCTCAGAACGCTGCAGTCTGCAATTTGTATGAATTCCCGCTTCCAACGAAATCCTCAAAACTAGCCAAATATCCACTTGCAGATTCCACAAAAAGAGCGTTTCAAAACTTCTCTATGAAAAGAAAGGTTCTACTCCTTTAGTTGAGGACACACATCACGAGTAAGTTTCTGAGAATGCTTCTGTCTAGTTTTTATGGGAAGATATTTCCTTTTTCACCTTAGGCCGGTAAGTGCTCCAAATGTCCACTTACACACACTACAAAAAGAGTGTTTCAAACCTGCTCTGTGAAAGGGAATGTTCAATTCTGTGACTTGAATGCAATCATCACAAAGAACTTTCTGAGAATGCTGCTGACTGCTTTTTATATGTAATCCCGTTTCCAACGAAATCCTCAAATCTAGCCAAATAGCCACTTGCAGATTCCACAAAAAGAGTGTTTCAAAACTGTTCTGTCTAAAGAAATGTTCAACTGTGTTAGTTGAGGACACACATCAGAAACTAGTTTCTGAGAATGCTTCTGTCTAGTTGTTATGGGAAGATATTTCCTTTTCCAACGTAGGCCTGAAAGCGCTCCAAATGTCCACTTCCATATACTAAAAAAAGAGTGTTTCAAACCTGCTCTACCAAAGGGAATGTTCTACTCTGTGACTTGAATGCAAACATCCCAAAGAAGTTTCTGAGAATGCTTCTGTCTAGATTTTCTCTGAAGACAATCCCGTTTCCAACGAAATCCTCAAGGCTAGGCAAATATACTCTTGCAGATTCCAGAAAAAGAGTGTTTCAAAACTGCTCCTTCAAAACGGTGGTTCAATTCTCTTAGTTGAGTACACACATCTCAAATAAGTTTCTGAGAATGCTTCTGCCTATTTGTTACGGGAAGATATTTCCCTTTCCAACATGGGCCTGAAAGCGCTCCAAATGTCCACTTCCAGATACTACAAAAAGAGTGTTTCAAACCTGCTCTACCAAAGGGAATGTTCTACTCTGTGACTTGAATGCAAACATCCCAAAGAAGTTTCTGAGAATGCTTCTGTCTAGATTTTACCTGAAGACAATCCCGTTTCCCACGAAATCCTCAAAGCTATGCAAATATCCTCTTGCGGATTCTACAAAAAGAGTGTTTCAAAACTGCTCTATGAAAAGAAAGGTTCCACTCTGTCAGTAGAGGGCACACATCACAAACAAGTTTCTGAGAATGCTTGTGTCTAGTTGTTATGGGAAGATATTTCCTTTTTCAACATAGGCCTGAAAGCGCTCCAAATGTCCACTTCCAGATACTACAAAAGGAGTGATTCCAACCTGCTCTATGATAGGGAATGTTCAACTCTCTGTCCTGAATACAAACATCACAAAGATGTTTCTCAGAACGCTGCAGTCTGCAATTTGTATGAATTCCCGCTTCCAATGAAATCCTCAAAACTAGCCAAATATCCACTTGCAGATTCCACAAAAAGAGCATTTCAAAACTGCTCTATCAAAAGAAAGGTTCAACTTTGTTAGTTGAGTAGATACAGCATAAACAAGTTTCTGAGAATGCTTCTGTCCAGTTTTTATGGGAAGATATTTCCTTTTTCACCTTAGCCCTGAAAGCGCTCCAAAAGTCCAGTTCCAGATACTACAAAAGGAGTGTTTCAGGACTGCTCTATGAAAGGGAGTGTTCAACTTTTGACTTGAATGCAAACATCAGAAAGCAGTTTCTCAGAACGCTGCTGTGTGCTTTTTATATGTATTCCCGCTTCCAGCGAAATCCCCAAAGCTAGCCAAATATCCACTTGCAGATTCCAGAAAAAGAGTGTTTCAAAACTGCTCCTTCAAAACGGTGGTTCAATTCTCTTAGTTGAGTACACACATCTCAAATAAGTTTCTGAGAATGCTTCTGTCTAGTTGTTATGGGAAGATATTTCCTTTTCCAACATAGGCCTGAAAGCGCTCCAAATGTCCACTTCCAGATACTACAAAAGGAGTGATTCAAACCTGCTCTATGATAGGGAATGTTCAACTCTGTGTCCTGAATACAAACATCACAAAGATGTTTCTCAGAACGCTGCAGTCTGCAATTTGTATGAATTCCCGCTTCCAACGAAATCCTCCAAACTAGCCAAATATCCACTTGCAGATTCCACAAAAAGAGCGTTTCAAAACTTCTCTATGAAAAGAAAGGTTCTACTCCTTTAGTTGAGGACACACATCACGAGTAAGTTTCTGAGAATGCTTCTGTCTAGTTTTTATGGGAAGATATTTCCTTTTTCACCTTAGGCCGGAAAGCGCTCCAAATGTCCACTTACACACACTACAAAAAGAGTGTTTCAAACCTGCTCTGTGAAAGGGAATGTTCAATTCTGTGACTTGAATGCAATCATCACAAAGAACTTTCTGAGAATGCTGCTGACTGCTTTTTATATGTAATCCCGTTTCCAACGAAATCCTCAAATCTAGCCAAATAGCCACTTGCAGATTCCACAAAAAGAGTGTTTCAAAACTGTTCTGTCTAAAGAAATGTTCAACTGTGTTAGTTGAGGACACACATCAGAAACTAGTTTCTGAGAATGCTTCTGTCTAGTTGTTATGGGAAGATATTTCCTTTTCCAACGTAGGCCTGAAACCGCTCCAAATGTCCACTTCCATATACTAAAAAAAGAGTGTTTCAAACCTGCTCTACCAAAGGGAATGTTCTACTCTGTGACTTGAATGCAAACATCCCAAAGAAGTTTCTGAGAATGCTTCTGTCTAGATTTTCTCTGAAGACAATCCCGTTTCCAACGAAATCCTCATGGCTAGGCAAATATACTCTTGCAGATTCCAGAAAAAGAGTGTTTCAAAACTGCTCCTTCAAAACGGTGGTTCAATTCTCTTAGTTGAGTACACACATCTCAAATAAGTTTCTGAGAATGCTTCTGCCTAGTTGTTACGGGAAGATATTTCCCTTTCCAACATGGGCCTGAAAGCGCTCCAAATGTCCACTTCCAGATACTACAAAAAGAGTGTTTCAAACCTGCTCTACCAAAGGGAATGTTCTACTCTGTGACTTGAATGCAAACATCCCAAAGAAGTTTCTGAGAATGCTTCTGTCTAGATTTTACCTGAAGACAATCCCGTTTCCCACGAAATCCTCAAAGCTATGCAAATATCCTCTTGCAGATTCTACAAAAAGAGTGTTTCAAAACTGCTCTATGAAAAGAAAGGTTCAACTCTGTCAGTAGAGGGCACACATCACAAACAAGTTTCTGAGAATGCTTCTGCATAGTTGTTACGGGAAGATATTTCCCTTTCCAAAATAGGCCTGAAAGCGCTCCAAATGTCCACTTCCAGATACTACAAAAGGAGTGATTCCAACCTGCTCTATGATAGGGAATGTTCAACTCTGTGTCCTGAATACAAACATCACAAAGATGTTTCTCAGAACGCTGCAGTCTGCAATTTGTATGAATTCCCGCTTCCAACGAAATCCTCAAAACTAGCCAAATATCCACTTGCAGATTCCACAAAAAGACCATTTCAAAACTGCTCTATCAAAAGAAAGGTTCAACTTTGTTAGTTGAGTAGATACAGCATAAACAAGTTTCTGAGAATGCTTCTGTCCAGTTTTTATGGGAAGATATTTCCTTTTTCACCTTAGCCCTAAAATCGCTCCAAAAGTCCAGTTCCAGATACTACAAAAGGGGTGTTTCAAGACTGCTCTATGAAAGGGAGTGTTCAACTTTTGACTTGAATGCAAACATCAGAAAGCAGTTTCTCAGAACGCTGCTTTGTGCTTTTTATATGTATTCCCGCTTCCAGCGAAATCCCCAAAGCTAGCCAAATATCCACTTGCAGATTCCAGAAAAAGAGTGTTTCAAAACTGCTCCTTCAAAACGGTGGTTCAATTCTCTTAGTTGAGTAGACACATCTCAAATAAGTTTCTGAGAATGCTTCTGTCTAGTTGTTATGGGAAGATATTTCCTTTTCCAACATAGGCCTGAAAGCGCTCCAAATGTCCACTTCCAGATACTACAAAAGGAGTGATTCAAACCTGCTCTATGATAGGGAATGTTCAACTCTGTGTCCTGAATACAAACATCACAAAGATGTTTCTCAGAACGCTGCAGTCTGCAATTTGTATGAATTCCCGCTTCCAACGAAATCCTCAAAACTAGCCAAATATCCACTTGCAGATTCCACAAAAAGAGCGTTTCAAAACTTCTCTATGAAAAGGAAGGTTCTACTCCTTTAGTTGAGGACACACATCACGAGTAAGTTTACTGAGAATGCTTCTGTCTAGTTTTTATGGGAAGATTATTTCCTTTTTCACCTTAGGCCGGTAAGTGCTCCAAATGTCCACTTACACACACTACAAAAAGAGTGTTTCAAACCTGCTCTGTGAAAGGGAATGTTCAATTCTGTGACTTGAATGCAATCATCACAAAGAACTTTCTGAGAATGCCGCTGACTGCTTTTTATATGTAATCCCGTTTCCAACGAAATCCTCAAATCTAGCCAAATAGCCACTTGCAGATTCCACAAAAAGAGTGTTTCAAAACTGTTCTGTCTAAAGAAATGTTCAACTGTGTTAGTTGAGGACACACATCAGAAACTAGTTTCTGAGAATGCTTCTGTCTAGTTGTTATGGGAAGATATTTCCTTTTCCAACGTAGGCCTGAAAGCGCTCCAAATGTCCACTTCCAGATACTACAAAAAGAGTGTTTCAAACCTGCTCTACCAAAGGGAATGTTCTACTCTGTGACTTGAATGCAAGCATCCCAAAGAAGTTTCTGAGAATGCTTCTGTCTAGATTTTCTCTGAAGACAATCCCGTTTCCAACGAAATCCTCAAGGCTAGGCAAATATACTCTTGCAGATTCCAGAAAAAGAGTGTTTCAAAACTGCTCCTTCAAAACGGTGGTTCAATTCTCTTAGTTGAGTACACACATCTCAAATAAGTTTCTGAGAATGCTTCTGCCTAGTTGTTACGGGAAGATATTTCCCTTTCCAACATGGGCCTGAAAGCGCTCCAAATGTCCACTTCCAGATACTACAAAAAGAGTGTTTCAAACCTGCTCTACCAAAGGGAATGTTCTACTCTGTGACTTGAATGCAAACATCCCAAAGAAGTTTCTGAGAATGCTTCTGTCTAGATTTTACCTGAAGACAATCCCGTTTCCCACGAAATCCTCAAAGCTATGCAAATATCCTCTTGCAGATTCTACAAAAAGAGTGTTTCAAAACTGCTCTATGAAAAGAAAGGTTCAACTCTGTCAGTAGAGGGCACACATCACAAACAAGTTTCTGAGAATGCTTCTGCATAGTTGTTACGGGAAGATATTTCCCTTTCCAAAATAGGCCTGAAAGCGCTCCAAATGTCCACTTCCAGATACTACAAAAGGAGTGATTCCAACCTGCTCTATGATAGGGAATGTTCAACTCTGTGTCCTGAATACAAACATCACAAAGATGTTTCTCAGAACGCTGCAGTCTGCAATTTGTATGAATTCCCGCTTCCAACGAAATCCTCAAAACTAGCCAAATATCCACTTGCAGATTCCACAAAAAGAGCATTTCAAAACTGCTCTATCAAAAGAAAGGTTCAACTTTGTTAGTTGAGTAGATACAGCATAAACAAGTTTCTGAGAATGCTTCTGTCCAGTTTTTATGGGAAGATATTTCCTTTTTCACCTTAGCCCTGAAAGCGCTCCAAAAGTCCAGTTCCAGATACTACAAAAGGAGTGTTTCAGGACTGCACTATGAAAGGGAGTGTTCAACTTTTGACTTGAATGCAAACATCAGAAAGCAGTTTCTCAGAACGCTGCTGTGTGCTTTTTATATGTATTCCCGCTTCCAGCGAAATCCCCAAAGCTAGCCAAATATCCACTTGCAGATTCCAGAAAAAGAGTGTTTCAAAACTGCTCCTTCAAAACGGTGGTTCAATTCTCTTAGTTGAGTACACACATCTCAAATAAGTTTCTGAGAATGCTTCTGTCTAGCTGTTATGGGAAGATATTTCCTTTTCCATCATAGGCCTGAAAGCGCTCCAAATGTCCACTTCCAGATACTACAAAAGGAGTGATTCAAACCTGCTCTATGATAGGGAATGTTCAACTCTGTGTCCTGAATACAAACATCACAAAGATGTTTCTCAGAACGCTGCAGTCTGCAATTTGTATGAATTCCCGCTTCCAACGAAATCCTCAAAACTAGCCAAATATCCACTTGCAGATTCCACAAAAAGAGCGTTTCAAAACTTCTCTATGAAAAGAAAGGTTCTACTCCTTTAGTTGAGGACACACATCACGAGTAAGTTTCTGAGAATGCTTCTGTCTAGTTTTTATGGGAAGATATTTCTTTTTTCCCTTAGGCCGGAAAGCGCTCCAAATGTCCACTTACACACACTACAAAAAGAGTGTTTCAAACCTGCTCTGTGAAAGGGAATGTTCAATTCTGTGACTTGAATGCAATCATCACAAAGAACTTTCTGAGAATGCTGCTGACTGCTTTTTATATGTAATCCCGTTTCCAACGAAATCCTCAAATCTAGCCCAATATCCACTTGCAGATTCCACAAAAAGAGTGTTTCAAAACTGTTCTGTCTAAAGAAATGTACAACTGTGTTAGTTGAGGACACACATCAGAAACTAGTTTCTGAGAATGCTTCTGTCTAGTTGTTATGGGAAGATATTTCCTTTTCCAACGTAGGCCTGAAAGCGCTCCAAATGTCCACTTCCATATACTAAAAAAAGAGTGTTTCAAACCTGCTCTACCAAAGGGAATGTTCTACTCTGTGACTTGAATGCAAACATCCCAAAGAAGTTTCTGAGAATGCTTCTGTCTAGATTTTATCTGAAGACAATCCCGTTTCCAACGAAATCCTCAAGGCTAGGCAAATATACTCTTTCAGATTCCAGAAAAAGAGTGTTTCAAAACTGCTCCTTCAAAACTGTGGTTCAATTCTCTTCGTTGAGTACACACATCTCAAATAAGTTTCTGAGAATGCTTCTGCCTAGTTGTTACGGGAAGATATTTCCCTTTCCAACATGGGCCTGAAAGCGCTCCAAATGTCCACTTCCAGATACTACAAAAAGAGTGTTTCAAACCTGCTCTACCAAAGGGAATGTTCTACTCTGTGACTTGAATGCAAACATCCCAAAGAAGTTTCTGAGAATGCTTCTGTCTAGATTTTACCTGAAGACAATCCCGTTTCCCACGAAATCCTCAAAGCTATGCAAATATCCTCTTGCGGATTCTACAAAAAGAGTGTTTCAAAACTGCTCTATGAAAAGAAAGGTTCAACTCTGTCAGTAGAGGGCACACATCACAAACAAGTTTCTGAGAATGCTTGTGTCTAGTTGTTATGGGAAGATATTTCCTTTTTCAACATAGGCCTGAAAGCGCTCCAAATGTCCACTTCCAGATACTACAAAAGGAGTGATTCCAACCTGCTCTATGATAGGGAATGTTCATCTCTGTGTCCCGAATACAAACATCACAAAGATGTTTCTCAGAACGCTGCAGTCTGCAATTTGTATGAATTCCCGCTTCCAACGAAATCCTCAAAACTAGCCAAATATCCACTTGCAGATTCCACAAAAAGAGCGTTTCAAAACTTCTCTATGAAAAGAAAGGTTCTACTCCTTTAGTTGAGGACACACATCACGAGTAAGTTTCTGAGAATGCTTCTGTCTAGTTTTTATGGGAAGATATTTCCTTTTTCACCTTAGGCCGGTAAGGGTTCCAAATGTCCACTTACACACACTACAAAAAGAGTGTTTCAAACCTGCTCTGTGAAAGGGAATGTTCAATTCTGTGACTTGAATGCAATCATCACAAAGAACTTTCTGAGAATGCTGCTGACTGCTTTTTATATGTAATCCCGTTTCCAACGAAATCCTCAAATCTAGCCAAATAGCCACTTGCAGATTCCACAAAAAGAGTGTTTCAAAACTGTTCTGTCTAAAGAAATGTTCAACTTGTGTTAGTTGAGGACACACATCAGAAACTAGTTTCTGAGAATGCTTCTGTCTAGTTGTTATGGGAAGATATTTCCTTTTCCAACGTAGGCCTGAAAGCGCTCCAAATGTCCACTTCCAGATACTACAAAAAGAGTGTTTCAAACCTGCTCTACCAAAGGGAATGTTCTACTCTGTGACTTGAATGCAAGCATCCCAAAGAAGTTTCTGAGAATGCTTCTGTCTAGATTTTCTCTGAAGACAATCCCGTTTCCAACGAAATCCTCAAGGCTAGGCAAATATACTCTTGCAGATTCCAGAAAAAGAGTGTTTCAAAACTGCTCCTTCAAAACGGTGGTTCAATTCTCTTAGTTGAGTACACACATCTCAAATAAGTTTCTGAGAATGCTTCTGCCTAGTTGTTACGGGAAGATATTTCCCTTTCCAACATGGGCCTGAAAGCGCTCCAAATGTCCACTTCCAGATACTACAAAAAGAGTGTTTCAAACCTGCTCTACCAAAGGGAATGTTCTACTCTGTGACTTGAATGCAAACATCCCAAAGAAGTTTCTGAGAATGCTTCTGTCTAGATTTTACCTGAAGACAATCCCGTTTCCCACGAAATCCTCAAAGCTATGCAAATATCCTCTTGCAGATTCTACAAAAAGAGTGTTTCAAAACTGCTCTATGAAAAGAAAGGTTCAACTCTGTCAGTAGAGGGCACACATCACAAACAAGTTTCTGAGAATGCTTCTGCATAGTTGTTACGGGAAGATATTTCCCTTTCCAAAATAGGCCTGAAAGCGCTCCAAATGTCCACTTCCAGATACTACAAAAGGAGTGATTCCAACCTGCTCTATGATAGGGAATGTTCAACTCTGTGTCCTGAATACAAACATCACAAAGATGTTTCTCAGAACGCTGCAGTCTGCAATTTGTATGAATTCCCGCTTCCAACGAAATCCTCAAAACTAGCCAAATATCCACTTGCAGATTCCACAAAAAGACCATTTCAAAACTGCTCTATCAAAAGAAAGGTTCAACTTTGTTAGTTGAGTAGATACAGCATAAACAAGTTTCTGAGAATGCTTCTGTCCAGTTTTTATGGGAAGATATTTCCTTTTTCACCTTAGCCCTGAAAGCGCTCCAAAAGTCCAGTTCCAGATACTACAAAAGGGGTGTTTCAGGACTGCTCTATGAAAGGGAGTGTTCAACTTTTGACTTGAATGCAAACATCAGAAAGCAGTTTCTCAGAACGCTGCTGTGTGCTTTTTATATGTATTCCCGCTTCCAGCGAAATCCCCAAAGCTAGCCAAATATCCACTTGCAGATTCCAGAAAAAGAGTGTTTCAAAACTGCTCCTTCAAAACGGTGGTTCAATTCTCTTAGTTGAGTACACACATCTCAAATAAGTTTCTGAGAATGCTTCTGTCTAGTTGTTATGGGAAGATATTTCCTTTTTCAACATAGGCCTGAAAGCGCTCCAAATGTCCACTTCCAGATACTACAAAAGGAGTGATTCCAACCTGCTCTATGATAGGGAATGTTCAACTCTGTGTCCTGAATACAAACATCACAAAGATGTTTCTCAGAACGCTGCAGTCTGCAATTTGTATGAATTCCCGCTTCCAACGAAATCCTCCAAACTAGCCAAATATCCACTTGCAGATTCCACAAAAAGAGCGTTTCAAAACTTCTCTATGAAAAGAAAGGTTCTACTTCTTTAGTTGAGGACACACATCACGAGTAAGTTTCTGAGAATGCTTCTGTCTAGTTTTTATGGGAAGATATTTCCTTGTTCACTTTAGGCCGGAAAGCGCTCCAAATGTCCACTTACACACACTACAAAAAGAGTGTTTCAAACCTGCTCTGTGAAAGGGAATGTTCAATTCTGTGACTTGAATGCAATCATCACAAAGAAGTTTCTGAGAATGCTGCTGTCTGCTTTTTATATGTAATCCCGTTTCCAACGAAATCCTCAAATCTAGCCAAATATCCACTTGCAGATTCCACAAAAAGAGTGTTTCAAAACTGTTCTGCTAAAGAAATGTTCAACTGTGTTAGTTGAGGACACACATCAGAAACTAGTTTCTGAGAATGCTTCTGTCTAGTTGTTATGGGAAGATATTTCCTTTTCCAACGTAGGCCTGAAAGCGCTCCAAATGTCCACTTACACACACTACAAAAAGAGTGTTTCAAACCTGCTCTACCAAAGGGAATGTTCTACTCTGTGACTTGAATGCAAACATCCCAAAGTAGTTTCTGAGAATGCTTCTGTCTAGATTTTACCTGAAGACAATCCCGTTTCCCACGAAATCCTCAAAGCTATGCAAATATCCTCTTGCAGATTCTACAAAAAGAGTGTTTCGAAACTGCTCTATGAAAAGAAAGGTTCAACTGTGTCAGTAGAGGGCACACATCACAAACAAGTTTCTGAGAATGCTTCTGTCTAGTTGTTATGGGAAGATATTTCCTTTTTCAACATAGGCCTGAAAGCGCTCCAAATGTCCACTTCCAGATACTAAAAAAGGAGTGATTCCAACCTGCTCTATGATAGGGAATGTTCAACTCTCTGTCCTGAATACAAACATCACAAAGATGTTTCTCAGAACGCTGCAGTCTGCAATTTGTATGAATTCCGGCTTCCAACGAAAATCCTCAAAACTAGCCAAATATCCACTTGCAGATTCCACAAAAAGAGCATTTCAAAACTGCTCTATCAAAAGAAAGGTTCAACTTTGTTAGTTGAGTAGATACAGCATAAACAAGTTTCTGAGAATGCTTCTGTCCAGTTTTTATGGGAAGATATTTCCTTTTTCACCTTAGCCCTGAAAGCGCTCCAAAAGTCCAGTTCCAGATACTACAAAAGGAGTGTTTCAGGACTGCTCTATGAAAGGGAGTGTTCAACTTTTGACTTGAATGCAAACATCAGAAAGCAGTTTCTCAGAACGCTGCTGTGTGCTTTTTATATGTATTCCCGCTTCCAGCGAAATCCCCAAAGCTAGCCAAATATCCACTTGCAGATTCCAGAAAAAGAGTGTTTCAAAACTGCTCCTTCAAAACGGTGGTTCAATTCTCTTAGTTGAGTACACACATCTCAAATAAGTTTCTGAGAATGCTTGTGTCTAGTTGTTATGGGAAGATATTTCCTTTTTCAACATAGGCCTGAAAGCGCTCCAAATGTCCACTTCCAGATACTACAAAAGGAGTGATTCCAACCTGCTCTATGATAGGGAATGTTCATCTCTGTGTCCTGAATACAAACATCACAAAGATGTTTCTCAGAACGCTGCAGTCTGCAATTTGGATGAATTCCCGCTTCCAACGAAATCCTCAAAACTAGCCAAATATCCACTTGGAGATTCCACAAAAGGAGAGTTTCAAAACTTCTCTATGAATAGAAAGGTTCTACTCCTTTAGTTGAGGAAACACATCACGAGTAAGTTTCTGAGAATGCTTCTGTCTAGTTTTTATGGGAAGATATTTCCTTTTTCACCTTAGGCCGGAAAGCGCTCCAAATGTCCACTTACACACACTACAAAAAGAGTGTTTCAAACCTGCTCTGTGAAAGGGAATGTTCAATTCTGTGACTTGAATGCAATCATCACAAAGAACTTTCTGAGAATGCTGCTGTCTGCTTTTTATATGTAATCCCGTTTCCAACGAAATCCTCAAATCTAGCCCAATATCCACTTGCATATTCCACAAAAAGAGTGTTTCAAAACTGTTCTGTATAAAGAAATGTACAACTGTGTTAGTTGAGGACACACATCAGAAACTAGTTTCTGAGAATGCTTCTGTCTAGTTGTTATGGGAAGATATTTCCTTTTCCAACATAGGCCTGAAAGCGCTCCAAATGTCCACTTCCATATACTAAAAAAAGAGTGTTTCAAACCTGCTCTACCAAAGGGAATGTTCTACTCTGTGACTTGAATGCAAACATCCCAAAGAAGTTTCTGAGAATGCTTCTGTCTAGATTTTATCTGAAGACAATCCCGTTTCCAACGAAATCTTCAAGGCTAGGCAAATATACTCTTGCAGATTCCAGAAAAAGAGTGTTTCAAAACTGCTCCTTCAAAACGGTGGTTCAATTCTCTTAGTTGAGTACACACATCTCAAATAAGTTTCTGAGAATGCTTCTGCCTAGTTGTTACGGGAAGATATTTCCCTTTCCAACATGGGCCTGAAAGCGCTCCAAATGTCCACTTCCAGATACTACAAAAAGAGGGTTTCAAACATGCTCTACCAAAGGGAATGTTCTACTCTGTGACTTGAATGCAAACATCCCAAAGAAGTTTCTGAGAATGCTTCTGTCTAGATTTTACCTGAAGACAATCCCGTTTCCCACGAAATCCTCAAAGCTATGCAAATATCCTCTTGCAGATTCTACAAAAAGAGTGTTTCAAAACTGCTCTATGAAAAGAAAGGTTCAACTCTGTCAGCAGAGGGCACACATCACAAACAAGTTTCTGAGAATGCTTGTGTCTAGTTGTTATGGGAAGATATTTCCTTTTTCAACACAGGCCTGAAAGCGCTCCAAATGTCCACTTCCAGATACTACAAAAGGAGTGATTCCAACCTGCTCTATGATAGGGAATGTTCATCTCTGTGTCCTGAATACAAACATCACAAAGATGTTTCTCAGAACGCTGCAGTCTGCAATTTGTATGAATTCCCGCATCCAACGAAATCCTCAAAACTAGCCAAATATCCACTTGGAGATTCCACAAAAAGAGCGTTTCAAACCTTCTCTATGAATAGAAAGGTTCTACTCCTTTAGTTGAGGACACACATCACGAGTAAGTTTCTGAGAATGCTTCTGTCTAGTTTTTATGGGAAGATATTTCCTTTTTCACCTTAGGCCGGAAAGCGCTCCAAATGTCCACTTACACACACTACAAAAAGAGTGTTTCAAACCTGCTCTGTGAAAGGGAATGTTCAATTCTGTGACTTGAATGCAATCATCACAAAGAACTTTCTGAGAATGCTGCTGACTGCTTTTTATATGTAATCCCGTTTCCAACGAAATCCTCAAATCTAACCAAATAGCCACTTGCAGATTCCACAAAAAGAGTGTTTCAAAACTGTTCTGTCTAAAGAAATGTTCAATGTGTTTGTTGAGGACACACATCAGAAACTAGTTTCTGAGAATGCTTCTGTCTGGTTGTTATGGGAAGATATTTCCTTTTCCAACGTAGGCCTGAAAGCGCTCCAAATGTCCACTTCCATATACTAAAAAAAGAGTGTTTCAAACCTGCTCTACCAAAGGGAATGTTCTACTCTGTGACTTGAATGCAAACATCCCAAAGAAGTTTCTGAGAATGCTTCTGTCTAGATTGGATCTGAAGACAATCCCGTTTCCAACGAAATCCTCAAATCTATGCAAATATCCTCTTGCAGATTCCAGAAAAAGAGTGTTTCAAAACTGCTCCTTCAAAACGGTGGTTCAATTCTCTTAGTTGAGTACACACATCTCAAATAAGTTTCTGAGAATGCTTCTGCCTAGTTGTTACCGGAAGATATTTCCCTTTCCAACATAGGCCTGAAAGCGCTCCAAATGTCCACTTCCAGATACTACAAAAAGAGTGTTTCAAACCTGCTCTACCAAAGGGAATGTTCTACTCTGTGACTTGAATGCAAACATCCCAAAGAAGTTTACTGAGAATGCTTCTGTCTAGATTTTACCTGAAGACAATCCCGTTTCCCACGAAATCCTCAAAGCTATGCAAATATCCTCTTGCAGATTCTACAAAAAGAGTGTTTCAAAACTGCCCTATGAAAAGAAAGGTTCAACTCTGTCAGTAGAGGGCACACATCACAAACAAGTTTCTGAGAATGCTTCTGCATAGTTGTTATGGGAAGATATTTCCCTTTCCAAAATAGGCCTGAAAGCGCTCCAAATGTCCACTTCCAGATACTACAAAAGGAGTGATTCCAACCTGCTCTATGATAGGGAATGTTCAACTCTGTGTCCTGAATACAAACATCACAAAGATGTTTCTCAGAACGCTGCAGTCTGCAATTTGTATGAATTCCCGCTTCCAACGAAATCCTCAAAACTAGCCAAATATCCACTTGCAGATTCCACAAAAAGACCATTTCAAAACTGCTCTATCAAAAGAAAGGTTCAACTTTGTTAGTTGAGTAGATACAGCATAAACAAGTTTCTGAGAATGCTTCTGTCCAGTTTTTATGGGAAGATATTTCCTTTTTCACCTTAGCCCTGAAAGCGCTCCAAAAGTCCAGTTCCAGATACTACAAAAGGAGTGTTTCAGACTGCACTATGAAAGGGAGTGTTCAACTTTTGACTTGAATGCAAACATCAGAAAGCAGTTTCTCAGAACGCTGCTGTGTGCTTTTTATATGTATTCCCGCTTCCAGCGAAATCCCCAAAGCTAGCCAAATATCCACTTGCAGATTCCAGAAAAAGAGTGTTTCAAAACTGCTCCTTCAAAACGGTGGTTCAATTCTCTTAGTTGAGTACACACATCTCAAATAAGTTTCTGAGAATGCTTGTGTCTAGTTGTTATGGGAAGATATTTCCTTTTTCAACATAGGCCTGAAAGCGCTCCAAATGTCCACTTCCAGATACTACAAAAGGAGTGATTCCAACCTGCTCTATGATAGGGAATGTTCAACTCTCTGTCCTGAATACAAACATCACAAAGATGTTTCTCAGAACGCTGCAGTCTGCAATTTGTATGAATTCCCGCTTCCAACGAAATCCTCAAAACTAGCCAAATATCCACTTGCAGATTCCACAAAAAGAGCGTTTCAAAACTTCTCTATGAAAAGAAAGGTTCTACTCCTTTAGTTGAGGACACACAATACGAGTAAGTTTCTGAGAATGCTTCTGTCCAGTTTTTATGGGAAGATATTTCCTTTTTCACCTTAGCCCTGAAAGCGCTCCAAAAGTCCAGTTCCAGATACTACAAAAGGAGTGTTTCAGGACTGCTCTATGAAAGGGAGTGTTCAACTTTTGACTTGAATGCAAACATCAGAAAGCAGTTTCTCAGAACGCTGCTGTGTGCTTTTTATATGTATTCCCGCTTCCAGCGAAATCCCCAAAGCTAGCCAAATATCCACTTGCAGATTCCAGAAAAAGAGTGTTTCAAAACTGCTCCTTCAAAACGGTGGTTCAATTCTCTTAGTTGAGTACACACATCTCAAATAAGTTTCTGAGAATGCTTCTGTCTAGTTGTTATGGGAAGATATTTCCTTTTCCAACATAGGCCTGAAAGCGCTCCAAATGTCCACTTCCAGATACTACAAAAGGAGTGATTCCAACCTGCTCTATGATAGGGAATGTTCAACTCTGTGTCCTGAATACAAACATCACAAAGATGTTTCTCAGAACGCTGCAGTCTGCAATTTGTATGAATTCCCGCTTCCAACGAAATCCTCAAAACTAGCCAAATATCCACTTGCAGATTCCACAAAAAGAGCATTTCAAAACTGCTCTATCAAAAGAAAGGTTCAACTTTGTTAGTTGAGTAGATACAGCATAAACAAGTTTCTGAGAATGCTTCTGTCCAGTTTTTATGGGAAGATATTTCCTTTTTCACCTTAGCCCTGAAAGCGCTCCAAAAGTCCAGTTCCAGACACTACAAAAGGAGTGTTTCAGGACTGCTCTATGAAAGGGAGTGTTCAACTTTTGACTTGAATGCAAACATCAGAAAGCAGTTTCTCAGAACGCTGCTGTGTGCTTTTTATATGTATTCCCGCTTCCAGCGAAATCCCCAAAGCTAGCCAAATATCCACTTGCAGATTCCAGAAAAAGAGTGTTTCAAAACTGCTCCTTCAAAACGGTGGTTCAATTCTCTTAGTTGAGTACACACATCTCAAATAAGTTTCTGAGAATGCTTCTGTCTAGTTGTTATGGGAAGATATTTCCTTTTCCAACATAGGCCTGAAAGCGCTCCAAATGTCCACTTCCAGATACTACAAAAGGAGTGATTCCAACCTGCTCTATGATAGGGAATGTTCAACTCTGTGTCCTGAATACAAACATCACAAAGATGTTTCTCAGAACGCTGCAGTCTGCAATTTGTATGAATTCCCGCTTCCAACGAAATCCTCCAAACTAGCCAAATATCCACTTGCAGATTCCACAAAAAGAGCGTTTCAAAACTTCTCTATGAAAAGAAAGGTTCTACTCCTTTAGTTGAGGACACACATCACGAGTAAGTTTCTGAGAATGCTTCTGTCTAGTTTTTATGGGAAGATATGTCCTTTTTCACCTTAGGCCGGAAAGCGCTCCAAATGTCCACTTACACACACTACAAAAAGAGTGTTTCAAACCTGCTCTGTGAAAGGGAATGTTCAATTCTGTGACTTGAATGCAATCATCACAAAGAACTTTCTGAGAATGCTTGCTGACTGCTTTTTATATGTAATCCCGTTTCCAACGAAATCCTCAAATCTAGCCCAATATCCACTTGCAGATTCCACAAAAAGAGTGTTTCAAAACTGTTCTGTGTAAAGAAATGTACAACTGTGTTAGTTGAGGACACACATCAGAAACTAGTTTCTGAGAATGCTTCTGTCTAGTTGTTATGGGAAGATATTTCCTTTTCCAACGTAGGCCTGAAAGCGCTCCAAATGTCCACTTCCATATACTAAAAAAAGAGTGTTTCAAACCTGCTCTACCAAAGGGAATGTTCTACTCTGTGACTTGAATGCAAACATCCCAAAGAAGTTTCTGAGAATGCTTCTGTCTAGATTTTCTCTGAAGACAATCCCGTTTCCAACGAAATCCTCAAGGCTAGGCAAATATACTCTTGCAGATTCCAGAAAAAGAGTGTTTCAAAACTGCTCCTTCAAAACGGTGGTTCAATTCTCTTAGTTGAGTACACACATCTCAAATAAGTTTCTGAGAATGCTTCTGCCTAGTTGTTACGGGAAGATATTTCCTTTTCCAACATGGGCCTGAAAGCGCTCCAAATGTCCACTTCCAGATACTACAAAAAGAGTGTTTCAAACCTGCTCTACCAAAGGGAATGTTCTACTCTGTGACTTGAATGCAAACATCCCAAAGAAGTTTCTGAGAATGCTTCTGTCTAGATTTTACCTGAAGACAATCCCGTTTCCCACGAAATCCTCAAAGCTATGCAAATATCCTCTTGCAGATTCTACAAAAAGAGTGTTTCAAAACTGCTCTATGAAAAGAAAGGTTCAACTCTGTCAGTAGAGGGCACACATCACAAACAAGTTTCTGAGAATGCTTCTGCATAGTTGTTACGGGAAGATATTTCCCTTTCCAAAATAGGCCTGAAAGCGCTCCAAATGTCCACTTCCAGATACTACAAAAGGAGTGATTCCAACCTGCTCTATGATAGGGAATGTTCAACTCTGTGTCCTGAATACAAACATCACAAAGATGTTTCTCAGAACGCTGCAGTCTGCAATTTGTATGAATTCCCGCTTCCAACGAAATCCTCAAAACTAGCCAAATATCCACTTGCAGATTCCACAAAAAGACCATTTCAAAACTGCTCTATCAAAAGAAAGGTTCAACTTTGTTAGTTGAGTAGATACAGCATAAACAAGTTTCTGAGAATGCTTCTGTCCAGTTTTTATGGGAAGATATTTCCTTTTTCACCTTAGCCCTGAAATCGCTCCAAAAGTCCAGTTCCAGATACTACAAAAGGGGTGTTTCAAGACTGCTCTATGAAAGGGAGTGTTCAACTTTTGACTTGAATGCAAACATCAGAAAGCAGTTTCTCAGAACGCTGCTGTGTGCTTTTTATATGTATTCCCGCTTCCAGCGAAATCCCCAAAGCTAGCCAAATATCCACTTGCAGATTCCAGAAAAAGAGTGTTTCAAAACTGCTCCTTCAAAAGGGTGGTTCAATTCTCTTAGTTGAGTACACACATCTCAAATAAGTTTCTGAGAATGCTTCTGTCTAGTTGTTATGGGAAGATATTTCCTTTTCCAACATAGGCCTGAAAGCACTCCAAATGTCCACTTCCAGATACTACGAAAGGAGTGATTCAAACCTGCTCTATGATAGGGAATGTTCAACTCTGTGTCCTGAATACAAACATCACAAAGATGTTTCTCAGAACGCTGCAGTCTGCAATTTGTATGAATTCCCGCTTCCAACGAAATCCTCCAAACTAGCCAAATATCCACTTGCAGATTCCACAAAAAGAGCGTTTCAAAACTTCTCTATGAAAAGAAAGGTTCTACTCCTTTAGTTGAGGACACACATCACGAGTAAGTTTCTGAGAATGCTCTGTCTAGTTTTTATGGGAAGATATTTCCTTTTTCACCTTAGGCCGGAAAGTGCTCCAAATGTCCACTTACACACACTACAAAAAGAGTGTTTCAAACCTGCTACTGTGAAAGGGAATGTTCAATTACTGTGACTTGAATGCAATCATCACAAAGAACTTTCTGAGAATGCTGGCTGACTGCTTTTTATATGTAATCCCGTTTCCAACGAAATCCTCAAATCTAGCCCAATATCCACTTGCAGATTCCACAAAAAGAGTGTTTCAAAACTGTTCTGTGTAAAGAAATGTACAACTGTGTTAGTTGAGGACACACATCAGAAACTAGTTTCTGAAGAATGCTTCTGTCTAGTTGTTATGGGAAGATATTTCCTTTTCCAACGTAGGCCTGAAAGCGCTCCAAATGTCCACTTCCATATACTAAAAAAAGAGTGTTTCAAACCTGCTCTACCAAAGGGAATGTTCTACTCTGTGACTTGAATGCAAACATCCCAAAGAAGTTTCTGAGAATGCTTCTGTCTAGATTTTCTCTGAAGACAATCCCGTTTCCAACGAAATCCTCAAGGCTAGGCAAATATACTCTTGCAGATTCCAGAAAAAGAGTGTTTCAAAACTGCTCCTTCAAAACGGTGGTTCAATTCTCTTAGTTGAGTACACACATCTCAAATAAGTTTCTGAGAATGCTTCTGCATAGTTGTTACGGGAAGATATTTCCCTTTCCAAAATAGGCCTGAAAGCGCTCCAAATGTCCACTTCCAGATACTACAAAAGGAGTGATTCCAACCTGCTCTATGATAGGGAATGTTCAACTCTGTGTCCTGAATACAAACATCACAAAGATGTTTCTCAGAACGCTGCAGTCTGCAATTTGTATGAATTCCCGCTTCCAACGAAATCCTCAAAACTAGCCAAATATCCACTTGCAGATTCCACAAAAAGAGCATTTCAAAACTGCTCTATCAAAAGAAAGGTTCAACTTTGTTAGTTGAGTAGATACAGCATAAACAAGTTTCTGAGAATGCTTCTGTCCAGTTTTTATGGGAAGATATTTCCTTTTTCACCTTAGCCCTGAAGGCGCTCCAAATGTCCAGTTCCAGATACTACAAAAGGGGTGTTTCAAGACTGCTCTATGAAAGGGAGTGTTCAACTTTTGACTTGAATGCAAACATCAGAAAGCAGTTTCTCAGAACGCTGCTGTGTGCTTTTTATATGTATTCCCGCTTACAGCGAAATCCCCAAAGCTAGCCAAATATCCACTTGCAGATTCCAGAAAAAGAGTGTTTCCAAACTGCTCCTTCAAAACGGTGGTTCAATTCTCATAGTTGAGTACACACATCTCCAATAAGTTTCTGGGAATGCTTGTGTCTAGTTGTTATGGGAAGATATTTCCTTTTTCAACATAGGCCTGAAAGCGCTCCAAATGTCCACTTCCAGATACTACAAAAGGAGTGATTCCAACCTGCTCTATGATAGGGAATGTTCATCTCTGTGTCCTGAATACAAACATCACAAAGATGTTTCTCAGAACGCTGCAGTCTGCAATTTGGATGAATTCCCGCTTCCAACGAAATCCTCAAAACTAGCCAAATATCCACTTGGAGATTCCACAAAAAGAGCGTTTCAAAACTTCTCTATGAATAGAAAGGTTCTACTCCTTTAGTTGAGGACACACATCACGAGTAAGTTTCTGAGAATGCTTCTGTCTAGTTTTTATGGGAAGATATTTCCTTTTTCACCTTAGGCCGGAAAGCGCTCCAAATGTCCAATTACACACACTACAAAAAGAGTGTTTCAAACCTGCTCTGTGAAAGGGAATGTTCAATTTTGTGACTTGAATGCAATCATCACAAAGAACTTTCTGAGAATGCTGCTGTCTGCTTTTTATATGTAATCCCGTTTCCAACGAAATCCTCAAATCTAGCCCAATATCCACTTGCAGATTCCACAAAAAGAGTGTTTCAAAACTGTTCTGTATAAAGAAATGTACAACTGTGTTAGTTGAGGACACACATCAGAAACTAGTTTCTGAGAATCCTTCTGTCTAGTTGTTATGGGAAGATATTTCCTTTTCCAACGTAGGCCTGAAAGCGCTCCAAATGTCCACTTCCATATACTAAAAAAAGAGTGTTTCAAACCTGCTCTACCAAAGGGAATGTTCTACTCTGTGACTTGAATGCAAACATCCCAAAGAAGTTTCTGAGAATGCTTCTGTCTAGATTTTATCTGAAGACAATCCCGTTTCCAACGAAATCCTCAAGGCTAGGCAAATATACTCTTGCAGATTCCAGAAAAAGAGGGTTTCAAAACTGCTCCTTCAAAACGGTGGTTCAATTCTCTTAGTTGAGTACACACATCTCAAATAATTTTCTGAGAATGCTTCTGCCTAGTTGTTACGGGAAGATATTTCCCTTTCCAACATGGGCCTGAAAGCGCTCCAAATGTCCACTTCCAGATACTACAAAAAGAGTGTTTCAAACCTGCTCTACCAAAGGGAATGTTCTACTCTGTGACTTGAATGCAAACATCCCAAAGAAGTTTCTGAGAATGCTTCTGTCTAGATTTTACCTGAAGACAATCCCGTTTCCCACGAAATCCTCAAAGCTATGCAAATATCCTCTTGCGGATTCTACAAAAAGAGTGTTTCAAAACTGCTCTATGAAAAGAAAGGTTCAACTCTGTCAGTAGAGGGCACACATCACAAACAAGTTTCTGAGAATGCTTCTGTCTAGTTGTTATGGGAAGATATTTCCTTTTCCAACATAGGCCTGAAAGCGCTCCAAATGTCCACTTCCAGTTACTACAAAAGGAGTGATTCAAACCTGCTCTATGATAGGGAATGTTCAACTCTGTGTCCTGAATACAAACATCACAAAGATGTTTCTCAGAACGCTGCAGTCTGCAATTTGTATGAATTCCCGCTTCCAGCGAAATCCTCAAAACTAGCCAAATATCCACTTGCAGATTCCACAAAAAGAGCATTTCAAAACTGCTCTATCAAAAGAAAGGTTCAACTTTGTTAGTTGAGTAGATACAGCATAAACAAGTTTCTGAGAATGCTTCTGTCCAGTTTTTATGGGAAGATATTTCCTTTTTCACCTTAGCCCTGAAATCGCTCCAAAAGTCCAGTTCCAGATACTACAAAAGGGGTGTTTCAAGACTGCTCTATGAAAGGGAGTGTTCAACTTTTGACTTGAATGCAAACATCAGAAAGCAGTTTCTCAGAACGCTGCTGTGTGCTTTTTATATGTATTCCCGCTTCCAGCGAAATACCCAAAGCTAGCCAAATATCCACTTGCAGATTCCAGAAAAAGAGTGTTTCAAAACTGCTCCTTCAAAACGGTGGTTCAATTCTCTTAGTTGAGTACACACATCTCAAATAAGTTTCTGAGAATGCTTATCTGTCCAGTTTTTATGGGAAGATATTTCCTTTTTCACCTTAGCCCTGAAAGCACTCCAAATGTCCACTTCCAGATACCACAAAAGGGGAGTTTCAAGACTGCTGTATGAAAGGGAGTGTTCAACTTTTGACTTGAATGCGAACATCAGAAAGAACTTTCTGAGAATTCTGCTGTGTGCTTTTTATATGTATTCCCGCTTCCAGCGAAATCCCCAAAGCTAGCCAAATATCCACTTGCAGATTCCAGAAAAAGAGTGTTTCAAAACTGCTTCTTCAAAACGGTGGTTCAATTCTCTTAGTTGAGTACACACATCTCAAATAAGTTTCTGAGAATGCTTCTGTCTAGTTGTTATGGGAAGATATTTCCTTTTCCAACATAGGCCTGAAAGCGCTCCAAATGTCCACTTCCAGATACTACAAAAGGAGTGATTCAAACCTGCTCTATGATAGGGAATGTTCAACTCTGTGTCCTGAATACAAACATCACAAAGATGTTTCTCAGAACGCTGCAGTCTGCAATTTGTATGAATTCCCGCTTCCAACGAAATCCTCAAAACTAGCCAAATATCCACTTGCAGATTCCACAAAAAGAGCGTTTCAAAACTTCTCTATGAAAAGAAAGTTTCTACTCCTTTAGTTGAGTACACACATCACGAGTAAGTTTCTGAGAATGCTTCTGTCTAGTTTTTATGGGAAGATATTTCCTTTTTCACCTTAGGCCGGAAAGCGCTGCAAATGTCTGCTTACACACACTACAAAAAGAGTGTTTCAAACCTGCTCTGTGAAAGGGAATGTTCAATTCTGTGACTTGAATGCAATCATCACAAAGAACTTTCTGAGAATGCCGCTGTCTGCTTTTTATATGTAATCCCGTTTCCAACGAAATCCTCAAATCTAGCCAAATAGCCACTTGCAGATTCCAGAAAAAGAGAGTTTCAAAACTGTTCTGTCTAAAGAAATGTTCAACTGTGTTAGTTGAGGACACACATCAGGAACTAGTTTCTGAGAATGCTTCTGTCTAGTTGTTATGGGAAGATATTTCCTTTTCCAACGTAGGCCTGAAAGCGCTCCAAATGTCCACTTCCATATACTAAAAAAAGAGTGTTTCAAACCTGCTCTACCAAAGGGAATGTTCTACTCTGTGACTTGAATGCAAACATCCCAAAGAAGTTTCTGAGAATGCTTCCGTCTAGATTTGATCTGAAGAAAATCCCGTTTCCAACGAAATCCTCAAGGCTAGGCAAATATCCTCTTGCAGATTCCAGAAAAAGAGTGTTTCAAAACTGCTCCTTCAAAACGGTGGTTCAATTCTCTTAGTTGAGTACACACATCTCAAATAAGTTTCTGAGAATGCTTCTGCCTAGTTGTTACGGGAAGATATTTCCCTTTCCAACATAGGCCTGAAAGCGCTCCAAATGTCCACTTCCAGATACTACAAAAAGAGTGTTTCAAACCTGCTCTACCAAAGGGAATGTTCTACTCTGTGACTTGAATGCAAACATCCCAAAGAAGTTTCTGAGAATGCTTCTGTCTAGATTTTAGCTGAAGACAATCCCGTTTCCAACGAAATCCTCAAAGCTAGGCAAATATACTCTAGCAGATTCCAGAAAAAGAGTGTTTCAAAACTGCTCCTTCAAAACGGTGGTTCAATTCTCTTAGTTGAGTACACACATCTCAAATAAGTTTCTGAGAATGCTTCTGCCTAGTTGTTACGGGAAGATATTTCCCTTTCCAACATAGGCCTGAAAGCGCTCCAAATGTCCACTTCCAGATACTACAAAAAGAGTGTTTCAAACCTGCTCTACCAAAGGGAATGTTCTACTCTGTGACTTGAATGCAAACATCCCAAAGAAGTTTCTGAGAATGCTTCTGTCTAGATTTTACCTGAAGACAATCCCGTTTCCCACGAAATCCTCAAAGCTATGCAAATATCCTCTTGCAGATTCTACAAAAAGAGTGTTTCAAAACTGCTCTATGAAAAGAAAGGTTCAACTCTGTCAGTAGAGGGCACACATCACAAACAAGTTTCTGAGAATGCTTGTGTCTAGTTGTTATGGGAAGATATTTCCTTTTTCAACATAGGCCTGAAAGCGCTCCAAATGTCCACTTCCAGATACTACAAAAGGAGTGATTCCAACCTGCTCTATGATAGGGAATGTTCAACTCTCTGTCCTGAATACAAACATCACAAAGATGTTTCTCAGAACGCTGCAGTCTGCAATTTGTATGAATTCCCGCTTCCAACGAAATCCTCAAAACTAGCCAAATATCCACTTGCAGATTCCACAAAAAGAGCATTTCAAAACTGCTCTATCAAAAGAAAGGTTCAACTTTGTTAGTTGAGTAGATACAGCATAAACAAGTTTCTGAGAATGCTTCTGTCCAGTTTTTATGGGAAGATATTTCCTTTTTCACCTTAGCCCTGAAAGCGCTCCAAAAGTCCAGTTCCAGATACTACAAAAGGAGTGTTTCAGGACTGCTCTATGAAAGGGAGTGTTCAACTTTTGACTTGAATGCAAACATCAGAAAGCAGTTTCTCAGAACGCTGCTGTGTGCTTTTTATATGTATTCCCGCTTCCAGCGAAATCCCCAAAGCTAGCCAAATATCCACTTGCAGATTCCAGAAAAAGAGTGTTTCAAAACTGCTCCTTCAAAACGGTGGTTCAATTCTCTTAGTTGAGTACACACATCTCAAATAAGTTTCTGAGAATGCTTGTGTCTAGTTGTTATGGGAAGATATTTCCTTTTTCAACATAGGCCTGAAAGCGCTCCAAATGTCCACTTCCAGATACTACAAAAGGAGTGATTTCAACCTGCTGTATGATAGGGAATGTTCATCTCTGTGTCCTGAATACAAACATCACAAAGATGTTTCTCAGAACGCTGCAGTCTGCAATTTGTATGAATTCCCGCATCCAACGAAATCCTCAAAACTAGCCAAATATCCACTTGGAGATTCCACAAAAAGAGCGTTTCAAACCTTCTCTATGAATAGAAAGGTTCTACTCCTTTAGTTGAGGACACACATCACGAGTAAGTTTCTGAGAATGCTTCTGTCTAGTTTTTATGGGAAGATATTTCCTTTTTCACCTTAGGCCGGAAAGTGCTCCAAATGTCCACTTACACACACTACAAAAAGAGTGTTTCAAACCTGCTCTGTGAAAGGGAATGTTCAATTCTGTGACTTGAATGCAATCATCACAAAGAAGTTTCTGAGAATGCTGCTGTCTGCTTTTTATATGTAATCCCGTTTCCAACGAAATCCTCAAATCTAGCCAAATATCCACTTGCAGATTCCACAAAAAGAGTGTTTCAAAACTGTTCTGTCTAAAGAAAAGTTCAACTGTGTTAGTTGAGGACACACATCAGAAACTAGTTTCTGAGAATGCTTCTGTCTAGTTCTTATGGGAAGATATTTCCTTTTCCAAAGTAGGCCTGAAAGCGCTCCAAATGTCCACTTCCATATACTAAAAAAAGAGTGTTTCAAACCTGCTCTACCAAAGAGAATGTTCTACTCTGTGACTTGAATGCAAACATCCCAAAGAAGTTTCTGAGAATGCTTCTGTCTAGATTTTATCTGAAGACAATCCAGTTTCCAACGAAATCCTCAAGGCTAGGCAAATATATTCTTGCAGAATCCAGAAAAAGAGTGTTTCAAAACTGCTCCTTCAAAACGGTGGTTCAATTCTCTTAGTTGAGTACACACATCTCAAATAAGTTTCTGAGAATGCTTCTGCCTAGTTGTTAAGGGAAGATATTTCCCTTTCCAACATGAGCCTGAAAGCGCTCCATATGTCCACTTCCAGATACTACAAAAAGAGTGTTTCAAACCTGCTCTACCAAAGGGAATGTTCTACTCTGTGACTTGAATGCAAACATCCCAAAGAAGTTTCTGAGAATGCTTCTGTCTAGATTTTACCTGAAGACAATCCCGTTTCCCACGAAATCCTCAAAGCTATGCAAATATCCTCTTGCAGATTCTACAAAAAGAGTGTTTCAAAACTGCTCTATGAAAAGAAAGGTTCAACTCTGTCAGTAGAGGGCACACATCACAAACAAGTTTCTGAGAATGCTTCTGCATAGTTGTTATGGGAAGATATTTCCCTTTCCAAAATAGGCCTGAAAGCGCTCCAAATGTCCACTTCCAGATACTACAAAAGGAGTGATTCCAACCTGCTCTAGGACAGGGAATGTTCAACTCTGTGTCCTGAATAAAAACATCACAAAGATGTTTCTCAGAACGCTGCAGTCTGCAATTTGTATGAATTCCAGCTTCCAACGAAATCCTCAAATCTAGCCAAATATCCACTTGCAGATTCCACAAAAAGAGCATTTCAAAACTGCTCTATCAAAAGAAAGGTTCAACTTTGTTAGTAGAGTAGATACAGCATAAACAAGTTTCTGAGAATGCTTCTGTCCAGTTTTTATGGGAAGATATTTCCTTTTTCACCTTAGCCCTGAAAGCGCTCCAAAAGTCCAGTTCCAGATACTACAAAAGGAGTGTTTCAGGACTGCTCTATGAAAGGGAGTGTTCAACTTTTGACTTGAATGCAAACATCAGAAAGCAGTTTCTCAGAACGCTGCTGTGTGCTTTTTATATGTATTCCCGCTTCCAGCGAAATCCCCAAAGCTAGCCAAATATCCACTTGCAGATTCCAGAAAAAGAGTGTTTCAAAACTGCTCCTTCAAAACGGTGGTTCAATTCTCTTAGTTGAGTACACACATCTCAAATAAGTTTCTGAGAATGCTTCTGTCTAGTTGTTATGGGAAGATATTTCCTTTTCCAACATAGGCCTGAAAGCGCTCCAAATGTCCACTTCCAGATACTACAAAAGGAGTGATTCCAACCTGCTCTATGATAGGGAATGTTCAACTCTGTGTCCTGAATACAAACATCACAAAGATGTTTCTCAGAACGCTGCAGTCTGCAATTTGTATGAATTCCCGCTTCCAACGAAATCCTCAAAACTAGCCAAATATCCACTTGCAGATTCCACAAAAAGAGCGTTTCAAAACTTCTCTATGAAAAGAAAGGTTCTACTCCTTTAGTTGAGGACACACATCACGAGTAAGTTTCTGAGAATGCTTCTGTCTAGTTTTTATGGGAAGATATTTCCTTTTTCACCTTAGGCCGGTAAGTGCTCCAAATGTCCACTTACACACACTACAAAAAGAGTGTTTCAAACCTGCTCTGTGAAAGGGAATGTTCAATTCTGTGACTTGAATGCAATCATCACAAAGAACTTTCTGAGAATGCTGCTGACTGCTTTTTATATGTAATCCCGTTTCCAACGAAATCCTCAAATCTAGCCAAATAGCCACTTGCAGATTCCACAAAAAGAGTGTTTCAAAACTGTTCTGTCTAAAGAAATGTTCAACTGTGTTAGTTGAGGACACACATCAGAAACTAGTTTCTGAGAATGCTTCTGTCTAGTTGTTATGGGAAGATATTTCCTTTTCCAACGTAGGCCTGAAAGCGATCCAAATGTCCACTTCCATATACTAAAAAAAGAGTGTTTCAAACCTGCTCTACCAAAGGGAATGTTCTACTCTGTGACTTGAATGCAAACATCCCAAAGAAGTTTCTGAGAATGCTTCTGTCTAGATTTTCTCTGAAGACAATCCCGTTTCCAACGAAATCCTCAAGGCTAGGCAAATATACTCTTGCAGATTCCAGAAAAAGAGTGTTTCAAAACTGCTCCTTCAAAACGGTGGTTCAATTCTCTTAGTTGAGTACACACATCTCAAATAAGTTTCTGAGAATGCTTCTGCCTAGTTGTTACGGGAAGATATTTCCCTTTCCAACATGGGCCTGAAAGCGCTCCAAATGTCCACTTCCAGATACTACAAAAAGAGTGTTTCAAACCTGCTCTACCAAAGGGAATGTTCTACTCTGTGACTTGAATGCAAACATCCCAAAGAAGTTTCTGAGAATGCTTCTGTCTAGATTTTACCTGAAGACAATCCCGTTTCCCACGAAATCCTCAAAGCTATGCAAATATCCTCTTGCAGATTCTACAAAAAGAGTGTTTCAAAACTGCTCTATGAAAAGAAAGGTTCAACTCTGTCAGTAGAGGGCACACATCACAAACAAGTTTCTGAGAATGCTTCTGCATAGTTGTTACGGGAAGATATTTCCCTTTCCAAAATAGGCCTGAAAGCGCTCCAAATGTCCACTTCCAGATACTACAAAAGGAGTGATTCCAACCTGCTCTATGATAGGGAATGTTCAACTCTGTGTCCTGAATACAAACATCACAAAGATGTTTCTCAGAACGCTGCAGTCTGCAATTTGTATGAATTCCCGCTTCCAACGAAATCCTCAAAACTAGCCAAATATCCACTTGCAGATTCCACAAAAAGACCATTTCAAAACTGCTCTATCAAAAGAAAGGTTCAACTTTGTTAGTTGAGTAGATACAGCATAAACAAGTTTCTGAGAATGCTTCTGTCCAGTTTTTATGGGAAGATATTTCCTTTTTCACCTTAGCCCTGAAATCGCTCCAAAAGTCCAGTTCCAGATACTACAAAACGGGTGTTTCAAGACTGCTCTATGAAAGGGAGTGTTCAACTTTTGACTTGAATGCAAACATCAGAAAGCAGTTTCTCAGAACGCTGCTGTGTGCTTTTTATATGTATTCCCGCTTCCAGCGAAATCCCCAAAGCTAGCCAAATATCCACTTGCAGATTCCAGAAAAAGAGAGTTTCAAAACTGCTCCTTCAAAACGGTGGTTCAATTCTCTTAGTTGAGTACACACATCTCAAATAAGTTTCTGAGAATGCTTCTGTCTAGTTGTTATGGGAAGATATTTCCTTTTCCAACATAGGCCTGAAAGCGCTCCAAATGTCCACTTCCAGATACTACAAAAGGAGTGATTCCAACCTGCTCTATGATAGGGAATGTTCAACTCTGTGTCCTGAATACAAACATCACAAAGATGTTTCTCAGAACGCTGCAGTCTGCAATTTGTATGAATTCCCGCTTCCAACGAAATCCTCAAAACTAGCCAAATATCCACTTGCAGATTCCACAAAAAGAGCGTCTCAAAACTTCTCTATGAAAAGAAAGGTTCTACTCCTTTAGTTGAGGACACACATCACGAGTAAGTTTCTGAGAATGCTTCTGTCTAGTTTTTATGGGAAGATATTTCCTTTTTCACCTTAGGCCGGTAAGTGCTCCAAAGGTCCACTTACACACACTACAAAAAGAGTGTTTCAAACCTGCTCTGTGAAAGGGAATGTTCAATTCTGTGACTTGAATGCAATCATCACAAAGAACTTTCTGAGAATGCTGCTGACTGCTTTTTATATGTAATCCCGTTTCCAACGAAATCCTCAAATCTAGCCAAATAGCCACTTGCAGATTCCACAAAAAGAGTGTTTCAAAACTGTTCTGTCTAAAGAAATGTTCAACTGTGTTAGTTGAGGACACACATCAGAAACTAGTTTCTGAGAATGCTTCTGTCTAGTTGTTATGGGAAGATATTTCCTTTTCCAACGTAGGCCTGAAAGCGATCCAAATGTCCACTTCCATATACTAAAAAAAGAGTGTTTCAAACCTGCTCTACCAAAGGGAATGTTCTACTCTGTGACTTGAATGCAAACATCCCAAAGAAGTTTCTGAGAATGCTTCTGTCTAGATTTTCTCTGAAGACAATCCCGTTTCCAACGAAATCCTCAAGGCTAGGCAAATATACTCTTGCAGATTCCAGAAAAAGAGTGTTTCAAAACTGCTCCTTCAAAACGGTGGTTCAATTCTCTTAGTTGAGTACACACATCTCAAATAAGTTTCTGAGAATGCTTCTGCCTAGTTGTTACGGGAAGATATTTCCCTTTCCAACATGGGCCTGAAAGCGCTCCAAATGTCCACTTCCAGATACTACAAAAAGAGTGTTTCAAACCTGCTCTACCAAAGGGAATGTTCTACTCTGTGACTTGAATGCAAACATCCCAAAGAAGTTTCTGAGAATGCTTCTGTCTAGATTTTACCTGAAGACAATCCCGTTTCCCACGAAATCCTCAAAGCTATGCAAATATCCTCTTGCAGATTCTACAAAAAGAGTGTTTCAAAACTGCTCTATGAAAAGAAAGGTTCAACTCTGTCAGTAGAGGGCACACATCACAAACAAGTTTCTGAGAATGCTTCTGCATAGTTGTTACGGGAAGATATTTCCCTTTCCAAAATAGGCCTGAAAGCGCTCCAAATGTCCACTTCCAGATACTACAAAAGGAGTGATTCCAACCTGCTCTATGATAGGGAATGTTCAACTCTGTGTCCTGAATACAAACATCACAAAGATGTTTCTCAGAACGCTGCAGTCTGCAATTTGTATGAATTCCCGCTTCCAACGAAATCCTCAAAACTAGCCAAATATCCACTTGCAGATTCCACAAAAAGAGCGTTTCAAAACTTCTCTATGAAAAGAAAGGTTCTACTCCTTTAGTTGAGGACACACATCACGAGTAAGTTTCTGAGAATGCTTCTGTCTAGTTTTTATGGGAAGATATTTCCTTTTTCACCTTAGGCCGGTAAGTGCTCCAAATGTCCACTTACACACACTACAAAAAGAGTGTTTCAAACCTGCTCTGTGAAAGGGAATGTTCAATTCTGTGACTTGAATGCAATCATCACAAAGAACTTTCTGAGAATGCTGCTGACTGCTTTTTATATGTAATCCCGTTTCCAACGAAATCCTCAAATCTAGCCAAATAGCCACTTGCAGATTCCACAAAAAGAGTGTTTCAAAACTGTTCTGTCTAAAGAAATGTTCAACTGTGTTAGTTGAGGACACACATCAGAAACTAGTTTCTGAGAATGCTTCTGTCTAGTTGTTATGGGAAGATATTTCCTTTTCCAACGTAGGCCTGAAAGCGCTCCAAATGTCCACTTCCAGATACTACAAAAAGAGTGTTTCAAACCTGCTCTACCAAAGGGAATGTTCTACTCTGTGACTGGAATGCAAGCATCCCAAAGAAGTTTCTGAGAATGTTTCTGTCTAGATTTTCTCTGAAGACAATCCCGTTTCCAACGAAATCCTCAAGGCTAGGCAAATATCCTCTTGCAGATTCCAGAAAAAGAGTGTTTCAAAACTGCTCCTTCAAAACGGTGGTTCAATTCTCTTAGTTGAGTACACACATCTCAAATAAGTTTCTGAGAATGCTTCTGCCTAGTTGTTACGGGAAGATATTTCCCTTTCCAACATGGGCCTGAAAGCGCTCCAAATGTCCACTTCCAGATACTACAAAAAGAGTGTTTCAAACCTGCTCTACCAAAGGGAATGTTCTACTCTGTGACTTGAATGCAAACATCCCAAAGAAGTTTCTGAGAATGCTTCTGTCTAGATTTTACCTGAAGACAATCCCGTTTCCCACGAAATCCTCAAAGCTATGCAAATATCCTCTTGCAGATTCTACAAAAAGAGTGTTTCAAAACTGCTCTATGAAAAGAAAGGTTCAACTCTGTCAGTAGAGGGCACACATCACAAACAAGTTTCTGAGAATGCTTCTGCATAGTTGTTACGGGAAGATATTTCCCTTTCCAAAATAGGCCTGAAAGCGCTCCAAATGTCCACTTCCAGATACTACAAAAGGAGTGATTCCAACCTGCTCTATGATAGGGAATGTTCAACTCTGTGTCCTGAATACAAACATCACAAAGATGTTTCTCAGAACGCTGCAGTCTGCAATTTGTATGAATTCCCGCTTCCAACGAAATCCTCAAAACTAGCCAAATATCCACTTGCAGATTCCACAAAAAGACCATTTCAAAACTGCTCTATCAAAAGAAAGGTTCAACTTTGTTAGTTGAGTAGATACAGCATAAACAAGTTTCTGAGAATGCTTCTGTCCAGTTTTTATGGGAAGATATTTCCTTTTTCACCTTAGCCCTGAAATCGCTCCAAAAGTCCAGTTCCAGATACTACAAAAGGGGTGTTTCAGGACTGCCCTATGAAAGGGAGTGTTCAACTTTTGACTTGAATGCAAACATCAGAAAGCAGTTTCTCAGAACGCTGCTGTGTGCTTTTTATATGTATTCCCGCTTCCAGCGAAATCCCCAAAGCTAGCCAAATATCCACTTGCAGATTCCAGAAAAAGAGTGTTTCAAAACTGCTCCTTCAAAACGGTGGTTCAATTCTCTTAGTTGAGTACACACATCTCAAATAAGTTTCTGAGAATGCTTCTGTCTATTTGTTATGGGAAGATATTTCCTTTTCCAACATAGGCCTGAAAGCGCTCCAAATGTCCACTTCCAGATACTAGAAAAGGAGTGATTCAAACCTGCTCTATGATAGGGAATGTTCAACTCTGTGTCCTGAATACAAACATCACAAAGATGTTTCTCAGAACGCTGCAGTCTGCAATTTGTATGAATTCCCGCTTCCAACGAAATCCTCAAAACTAGCCAAATATCCACTTGCAGATTCCACAAAAAGAGCGTTTCAAAACTTCTCTATGAAAAGAAAGGTTCTACTCCTTTAGTTGAGGACACACATCACGAGTAAGTTTCTGAGAATGCTTCTGTCTAGTTTTTATGGGAAGATTATTTCCTTTTTCACCTTAGGCCGGTAAGTGCTCCAAATGTCCACTTACACACACTACAAAAAGAGTGTTTCAAACCTGCTCTGTGAAAGGGAATGTTCAATTCTGTGACTTGAATGCAATCATCACAAAGAACTTTCTGAGAATGCTGCTGACTGCTTTTTATATGTAATCCCGTTTCCAACGAAATCCTCAAATCTAGCCAAATAGCCACTTGCAGATTCCACAAAAAGAGTGTTTCAAAACTGTTCTGTCTAAAGAAATGTTCAACTGTGTTAGTTGAGGACACACATCAGAAACTAGTTTCTGAGAATGCTTCTGTCTAGTTGTTATGGGAAGATATTTCCTTTTCCAACGTAGGCCTGAAAGCGCTCCAAATGTCCACTTCCATATACTAAAAAAAGAGTGTTTCAAAGCTGCTCTACCAAAGGGAATGTTCTACTCTGTGACTTGAATGCAAACATCCCAAAGAAGTTTCTGAGAATGCTTCTGTCTAGATTTGATCTGAAGACAATCCCGTTTCCAACGAAATCCTCAAGGCTAGGCAAATATCCTCTTGCAGATTCCAGAAAAAGAGTGTTTCAAAACTGCTCCTTCAAAACGGTGGTTCAATTCTCTTAGTTGAGTACACACATCTCAAATAAGTTTCTGAGAATGCTTCTGCCTAGTTGTTACGGGAAGATATTTCCCTTTCCAACATAAGCCTGAAAGCGCTCCAAATGTCCACTTCCAGATACTACAAAAAGAGTGTTTCAAACCTGCTCTACCAAAGGGAATGTTCTACTCTGTGACTTGAATGCAAACATCCCAAAGAAGTTTCTGAGAATGCTTCTGTCTAGATTTTACCTGAAGACAATCCCGTTTCCCACGAAATCCTCAAAGCTATGCAAATATCCTCTTGCAGATTCTACAAAAAGAGTGTTTCAAAACTGCTCTATGAAAAGAAAGGTTCAACTCTGTCAGTAGAGGGCACACATCACAAACAAGTTTCTGAGAATGCTTGTGTCTAGTTGTTATGGGAAGATATTTCCTTTTTCAACATAGGCCTGAAAGCGCTCCAAATGTCCACTTCCAGATACTACAAAAGGAGTGATTCCAACCTGCTCTATGATAGGGAATGTTCAACTCTGTGTCCTGAATACAAACATCACAAAGATGTTTCTCAGAACGCTGCAGTCTGCAATTTTTATGAATTCCCGCTTCCAACGAAATCCTCAAAACTAGCCAAATATCCACTTGCAGATTCCACAAAAAGAGCATTTCAAAACTGCTCTATCAAAAGAAAGGTTCAACTTTGTTAGTTGAGTAGATACAGCATAAACAAGTTTCTGAGAATGCTTCTGTCCAGTTTTTATGGGAAGATATTTCCTTTTTCACCTTAGCCCTGAAAGCGCTCCAAAAGTCCAGTTCCAGATACTACAAAAGGAGTGTTTCAGGACTGCTCTATGAAAGGGAGTGTTCAACTTTTGACTTGAATGCAAACATCAGAAAGCAGTTTCTCAGAACGCTGCTGTGTGCTTTTTATATGTATTCCCGCTTCCAGCGAAATCCCCCAAAGCTAGCCAAATATCCACTTGCAGATTCCAGAAAAAGAGTGTTTCAAAACTGCTCCTTCAAAACGGTGGTTCAATTCTCTTAGTTGAGTACACACATCTCAAATAAGTTTCTGAGAATGCTTCTGTCTAGTTGTTATGGGAAGATATTTCCTTTTCCAACATAGGCCTGAAAGCGCTCCAAATGTCCACTTCCAGATACTACAAAAGGAGTGATTCAAACCTGCTCTATGATAGGGAATGTTCAACTCTGTGTCCTGAATACAAACATCACAAAGATGTTTCTCAGAACGCTGCAGTCTGCAATTTGTATGAATTCCCGCTTCCAACGAAATCCTCCAAACTAGCCAAATATCCACTTGCAGATTCCACAAAAAGAGCGTTTCAAAACTTCTCTATGAAAAGAAAGGTTCTACTCCTTTAGTTGAGGACACACATCACGAGTAAGTTTCTGAGAATGCTTCTGTCTAGTTTGTATGGGAAGATATTTCCTTTTTCACCTTAGGCCGGAAAGTGCTCCAAATGTCCACTTACACACACTACAAAAAGAGTGTTTCAAACCTGCTCTGTGAAAGGGAATGTTCAATTCTGTGACTTGAATGCAATCATCACAAAGAACTTTCTGAGAATGCTGCTGACGGCTTTTTATATGTAATCCCGTTTCCAACGAAATCCTCAAATCTAGCCAAATAGCCACTTGCAGATTCCACAAAAAGAGTGTTTCAAAACTGTTCTGTCTAAAGAAATGTTCAACTGTGTTAGTTGAGGACACACATCAGAAACTAGTTTCTGAGAATGCTTCTGTCTAGTTGTTATGGGAAGATATTTCCTTTTCCAACGTAGGCCTGAAAGCGCTCCAAATGTCCACTTCCAGATACTACAAAAAGAGTGTTTCAAACCTGCTCTACCAAAGGGAATGTTCTACTCTGTGACTTGAATGCAAACATCCCAAAGAAGTTTCTGAGAATGCTTCTGTCTAGATTTTCTCTGAAGACAATCCCGTTTCCAACGAAATCCTCAAGGCTAAGCAAATATACTCTTGCAGATTCCAGAAAAAGAGTGTTTCAAAACTGCTCCTTCAAAACGGTGGTTCAATTCTCTTAGTTGAGTACACACATCTCAAATAAGTTTCTGAGAATGCTTCTGCCTAGTTGTTACGGGAAGATATTTCCCTTTCCAACATGGGCCTGAAAGCGCTCCAAATGTCCACTTCCAGATACTACAAAAAGAGTGTTTCAAACCTGCTCTACCAAAGGGAATGTTCTACTCTGTGACTTGAATGCAAACATCCCAAAGAAGTTTCTGAGAATGCTTCTGTCTAGATTTTACCTGAAGACAATCCCGTTTCCCCCGAAATCCTCAAAGCTATGCAAATATCCTCTTGCGGATTCTACAAAAAGAGTGTTTCAAAACTGCTCTATGAAAAGAAAGGTTCAACTCTGTCAGTAGAGGGCACACATCACAAACAAGTTTCTGAGAATGCTTGTGTCTAGTTGTTATGGGAAGATATTTCCTTTTTCAACATAGGCCTGAAAGCGCTCCAAATGTCCACTTTCAGATACTACAAAAGGAGTGATTCCAACCTGCTCTATGATAGGGAATGTTCATCTCTGTGTCCTGAATACAAACATCACAAAGATGTTTCTCAGAACGCTGCAGTCTGCAATTTGTATGAATTCCCGCTTCCAACGAAATCCTCAAAACTAGCCAAATATCCACTTGGAGATTCCACAAAAAGAGCGTTTCAAAACTTCTCTATGAATAGAAAGGTTCTACTCCTTTAGTTGAGGACACACATCACGAGTAAGTTTCTGAGAATGCTTCTGTCTAGTTTTTATGGGAAGATATTTCGTTTTTCACCTTAGGCCGGAAAGCGCTCCAAATGTCCACTTACACACACTACAAAAAGAGGGTTTCAAACCTGCTCTGTGAAAGGGAATGTTCAATTCTGTGATTTGAATGCAATCATCACAAAGAACTTTCTGAGAATGCTGCTGTCTGCTTTTTATATGTAATCCCGTTTCCAACGAAATCCTCAAATCTAGCCAAATATCCACTTGCAGATTCCACAAAAAGATTGTTTCAAAACTGTTCTGTCTAAAGAAAAGTTCAACTGTGTTAGTTGAGGACACACATCAGAAACTAGTTTCTGAGAATGCTTCTGTCTAGTTGTTATGGGAAGATATTTCCTTTTCCAACGTAGGCCTGAAAGCGCTCCAAATGTCCACTTCCATATACTAAAAAAAGAGTGTTTCAAACCTGCTCTACCAAAGGGAATGTTCTACTCTGTGACTTGAATGCAAACATCCCAAAGAAGTTTCTGAGAATGCTTCTGTCTAGATTTTATCTGAAGACAATCCCGTTTCCAACGAAATTCTCACGGCTAGGCAAATATACTCTTGCAGATTCCAGAAAAAGAGTGTTTCAAAACTGCTCCTTCAAAACGTTGGTTAAATTCTCTTAGTTGAGTACACACATCTCAAATAAGTTTCTGAGAATGCTTCTGCCTAGTTGTTACGGGAAGATATTTCCCTTTCCAACATGGGCCTGAAAGCGCTCCAAATGTCCACTTCCAGATACTACAAAAAGAGGGTTTCAAACCTGCTCTACCAAAGGGAATGTTCTACTCTGTGACTTGAATGCAAACATCCCAAAGAAGTTTCTGAGAATGCTTCTGTCTAGATTTTACCTGAAGACAATCCCGTTTCCCACGAAATCCTCAAAGCTATGCAAATATCCTCTTGCAGATTCTACAAAAAGAGTGTTTCAAAACTGCTCTATGAAAAGAAAGGTTCAACTCTGTCAGTAGAGGGCACACATCACAAACAAGTTTCTGAGAATGCTTCTGCATAGTTGTTACGGGAAGATATTTCCCTTTCCAAAATAGGCCTGAAAGCGCTCCAAATGTCCACTTCCAGATACTACAAAAGGAGTGATTCCAACCTGCTCTATGATAGGGAATGTTCAACTCTCTGTCCTGAATACAAACATCACAAAGATGTTTCTCAGAACGCTGCAGTCTGCAATTTGTATGAATTCCCGCTTCCAACGAAATCCTCAAAACTAGCCAAATATCCACTTGCAGATTCCACAAAAAGACCATTTCAAAACTGCTCTATCAAAAGAAAGGTTCAACTTTGTTAGTTGAGTAGATACAGCATAACCAAGTTTCTGAGAATGCTTCTGTCCAGTTTTTATGGGAAGATATTTCCTTTTTCACCTTAGCCCTGAAATCGCTCCAAAAGTCCAGTTCCAGATACTACAAAAGGGGTGTTTCAAGACTGCTCTATGAAAGGGAGTGTTCAACTTTTGACTTGAATGCAAACATCAGAAAGCAGTTTCTCAGAACGCTGCTGTGTGCTTTTTATATGTATTCCCGCTTCCAGCGAAATCCCCAAAGCTAGCCAAATATCCACTTGCAGATTCCAGAAAAAGAGAGTTTCAAAACTGCTCCTTCAAAACGGTGGTTCAATTCTCTTAGTTGAGTACACACATCTCAAATAAGTTTCTGAGAATGCTTCTGTCTAGTTGTTATGGGAAGATATTTCCTTTTCCAACATAGGCCTGAAAGCGCTCCAAATGTCCACTTCCAGATACTACAAAAGGAGTGATTCCAACCTGCTCTATGATAGGGAATGTTCAACTCTGTGTCCTGAATACAAACATCACAAAGATGTTTCTCAGAACGCTGCAGTCTGCAATTTGTATGAATTCCCGCTTCCAACGAAATCCTCAAAACTAGCCAAATATCCACTTGCAGATTCCACAAAAAGACCATTTCAAAACTGCTCTATCAAAAGAAAGGTTCAACTTTGTTAGTTGAGTAGATACAGCATAAACAAGTTTCTGAGAATGCTTCTGTCCAGTTTTTATGGTAAGATATTTCCTTTTTCACCTTAGCCCTGAAATCGCTCCAAAAGTCCAGTTCCAGATACTACAAAAGGGGTGTTTCAAGACTGCTCTATGAAAGGGAGTGTTCAACTTTTGACTTGAATGCAAACATCAGAAAGCAGTTTCTCAGAACGCTGCTGTGTGCTTTTTATATGTATTCCCGCTTCCAGCGAAATCCCCAAAGCTAGCCAAATATCCACTTGCAGATTCCAGAAAAAGAGAGTTTCAAAACTGCTCCTTCAAAACGGTGGTTCAATTCTCTTAGTTGAGTACACACATCTCAAATAAGTTTCTGAGAATGCTTCTGTCTAGTTGTTATGGGAAGATATTTCCTTTTCCAACATAGGCCTGAAAGCGCTCCAAATGTCCACTTCCAGATACTACAAAAGGAGTGATTCCAACCTGCTCTATGATAGGGAATGTTCAACTCTGTGTCCTGAATACAAACATCACAAAGATGTTTCTCAGAACGCTGCAGTCTGCAATTTGTATGAATTCCCGCTTCCAACGAAATCCTCAAAACTAGCCAAATATCCACTTGCAGATTCCACAAAAAGAGCGTTTCAAAACTTCTCTATGAAAAGAAAGGTTCTACTCCTTTAGTTGAGGACACACATCACGAGTAAGTTTCTGAGAATGCTTCTGTCTAGTTTTTATGGGAAGATATTTCCTTTTTCACCTTAGGCCGGTAAGTGCTCCAAATGTCCACTTACACACACTACAAAAAGAGTGTTTCAAACCTGCTCTGTGAAAGGGAATGTTCAATTCTGTGACTTGAATGCAATCATCACAAAGAACTTTCTGAGAATGCTCTGACTGCTTTTTATATGTAATCCCGTTTCCAACGAAATCCTCAAATCTAGCCAAATAGCCACTTGCAGATTCCACAAAAAGAGTGTTTCAAAACTGTTCTGTCTAAAGAAATGTTCAACTGTGTTAGTTGAGGACACACATCAGAAACTAGTTTCTGAGAATGCTTTCTGTCTAGTTGTTATGGGAAGATATTTCCTTTTCCAACGTAGGCCTGAAGCGCTCCAAATGTCCACTTCCATATACTAAAAAAAGAGTGTTTCAAACCTGCTCTACCAAAGGGAATGTTCTACTCTGTGACTTGAATGCAAACATCCCAAAAAAGTTTCTGAGAATGCTTCTGTCTAGATTTTCTCTGAAGACAATCCCGTTTCCAACGAAATCCTCAAGGCTAGGCAAATATACTCTTGCAGATTCCAGAAAAAGAGTGTTTCAAAACTGCTCCTTCAAAACGGTGGTTCAATTCTCTTAGTTGAGTACACACATCTCAAATAAGTTTCTGAGAATGCTTCTGCCTAGTTGTTACGGGAAGATATTTCCCTTTCCAACATGGGCCTGAAAGCGCTCCAAATGTCCACTTCCAGATACTACAAAAAGAGTGTTTCAAACCTGCTCTACCAAAGGGAATGTTCTACTCTGTGACTTGAATGCAAACATCCCAAAGAAGTTTCTGAGAATGCTTCTGTCTAGATTTTACCTGAAGACAATCCCGTTTCCCACGAAATCCTCAAAGCTATCCAAATATCCTCTTGCGGATTCTATAAAAGAGTGTTTCAAAACTGCTCTATGAAAAGAAAGGTTCAACTCTGTCAGTAGAGGGCACACATCACAAACAAGTTTCTGAGAATGCTTGTGTCTAGTTGTTATGGGAAGATATTTCCTTTTTCAACATAGGCCTGAAAGCGCTCCATATGTCCACTTCCAGATACTACAAAAGGAGTGATTCCAACCTGCTCTATGATAGGGAATGTTCATCTCTGTGTCCTGAATACAAACATCACAAAGATGTTTCTCAGAACGCTGCTGTGTGCTTTTTATATGTATTCCCGCTTCCAGCGAAATCCCCAAAGCTAGCCAAATATCCACTTGCAGATTCCAGAAAAAGAGTGTTTCAAAACTGCTCCTTCAAAACGGTGGTTCAATTCTCTTAGTTGAGTACACACATCTCAAATAAGTTTCTGAGAATGCTTCTGTCTAGTTGTTATGGGAAGATATTTCCTTTTCCAACATAGGCCTGAAAGCGCTCCAAATGTCCACTTCCAGATACTACAAAATGAGTGATTCAAACCTGCTCTATGATAGGGAATGTTCAACTCTGTGTCCTGAATACAAACATCACAAAGATGTTTCTCAGAACGCTGCAGTCTGCAATTTGTATGAATTCCCGCTTCCAACGAAATCCTCAAAACTAGCCAAATATCCACTTGGAGATTCCACAAAAAGAGCGTTTCAAAACTTCTCTATGAATAGAAAGGTTCTACTCCTTTAGTTGAGGACACACATCACGAGTAAGTTTCTGAGAATGCTTCTGTCTGGTTTTTATGGTAAGATATGTCCTTTTTCACCTTAGGCCGGAAAGCGCTCCAAATGTCCACTTACACACATTACAAAAAGAGTGTTTCAAACCTGCTCTGTGAAAGGGAATGTTCAATTCTGTGACTTGAATGCAATCATCACAAAGAACTTTCTGAGAATGCTGCTGACTGCTTTTTATATGTAATCCCGTTTCCAACGAAATCCTCAAATCTAGCCCAATATCAACTTGCAGATTCCACAAAAAGAGTGTTTCAAAACTGTTCTGTCTAAAGAAATGTACAACTGTGTTAGTTGAGGACACACATCAGAAACTAGTTTCTGAGAATGCTTCTGTCTAGTTGTTATGGGAAGATATTTCCTTTTCCAACTTAGGCCTGAAAGCGCTCCAAATGTCCACTTCCATATACTAAAAAAAGAGTGTTTCAAACCTGCTCTACCAAAGGGAATGTTCTACTCTGTGACTTGAATGCAAACATGCCAAAGAAGTTTCTGAGAATGC
Organism: Homo sapiens; assembly: GCF_000001405.40. Lineage (NCBI taxonomy): Eukaryota > Metazoa > Chordata > Mammalia > Primates > Hominidae > Homo > Homo sapiens. The sequence goes on along the minus strand of NC_000018.10, from coordinate 18,262,926 downwards.
TTCTGTCTAGATTTTATCTGAAGACAATCCCGTTTCCAACGAAATCCTCAAGGCTAGGCAAATATACTCTTGCAGATTCCAGAAAAAGAGGGTTTCAAACTGCTCCTTCAAAACGGTGGTTCAATGCTCTTAGTTGAGTACACACATCTCAAATAAGTTTCTGAGAATGCTTCTGCCTAGTTGTTACGGGAAGATATTTCCCTTTCCAACATGGGCCTGAAAGCGCTCCAAATGTCCACTTCCAGATACTACAAAAAGAGTGTTTCAAACCTGCTCTACCAAAGGGAATGTTCTACTCTGTGACTTGAATGCAAACATCGCAAAGAAGTTTCTGAGAATGCTTCTGTCTAGATTTTACCTGAAGACAATCCCGTTTCCCACGAAATCCTCAAAGCTATGCAAATATCCTCTTGCAGATTCTACAAAAAGAGTGTTTCAAAACTGCTCTATGAAAAGAAAGGTTCAACTCTGTCAGTAGAGGGCACACATCACAAACAAGTTTCTGAGAATGCTTCTGCATAGTTGTTACGGGAAGATATTTCCCTTTCCAAAATAGGCCTGAAAGCGCTCCAAATGTCCACTTCCAGATACTACAAAAGGAGTGATTCCAACCTGCTCTATGATAGGGAATGTTCAACTCTGTGTCCTGAATACAAACATCACAAAGATGTTTCTCAGAACGCTGCAGTCTGCAATTTGTATGAATTCCCGCTTCCAACGAAATCCTCAAAACTAGCCAAATATCCACTTGCAGATTCCACAAAAAGACCATTTCAAAACTGCTCTATCAAAAGAAAGGTTCAACTTTGTTAGTTGAGTAGATACAGCATAAACAAGTTTCTGAGAATGCTTCTGTCCAGTTTTTATGGGAAGATATTTCCTTTTTCACCTTAGCCCTGAAATCGCTCCAAAAGTCCAGTTCCAGATACTACAAAAGGGGTGTTTCAAGACTGCTCTATGAAAGGGAGTGTTCAACTTTTGACTTGAATGCAAACATCAGAAAGCAGTTTCTCAGAACGCTGCTGTGTGCTTTTTATATGTATTCCCGCTTCCAGCGAAATCCCCAAAGCTAGCCAAATATCCACTTGCAGATTCCAGAAAAAGAGTGTTTCAAAACTGCTCCTTCAAAACGGTGGTTCAATTCTCTTAGTTGAGTACACACATCTCAAATAAGTTTCTGAGAATGCTTCTGTCTAGTTGTTATGGGAAGATATTTCCTTTTCCAACATAGGCCTGAAAGCGCTCCAAATGTCCACTTCCAGATACTACAAAAGGAGTGATTCAAACCTGCTCTATGATAGGGAATGTTCAACTCTGTGTCCTGAATACAAACATCACAAAGATGTTTCTCAGAACGCTGCAGTCTGCAATTTGTATGAATTCCCGCTTCCAACGAAATCCTCCAAACTAGCCAAATATCCACTTGCAGATTCCACAAAAAGAGCGTTTCAAAACTTCTCTATGAAAAGAAAGGTTCTACTCCTTTAGTTGAGGACACACATCACGAGTAAGTTTCTGAGAATGCTTCTGTCTAGTTTTTATGGGAAGATATTTCCTTTTTCACCTTAGGCCGGAAAGTGCTCCAAATGTCCACTTACACACACTATAAAAAGAGTGTTTCAAAACTGCTCTGTGAAAGGGAATGTTCAATTCTGTGACTTGAATGCAATCATCACAAAGAACTTTCTGAGAATGCTGCTGTCTGCTTTTTATATGTAATCCCGTTTCCAACGAAATCCTCAAATCTAGCCAAATAGCCACTTGCAGATTCCACAAAAAGAGTGTTTCAAAACTGTTCTGTCTAAAGAAATGTTCAACTGTGTTAGTTGAGGACACACATCAGAAACTAGTTTCTGAGAATGCTTCTGTCTAGTTGTTATGGGAAGATATTTCCTTTTCCAACGTAGGCCTGAAAGCGCTCCAAATGTCCACTTCCATATACTAAAAAAAGAGTGTTTCAAACCTGCTCTACCAAAGGGAATGTTCTACTCTGTGACTTGAATGCAAACATCCCAAAGAAGTTTCTGAGAATGCTTCTGTCTAGATTTGATCTGAAGACAATCCCGTTTCCAACGAAATCCTCAAGGCTAGGCAAATATCCTCTTGCAGATTCCAGAAAAAGAGTGTTTCAAAACTGCTCCTTCAAAACGGTGGTTCAATTCTCTTAGTTGAGTACACACATCTCAAATAAGTTTCTGAGAATGCTTCTGCCTAGTTGTTACGGGAAGATATTTCCCTTTCCAACATAGGCCTGAAAGCGCTCCAAATGTCCACTTCCAGATACTACAAAAAGAGTGTTTCAAACCTGCTCTACCAAAGGGAATGTTCTGCTCTGTGACTTGAATGCAAACATCCCAAAGAAGTTTCTGAGAATGCTTCTGTCTAGATTTTACCTGAAGACAATCCCGTTTCCCACGAAATCCTCAAAGCTATGCAAATATCCTCTTGCAGATTCTACAAAAAGAGTGTTTCAAAACTGCTCTATGAAAAGAAAGGTTCAACTCTGTCAGTAGAGGGCACACATCACAAACAAGTTTCTGAGAATGCTGTGTCTAGTTGTTATGGGAAGATATTTCCTTTTTCAACATAGGCCTGAAAGCGCTCCAAATGTCCACTTCCAGATACTACAAAAGGAGTGATTCCAACCTGCTCTATGATAGGGAATGTTCATCTGCTGTGTCCTGAATACAAACATCACAAAGATGTTTCTCAGAACGCTGGCATTCTGCAATTTGTATGAATTCCCGCTTCCAACGAAATCCTCCAAACTAGCCAAATATCCACTTGCAGATTCCACAAAAAGAGCATTTCAAAACTGCTCTATCAAAAGAAAGGTTCAACTATGTTAGTTGAGTAGATACAGCATAAACAAGTTTCTGAGAATGATTCTGTCCAGTTTTTATGGGAAGATATTTCCTTTTTCACCTTAGCCCTGAAAGCGCTCCAAAAGTCCAGTTCCAGATACTACAAAAGGAGTGTTTCAGACTGCACTATGAAAGGGAGTGTTCAACTTTTGACTTGAATGCAAACATCAGAAAGCAGTTTCTCAGAACGCTGCTGTGTGCTTTTTATATGTATTCCCGCCTCCAGCGAAATCCCCAAAGCTAGCCAAATATCCACTTGCAGATTCCAGAAAAAGAGTGTTTCAAAACTGCTCCTTCAAAACGGTGGTTCAATTCTCTTAGTTGAGTACACACATCTCAAATAAGTTTCTGAGAATGCTTCTGTCTAGTTGTTATGGGAAGATATTTCCTTTTCCAACATAGGCCTGAAAGCGCTCCAAATGTCCACTTCCAGATACTACAAAAGGAGTGATTCAAACCTGCTCTATGATAGGGAATGTTCAACTCTGTGTCCTGAATACAAACATCACAAAGATGTTTCTGAGAATGCTGCAGTCTGCAATTTGTATGAATTCCCGCTTCCAACGAAATCCTCAAAACTAGCCAAATATCCACTTGCAGATTCCACAAAAAGAGCGTTTCAAAACTTCTCTATGAAAAGAAAGGTTCTACTCCTTTAGTTGAGGACACACATCACGAGTAAGTTTCTGAGAATGCTTCTGTCTAGTTTTTATGGGAAGATATTTCCTTTTTCACCTTAGGCCGGTAAGTGCTCCAAATGTCCACTTACACACACTACAAAAAGAGTCTTTCAAACCTGCTCTGTGAAAGGGAATGTTCAATTCTGTGACTTGAATGCAATCATCACAAAGAACTTTCTGAGAATGCTGCTGACTGCTTTTTATATGTAATCCCGTTTCCAACGAAATCCTCAAATCTAGCCAAATAGCCACTTGCAGATTCCACAAAAAGAGTGTTTCAAAACTGTTCTGTCTAAAGAAATGTTCAACTGTGTTAGTTGAGGACACACATCAGAAACTAGTTTCTGAGAATGCTTCTGTCTAGTTGTTATGGGAAGATATTTCCTTTTCCAACGTAGGCCTGAAAGCGATCAAAATGTCCACTTCCATATACTAAAAAAAGAGTGTTTCAAACCTGCTCTACCAAAGGGAATGTTCTACTCTGTGACTTGAATGCAAACATCCCAAAGAAGTTTCTGAGAATGCTTCTGTCTAGATTTTCTCTGAAGACAATCCCGTTTCCAACGAAATCCTCAAGGCTAGGCAAATATACTCTTGCAGATTCCAGAAAAAGAGTGTTTCAAAACTGCTCCTTCAAAACGGTGGTTCAATTCTCTTAGTTGAGTACACACATCTCAAATAAGTTTCTGAGAATGCTTCTGCCTAGTTGCTACGGGAAGATATTTCCTTTTCCAACATGGGCCTGAAAGCGCTCCAAATGTCCACTTCCAGATACTACAAAAAGAGTGTTTCAAACCTGCTCTACCAAAGGGAATGTTCTACTCTGTGACTTGAATGCAAACATCCCAAAGAAGTTTCTGAGAATGCTTCTGTCTAGATTTTACCTGAAGACAATCCCGTTTCCCACGAAATCCTCAAAGCTATGCAAATATCCTCTTGCAGATTCTACAAAAAGAGTGTTTCAAAACTGCTCTATGAAAAGAAAGGTTCAACTCTGTCAGTAGAGGGCACACATCACAAACAAGTTTCTGAGAATGCTTCTGCATAGTTGTTACGGGAAGATATTTCCCTTTCCAAAATAGGCCTGAAAGCGCTCCAAATGTCCACTTCCAGATACTACAAAAGGAGTGATTCCAACCTGCTCTATGATAGGGAATGTTCAACTCTGTGTCCTGAATACAAACATCACAAAGATGTTTCTCAGAACGCTGCAGTCTGCAATTTGTATGAATTCCCGCTTCCAACGAAATCCTCAAAACTAGCCAAATATCCACTTGCAGATTCCACAAAAAGAGCATTTCAAAACTGCTCTATCAAAAGAAAGGTTCAACTTTGTTAGTTGAGTAGATACAGCATAAACAAGTTTCTGAGAATGCTTCTGTCCAGTTTTTATGGGAAGATATTTCCTTTTTCACCTTAGCCCTGAAAGCGCTCCAAAATTCCAGTTCCAGATACTACAAAAGGAGTATTTCAGGACTGCTCTATGAAAGGGAGTGTTCAACTTTTGACTTGAATGCAAACATCAGAAAGCAGTTTCTCAGAACGCTGCTGTGTGCTTTTTATATGTATTCCCGCTTCCAGCGAAATCCCCAAAGCTAGCCAAATATCCACTTGCAGATTCCAGAAAAAGAGTGTTTCAAAACTGCTCCTTCAAAACGGTGGTTCAATTCTCTTAGTTGAGTACACACATCTCAAATAAGTTTCTGAGAATGCTTCTGTCTAGTTGTTATGGGAAGATATTTCCTTTTTCAACATAGGCCTGAAAGCGCTCCAAATGTCGACTTCCAGATACTACAAAAGGAGTGATTCCAGCCTTCTCTATGATAGGGAATGTTCAACTCTGTGTCCTGAATACAAACATCACAAAGACGTTTCTCAGAACGCTGCAGTCTGCAATTTGTATGAATTCCCGCTTCCAACGAAATCCTCAAAACTAGCCAAATATCCACTTGCAGATTCCACAAAAAGAGCGTTTCAAAACTTCTCTATGAAAAGAAAGGTTCTACTCCTTTAGTTGAGGACACACATCACGAGTAAGTTTCTGAGAATGCTTCTGTCTAGTTTTTATGGGAAGATTATTTCCTTTTTCACCTTAGGCCGGTAAGTGCTCCAAATGTCCACTTACACACACTACAAAAAGAGTGTTTCAAACCTGCTCTGTGAAAGGGAATGTTCAATTCTGTGACTTGAATGCAATCATCACAAAGAACTTTCTGAGAATGCTGCTGACTGCTTTTTATATGTAATCCCGTTTCCAACGAAATCCTCAAATCTAGCCAAATAGCCACTTGCAGATTCCACAAAAAGAGTGTTTCAAAACTGTTCTGTCTAAAGAAATGTTCAACTGTGTTAGTTGAGGACACACATCAGAAACTAGTTTCTGAGAATGCTTCTGTCTAGTTGTTATGGGAAGATATTTCCTTTTCCAACGTAGGCCTGAAAGCGCTCCAAATGTCCACTTCCAGATACTACGAAAAGAGTGTTTCAAACCTGCTCTACCAAAGGGAATGTTCTACTCTGTGACTTGAATGCAAGCATCCCAAAGAAGTTTCTGAGAATGCTTCTGTCTAGATTTTCTCTGAAGACAATCCCGTTTCCAACGAAATCCTCAAGGCTAGGCAAATATACTCTTGCAGATTCCAGAAAAAGAGTGTTTCAAAACTGCTCCTTCAAAACGGTGGTTCAATTCTCTTAGTTGAGTACACACATCTCAAATAAGTTTCTGAGAATGCTTCTGCCTAGTTGTTACGGGAAGATATTTCCCTTTCCAACATGGGCCTGAAAGCGCTCCAAATGTCCACTTCCAGATACTACAAAAAGAGTGTTTCAAACCTGCTCTACCAAAGGGAATGTTCTACTCTGTGACTTGAATGCAAACATCCCAAAGAAGTTTCTGAGAATGCTTCTGTCTAGATTTTACCTGAAGACAATCCCGTTTCCCACGAAATCCTCAAAGCTATGCAAATATCCTCTTGCAGATTCTACAAAAAGAGTGTTTCAAAACTGCTCTATGAAAAGAAAGGTTCAACTCTGTCAGTAGAGGGCACACATCACAAACAAGTTTCTGAGAATGCTTCTGCATAGTTGTTACGGGAAGATATTTCCCTTTCCAAAATAGGCCTGAAAGCGCTCCAAATGTCCACTTCCAGATACTACAAAAGGAGTGATTCCAACCTGCTCTATGATAGGGAATGTTCAACTCTGTGTCCTGAATACAAACATCACAAAGATGTTTCTCAGAACGCTGCAGTCTGCAATTTGTATGAATTCCCGCTTCCAACGAAATCCTCAAAACTAGCCAAATATCCACTTGCAGATTCCACAAAAAGACCATTTCAAAACTGCTCTATCAAAAGAAAGGTTCAACTTTGTTAGTTGAGTAGATACAGCATAAACAAGTTTCTGAGAATGCTTCTGTCCAGTTTTTATGGGAAGATATTTCCTTTTTCACCTTAGCCCTGAAATCGCTCCAAAAGTCCAGTTCCAGATACTACAAAAGGGGTGTTTCAGGACTGCTCTATGAAAGGGAGTGTTCAACTTTTGACTTGAATGCAAACATCAGAAAGCAGTTTCTCAGAACGCTGCTGTGTGCTTTTTATATGTATTCCCGCTTCCAGCGAAATCCCCAAAGCTAGCCAAATATCCACTTGCAGATTCCAGAAAAAGAGAGTTTCAAAACTGCTCCTTCAAAACGGTGGTTCAATTCTCTTAGTTGAGTACACACATCTCAAATAAGTTTCTGAGAATGCTTCTGTCTAGTTGTTATGGGAAGATATTTCCTTTTCCAACATAGGCCTGAAAGCGCTCCAAATGTCCACTTCCAGATACTACAAAAGGAGTGATTCAAACCTGCTCTATGATAGGGAATGTTCAACTCTGTGTCCTGAATACAAACATCACAAAGATGTTTCTCAGAACGCTGCAGTCTGCAATTTGTATGAATTCCCGCTTCCAACGAAATCCTCCAAACTAGCCAAATATCCACTTGCAGATTCCACAAAAAGAGCGTTTCAAAACTTCTCTATGAAAAGAAAGGTTCTACTCCTTTAGTTGAGGACACACATCACGAGTAAGTTTCTGAGAATGCTTCTGTCTAGTTTTTATGGGAAGATATTTCCTTTTTCACCTTAGGCCGGAAAGTGCTCCAAATGTCCACTTACACACACTACAAAAAGAGTGTTTCAAACCTGCTCTGTGAAAGGGAATGTTCAATTCTGTGACTTGAATGCAATCATCACAAAGAACTTTCTGAGAATGCTGCTGACTGCTTTTTATATGTAATCCCGTTTCCAACGAAATCCTCAAATCTAGCCAAATATCCACTTGCAGATTCCACAAAAAGAGTGTTTCAAAACTGTTCTGTCTAAAGAAATGTACAACTGTGTTAGTTGAGGACACACATCAGAAACTAGTTTCTGAGAATGCTTCTGTCTAGTTGTTATGGGAAGATATTTCCTTTTCCAAAGTAGGCCTGAAAGCGCTCCAAATGTCCACTTCCATATACTAAAAAAAGAGTGTTTCAAACCTGCTCTACCAAAGAGAATGTTCTACTCTGTGACTTGAATGCAAACATCCCAAAGAAGTTTCTGAGAATGCTTCTGTCTAGATTATATCTGAAGACAATCCCGTTTCCAACGAAATCCTCAAGGCTAGGCAAATATATTCTTGCAGAATCCAGAAAAAGAGTGTTTCAAAACTGCTCCTTCAAAACGGTGGTTCAATTCTCTTAGTTGAGTACACACATCTCAAATAAGTTTCTGAGAATGCTTCTGCCTAGTTGTTACGGGAAGATATTTCCCTTTCCAACATGGGCCTGAAAGCGCTCCAAATGTCCACTTCCAGATACTACAAAAAGAGTGTTTCAAACCTGCTCTACCAAAGGGAATGTTCTACTCTGTGACTTGAATGCAAACATCCCAAAGAAGTTTCTGAGAATGCTTCTGTCTAGATTTTACCTGAAGACAATCCCGTTTCCCACGAAATCCTCAAAGCTATGCAAATATCCTCTTGCAGATTCTACAAAAAGAGTGTTTCAAAACTGCTCTATGAAAAGAAAGGTTCAACTCTGTCAGTAGAGGGCACACATCACAAACAAGTTTCTGAGAATACTTGTGTCTAGTTGTTATGGGAAGATATTTCCTTTTTCAACATAGGCCTGAAAGCGCTCCAAATGTCCACTTCCAGATACTACAAAAGGAGTGATTCCAACCTGCTCTATGATAGGGAATGTTCAACTCTGTGTCCTGAATACAAACATCACAAAGATGTTTCTCAGAACGCTGCAGTCTGCAATTTGTATGTATTCCAGCTTCCAACGAAATCCTCAAATCTAGCCAAATATCCACTTGCAGATTCCACAAAAAGAGCATTTCAAAACTGCTCTATCAAAAGAAAAGTTCAACTTTTTTAGTAGAGTAGATACAGCATAAACAAGTTTCTGAGAATGCTTCTGTCCAGTTTTTATGGGAAGATATTTCCTTTTTCACCTTAGCCCTGAAAGCGCTCCAAAAGTCCAGTTCCAGATACTACAAAAGGAGTGTTTCAGGACTGCTCTATGAAAGGGAGTGTTCAACTTTTGACTTGAATGCAAACATCAGAAAGCAGTTTCTCAGAACGCTGCTGTGTGCTTTTTATATGTATTCCCGCTTCCAGCGAAATCCCCAAAGCTAGCCAAATAGCCACTTGCAGATTCCAGAAAAAGAGTGTTTCAAAACTGCTCCTTCAAAACGGTGGTTCAATTCTCTTAGTTGAGTACACACATCTCAAATAAGTTTCTGAGAATGCTTCTGTCTAGTTGTTATGGGAAGATATTTCCTTTTCCAACATAGGCCTGAAAGCGCTCCAAATGTCCACTTCCAGATACTACAAAAGGAGTGATTCAAACCTGCTCTATGATAGGGGATGTTCAACTCTGTGTCCTGAATACAAACATCACAAAGATGTTTCTCAGAACGCTGCAGTCTGCAATTTGTATGAATTCCCGCTTCCAACGAAATCCTCAAAACTAGCCAAATATCCACTTGCAGATTCCACAAAAAGAGCATTTCAAAACTGCTCTATCAAAAGAAAGGTTCAACTTTGTTAGTTGAGTAGATACAGCATAAACAAGTTTCTGAGAATGCTTCTGTCCAGTTTTTATGGGAAGATATTTCCTTTTTCACCTTAGCCCAGAAAGCGCTCCAAAAGTCCAGTTCCAGATACTACAAAAGGAGTGTTTCAGGACTGCTCTATGAAAGGGAGTGTTCAACTTTTGACTTGAATGCAAACATCAGAAAGCAGTTTCTCAGAACGCTGCTGTGTGCTTTTTATATGTATTCCCGCTTCCAGCGAAATCCCCAAAGCTAGCCAAATATCCACTTGCAGATTCCAGAAAAAGAGTGTTTCAAAACTGCTCCTTCAAAACGGTGGTTCAATTCTCTTAGTTGAGTACACACATCTCAAATAAGTTTCTGAGAATGCTTCTGTCTAGTTGTTATGGGAAGATATTTCCTTTTCCAACATAGGGCCTGAAAGCGCTCCAAATGTCCACTTCCAGATACTACAAAAGGAGTGATTCCAACCTGCTCTATGATAGGGAATGTTCAACTCTGTGTCCTGAATACAAACATCACAAAGATGTTTCTCAGAACGCTGCAGTCTGCAATTTGTATGAATTCCCGCTTCCAACGAAATCCTCAAAACTAGCCAAATATCCACTTGCAGATTCCACAAAAAGAGCGTTTCAAAACTTCTCTATGAAAAGAAAGGTTCTACTCCTTTAGTTGAGGACACACATCACGAGTAAGTTTCTGAGAATGCTTCTGTCTAGTTTTTATGGGAAGATATTTCCTTTTTCACCTTAGGCCGGTAAGTGCTCCAAATGTCCACTTACACACACTACAAAAAGAGTGTTTCAAACCTGCTCTGTGAAAGGGAATGTTCAATTCTGTGACTTGAATGCAATCATCACAAAGAACTTTCTGAGAATGCTGCTGACTGCTTTTTATATGTAATCCCGTTTCCAACGAAATCCTCAAATCTAGCCAAATAGCCACTTGCAGATTCCACAAAAAGAGTGTTTCAAAACTGTTCTGTCTAAAGAAATGTTCAACTGTGTTAGTTGAGGACACACATCAGAAACTAGTTTCTGAGAATGCTTCTGTCTAGTTGTTATGGGAAGATATTTTCTTTTCCAACGTAGGCCTGAAAGCGCTCCAAATGTCCACTTCCAGATACTAAAAAAAGAGTGTTTCAAACCTGCTCTACCAAAGGGAATGTTCTACTCTGTGACTGGAATGCAAGCATCCCAAAGAAGTTTCTGAGAATGCTTCTGTCTAGATTTTCTCTGAAGACAATCCCGTTTCCAACGAAATCCTCATGGCTAGGCAAATATACTCTTGCAGATTCCAGAAAAAGAGTGTTTCAAAACTGCTCCTTCAAAACGGTGGTTCAATTCTCTTAGTTGAGTACACACATCTCAAATAAGTTTCTGAGAATGCTTCTGCCTAGTTGTTACGGGAAGATATTTCCCTTTCCAACATGGGCCTGAAAGCGCTCCAAATGTCCACTTCCAGATACTACAAAAAGAGTGTTTCAAACCTGCTCTACCAAAGGGAATGTTCTACTCTGTGACTTGAATGCAAACATCCCAAAGAAGTTTCTGAGAATGCTTCTGTCTAGATTTTACCTGAAGACAATCCCGTTTCCCACGAAATCCTCAAAGCTATGCAAATATCCTCTTGCAGATTCTACAAAAAGAGTGTTTCAAAACTGCTCTATGAAAAGAAAGGTTCAACTCTGTCAGTAGAGGGCACACATCACAAACAAGTTTCTGAGAATGCTTCTGCATAGTTGTTACGGGAAGATATTTCCCTTTCCAAAATAGGCCTGAAAGCGCTCCAAATGTCCACTTCCAGATACTACAAAAGGAGTGATTCCAACCTGCTCTATGATAGGGAATGTTCAACTCTGTGTCCTGAATACAAACATCACAAAGATGTTTCTCAGAACGCTGCAGTCTGCAAATTTGTATGAATTCCCGCTTCCAACGAAATCCTCAAAACTAGCCAAATATCCACTTGCAGATTCCACAAAAAGACCATTTCAAAACTGCTCTATCAAAAGAAAGGTTCAACTTTGTTAGTTGAGTAGATACAGCATAAACAAGTTTCTGAGAATGCTTCTGTCCAGTTTTTATGGGAAGATATTTCCTTTTTCACCTTAGCCCTGAAATCGCTCCAAAAGTCCAGTTCCAGATACTACAAAAGGGGTGTTTCAAGACTGCTCTATGAAAGGGAGTGTTCAACTTTTGACTTGAATGCAAACATCAGAAAGCAGTTTCTCAGAACGCTGCTGTGTGCTTTTTATATGTATTCCCGCTTCCAGCGAAATCCCCAAAGCTAGCCAAATATCCACTTGCAGATTCCAGAAAAAGAGTGTTTCAAAACTGCTCCTTCAAAACGGTGGTTCAATTCTCTTAGTTGAGTACACACATCTCAAATAAGTTTCTGAGAATGCTTCTGTCTAGTTTTTATGGGAAGATATTTCCTTTTTCACCTTAGGCCGGAAAGTGCTCCAAATGTCCACTTCCAGATACTACAAAAGGAGTGATTCCAACCTGCTCTATGATAGGGAATGTTCAACTCTCTGTCCTGAATACAAACATCACAAAGATGTTTCTCTGAACGCTGCAGTCTGCAATTTGTATGAATTCCCGCTTCCAGCGAAATCCTCAAAACTAGCCAAATATCCACTTGCAGATTCCACAAAAAGAGCATTTCAAAACTGCTCTATCAAAAGAAAGGTTCAACTTTGTTAGTTGAGTAGATACAGCATAAACAAGTTTCTGAGAATGCTTCTGTCCAGTTTTTATGGGAAGATATTTCCTTTTTCACCTTAGCCCTGAAAGCGCTCCAAAAGTCCAGTTCCAGATACTACAAAAGGAGTGTTTCAGGACTGCTCTATGAAAGGGAGTGTTCAACTTTTGACTTGAATGCAAACATCAGAAAGCAGTTTCTCAGAACGCTGCTGTGTGCTTTTTATATGTATTCCCGCCTCCAGCGAAATCCCCAAAGCTAGCCAAATATCCACTTGCAGATTCCAGAAAAAGAGTGTTTCAAAACTGCTCCTTCAAAACGGTGGTTCAATTCTCTTAGTTGAGTACACACATCTCAAATAAGTTTCTGAGAATGCTTCTGTCTAGTTGTTATGGGAAGATATTTCCTTTTCCAACATAGGCCTGAAAGCGCTCCAAATGTCCACTTCCAGATACTACAAAAGGAGTGATTCCAACCTGCTCTATGATAGGGAATGTTCAACTCTGTGTCCTGAATACAAACATCACAAAGATGTTTCTCAGAACGCTGCAGTCTGCAATTTGTATGAATTCCCGCTTCCAACGAAATCCTCCAAACTAGCCAAATATCCACTTGCAGATTCCACAAAAAGAGCGTTTCAAAACTTCTCTATGAAAACAAAGGTTCTACTCCTTTAGTTGAGGACACACATCACGAGTAAGTTTCTGAGAGTGCTTCTGTCTAGTTTTTATGGGAAGATATTTCCTTTTTCACCTTAGGCCGGAAAGTGCTCCAAATGTCCACTTACACACACTACAAAAAGAGTGTTTCAAACCTGCTCTGTGAAAGGGAATGTTCAATTCTGTGACTTGAATGCAATCATCACAAAGAACTTTCTGAGAATGCTGCTGTCTGCTTTTTATATGTAATCCCGTTTCCAACGAAATCCTCAAATCTAGCCAAATAGCCACTTGCAGATTCCACAAAAAGAGTGTTTCAAAACTGTTCTGTCTAAAGAAATGTTCAACTGTGTTAGTTGAGGACACACATCAGAAACTAGTTTCTGAGAATGCTTCTGTCTAGTTGTTATGGGAAGATATTTCCTTTTCCAACGTAGGCCTGAAAACGATCAAAATGTCCACTTCCATATACTAAAAAAAGAGTGTTTCAAACCTGCTCTACCAAAGGGAATGTTCTACTCTGTGACTTGAATGCAAACATCCCAAAGAAGTTTCTGAGAATGCTTCTGTCTAGATTTTCTCTGAAGACAATCCCGTTTCCAACGAAATCCTCAAGGCTAGGCAAATATACTCTTGCAGATTCCAGAAAAAGAGTGTTTCAAAACTGCTCCTTCAAAACGGTGGTTCAATTCTCTTAGTTGAGTACACACATCTCAAATAAGTTTCTGAGAATGCTTCTGCCTAGTTGTTACGGGAAGATATTTCCCTTTCCAACATGGGCCTGAAAGCGCTCCAAATGTCCACTTCCAGATACTACAAAAAGAGTGTTTCAAACCTGCTCTACCAAAGGGAATGTTCTACTCTGTGACTTGAATGCAAACATCCCAAAGAAGTTTCTGAGAATGCTTCTGTCTAGATTTTACCTGAAGACAATCCCGTTTCCCACGAAATCCTCAAAGCTATGCAAATATCCTCTTGCAGATTCTACAAAAAGAGTGTTTCAAAACTGCTCTATGAAAAGAAAGGTTCAACTCTGTCAGTAGAGGGCACACATCACAAACAAGTTTCTGAGAATGCTTCTGCATAGTTGTTACGGGAAGATATTTCCCTTTCCAAAATAGGCCTGAAAGCGCTCCAAATGTCCACTTCCAGATACTACAAAAGGAGTGATTCCAACCTGCTCTATGATAGGGAATGTTCAACTCTGTGTCCTGAATACAAACATCACAAAGATGTTTCTCAGAACGCTGCAGTCTGCAATTTGTATGAATTCCCGCTTCCAACGAAATCCTCAAAACTAGCCAAATATCCACTTGCAGATTCCACAAAAAGACCATTTCAAAACTGCTCTATCAAAAGAAAGGTTCAACTTTTTTAGTTGAGTAGATACAGCATAAACAAGTTTCTGAGAATGCTTCTGTCCAGTTTTTATGGGAAGATATTTCCTTTTTCACCTTAGCCCTGAAATCGCTCCAAAAGTCCAGTTCCAGATACTACAAAAGGGGTGTTTCAAGACTGCTCTATGAAAGGGAGTGTTCAACTTTTGACTTGAATGCAAACATCAGAAAGCAGTTTCTCAGAACGCTGCTGTGTGCTTTTTATATGTATTCCCGCTTCCAGCGAAATCCCCAAAGCTAGCCAAATATCCACTTGCAGATTCCAGAAAAAGAGAGTTTCAAAACTGCTCCTTCAAAACGGTGGTTCAATTCTCTTAGTTGAGTACACACATCTCAAATAAGTTTCTGAGAATGCTCTGTCTAGTTGTTATGGGAAGATATTTCCTTTTCCAACATAGGCCTGAAAGCGCTCCAAATGTCCACTTCCAGATACTACAAAAGGAGTGATTCCAACCTGCTCTATGATAGGGAATGTTCAACTCTGTGTCCTGAATACAAACATCACAAAGATGTTTCTCAGAACGCTGGCAGTCTGCAATTTGTATGAATTCCCACTTCCAACGAAATCCTCAAAACTAGCCAAATATCCACTTGCAGATTCCACAAAAAGAGCGTTTCAAAACTTCTCTATGAAAAGAAAGGGGTTCTACTCCTTTAGTTGAGGACACACATCACGAGTAAGTTTCTGAGAATGCTTCTGTCTAGTTTTTATGGGAAGATATTTCCTTTTTCACCTTAGGCCGGAAAGTGCTCCAAATGTCCACTTACACACACTACAAAAAGAGTGTTTCAAACCTGCTCTGTGAAAGGGAATGTTCAATTCTGTGACTTGAATGCAATCATCACAAAGAACGTTCTGAGAATGCTGCTGTCTGCTTTTTATATGTAATCCCGTTTCCAACGAAATCCTCAAATCTAGCCAAATAGCCACTTGCAGATTCCACAAAAAGAGAGTTTCAAAACTGTTCTGTCTAAAGAAATGTTCAACTGTGTTAGTTGAGGACACACATCAGAAACTAGTTTCTGAGAATGCTTCTGTCTAATTGTTATGGGAAGATATTTCCTTTTCCAACGTAGGCCTGAAAGCGCTCCAAATGTCCACTTCCATATACTAAAAAAAGAGTGTTTCAAACCTGCTCTACCAAAGGGAATGTTCTACTCTGTGACTTGAATGCAAACATCCCAAAGAAGTTTCTGAGAATGCTTCTGTCTAGATTTGATCTGAAGACA
This sequence comes from Homo sapiens, assembly GCF_000001405.40. Taxonomy (NCBI): domain Eukaryota; kingdom Metazoa; phylum Chordata; class Mammalia; order Primates; family Hominidae; genus Homo; species Homo sapiens. The sequence continues at coordinate 18,247,301 of NC_000018.10, read as the reverse complement.
ATCCCGTTTCCAACGAAATCCTCAAGGCTAGGCAAATATCCTCTTGCAGATTCCAGAAAAAGAGTGTTTCAAAACTGCTCCTTCAAAACGGTGGTTCAATTCTCTTAGTTGAGTACACACATCTCAAATAAGTTTCTGAGAATGCTTCTGCCTAGTTGTTACGGGAAGATATTTCCCTTTCCAACATAGGCCTGAAAGCGCTCCAAATGTCCACTTCCAGATACTACAAAAAGAGTGTTTCAAACCTGCTCTACCAAAGGGAATGTTCTACTCTGTGACTTGAATGCAAACATCCCAAAGAAGTTTCTGAGAATGCTTCTGTCTAGATTTGATCTGAAGACAATCCCGTTTCCAACGAAATCCTCAAGGCTAGGCAAATATCCTCTTGCAGATTCCAGAAAAAGAGTGTTTCAATACTGCTCCTTCAAAACGGTGGTTCAATTCTCTTAGTTGAGTACACACATCTCAAATAAGTTTCTGAGAATGCTTCTGCATAGTTGTTACGGGAAGATATTTCCCTTTCCAACATAGGCCTGAAAGCGCTCCAAATGTCCACTTCCAGATACTACAAAAAGAGTGTTTCAAACCTGCTCTACCAAAGGGAATGTTCTACTCTGTGACTTGAATGCAAACATCCCAAGGAAGTTTCTGAGAATGCTTCTGTCTAGATTTTACCTGAAGACAATCCCGTTTCCCACGAAATCCTCAAAGCTATGCAAATATCCTCTTGCAGATTCTACAAAAAGAGTGTTTCAAAACTGCTCTATGAAAAGAAAGGTTCAACTCTGTCAGTAGAGGGCACAACATCACAAACAAGTTTCTGAGAATGCTTCTGCATAGTTGTTACGGGAAGATATTTCCCTTTCCAAAATAGGCCTGAAAGCGCTCCAAATGTCCACTTCCAGATACTACAAAAGGAGTGATTCCAACCTGCTCTATGATAGGGAATGTTCAACTCTGTGTCCTGAATACAAACATCACAAAGATGTTTCTCAGAACGCTGCAGTCTGCAATTTGTATGAATTCCCGCTTCCAACGAAATCCTCAAAACTAGCCAAATATCCACTTGCAGATTCCACAAAAAGACCATTTCAAAACTGCTCTATCAAAAGAAAGGTTCAACTTTGTTAGTTGAGTAGATACAGCATAAACAAGTTTCTGAGAATGCTTCTGTCCAGTTTTTATGGGAAGATATTTCCTTTTTCACCTTAGCCCTGAAATCGCTCCAAAAGTCCAGTTCCAGATACTACAAAAGGGGTGTTTCAGGACTGCTCTATGAAAGGGAGTGTTCAACTTTTGACTTGAATGCAAACATCAGAAAGCAGTTTCTCAGAACGCTGCTGTGTGCTTTTTATATGTATTCCCGCTTCCAGCGAAATCCCCAAAGCTAGCCAAATATCCACTTGCAGATTCCAGAAAAAGAGAGTTTCAAAACTGCTCCTTCAAAACGGTGGTTCAATTCTCTTAGTTGAGTACACACATCTCAAATAAGTTTTCTGAGAATGCTTATGTGTCTAGTTGTTATGGGAAGATATTTCCTTTTTCAACATAGGCCTGAAAGCGCTCCAAATGTCCACTTCCAGATACTACAAAAGGAGTGATTCCAACCTGCTCCATGATAGGGAATGTTCATCTCTGTGTCCTGAATACAAACATCACAAAGATGTTTCTCAGAACGCTGCAGTCTGCAATTTGGATGAATTCCCGCTTCCAACGAAATCCTCAAAACTAGCCAAATATCCACTTGGAGATTCCACAAAAAGAGCGTTTCAAAACTTCTCTATGAATAGAAAGGTTCTACTCCTTTAGTTGAGGAAACACATCAAGAGTAAGTTTCTGAGAATGTTTCTGTCTAGTTTTTATGGGAAGATATTTCCTTTTTCACCTTAGGCCGGAAAGCGCTCCAAATGTCCACTTACACACACTACAAAAAGAGTGTTTCAAACCTGCTCTGTGAAAGGGAATGTTCAATTCTGTGACTTGAATGCAATCATCACAAAGAACTTTCTGAGAATGCTGCTGTCTGCTTTTTATATGTAATCCCGTTTCCAACGAAATCCTCAAATCTAGCCAAATATCCACTTGCAGATTCCACAAAAAGAGAGTTTCAAAACTGTTCTGTCTAAAGAAATGTTCAACTGTGTTAGTTGAGGACACACATCAGAAACTAGTTTCTGAGAATGCTTCTGTCTAGTTGTTATGGGAAGATATTTCCTTTTCCAACGTAGGCGTGAAAGCGCTCCAAATGTCCACTTCCATATACTAAAAAAAGAGTGTTTAAAACCTGCTCTACCAAAGGGAATGTTCTACTCTGTGACTTGAATGCAAACATCCCAAAGAAGTTTCTGAGAATGCTTCTGTCTAGATTTGATCTGAAGACAATCCCGTTTCCAACGAAATCCTCAAAGCTATGCAAATATCCTCTTGCAGATTCCAGAAAAAGAGTGTTTCAAAACTGCTCCTTCAAAAGGTGGTTCAATTCTCTTAAGTTGAGTACACACATCTCAAATAAGTTTCTGAGAATGCTTCTGCCTAGTTGTTACGGGAAGATATTTCCCTTTCCAACATAGGCCTGAAAGCGCTCCAAATGTCCACTTCCAGATACTACAAAAAGAGTGTTTCAAACCTGCTCTAACAAAGGGAATGTTCTACTCTGTGACTTGAATGCAAACATCCCGAGGAATTTTCTGAGAATGCTTCTGTCTAGATTTTACCTGAAGACAATCCCGTTTCCCACGAAATCCTCAAAGCTATGCAAATATCCTCTTGCAGATTCTACAAAAAGAGTGTTTCGAAACTGCTCTATGAAAAGAAAGGTTCAACTCTGTCAGTAGAGGGCACACATCACAAACAAGTTTCTGAGAATGCTTGTGTCTACTTGTTATCGGAAGATATTTCCTTTTTCAACATAGGCCTGAAAGCGCTCCAAATGTCCACTTCCAGATACTACAAAAGGAGTGATTCCAACCTGCTGTATGATAGGGAATGTTCAACTCTGTGTCCTGAATACAAACATCACAAAGATGTTTCTCAGAACGCTGCAGTCTGCAATTTGTATGAATTCCCGCTTCCAACGAATTCCTCAAAACTAACCAAATATCCACTTGCAGACTCCACAAAAAGAGCATTTCAAAACTGCTCTATCAAAAGAAAGGTTCAACTTTGTTAGCTGAGTAGATACAGCATAAACAAGTTTCTGAGAATGCTTCTGTCCAGTTTTTATGGGAAGATATTTCCTTTTTCACCTTAGCCCTGAAAGCACTCCAAATGTCCACTTCCAGATACCACAAAAGGGGAGTTTCAAGACTGCTCTATGAAAGGGAGTGTTCAACTTTTGACTTGAATGCGAACATCAGAAAGAAGTTTCTCAGAACGCTGCTGTGTGCTTTTTATATGTATTCCCGCTTCCAGCGAAATCCCCAAAGCTAGCCAGATATCCACTTGCAGATTCCAGAAAAAGAGTGTTTCAAAACTGCTCCTTCAAAACGGTGGTTCAATTCTCTTAGTTGAGTACACACATCTCAAATAAGTTTCTGAGAATGCTTCTGTCTACTTGTTATGGGAAGATATTTCCTTTTCCAACATAGACCTGAAAGCGCTCCAAAGGTCCACTTCCAGATACTACAAAAGGAGTGATTCAAACCTGCTCTATGATAGGGAATGTTCAACTCTGTGTCCTGAATACAAACATCACAAAGATGTTTCTCAGAACGCTTGCAGTCTGCAATTTGTATGAATTCCCGCTTCCAACGAAATCCTCAAAACTAGCCAAATATCCACTTGCAGATTCCACAAAAAGAGCATTTCAAAACTGCTCTATCAAAAGAAAGGTTCAACTTTGTTAGTTGAGTAGATACAGCATAAACAAGTTTCTGAGAATGCTTCTGTCCAGTTTTTATGGGAAGATATTTCCTTTTTCACCTTAGCCCTGAAAGCGCTCCAAAAGTCCAGTTCCAGATACTACAAAAGGAGTGTTTCAGGACTGCTCTATGAAAGGGAGTGTTCAACTTTTGACTTGAATGCAAACATCAGAAAGCAGTTTCTCAGAACGCTGCTGTGTGCTTTTTATATGTATTCCCGCCTCCAGCGAAATCCCCAAAGCTAGCCAAATATCCACTTGCAGATTCCAGAAAAAGAGTGTTTCAAAACTGCTCCTTCAAAACGGTGGTTCAATTCTCTTAGTTGAGTACACACATCTCAAATAAGTTTCTGAGAATGCTTCTGTCTAGTTGTTATGGGAAGATATTTCCTTTTCCAACATAGGCCTGAAAGCGCTCCAAATGTCCACTTCCAGATACTACAAAAGGAGTGATTCAAACCTGCTCTATGATAGGGAATGTTCAACTCTGTGTCCTGAATACAAACATCACAAAGATGTTTCTCAGAACGCTGCAGTCTGCAATTTGTATGAATTCCCGCTTCCAACGAAATCCTCCAAACTAGCCAAATATCCACTTGCAGATTCCACAAAAAGAGCGTTTCAAAACTTCTCTATGAAAAGAAAGGTTCTACTCCTTTAGTTGAGGACACACATCACGAGTAAGTTTCTGAGAGTGCTTCTGTCTAGTTTTTATGGGAAGATATTTCCTTTTTCACCTTAGGCCGGAAAGTGCTCCAAATGTCCACTTACACACACTACAAAAAGAGTCTTTCAAACCTGCTCTGTGAAAGGGAATGTTCAATTCTGTGACTTGAATGCAATCATCACAAAGAACTTTCTGAGAATGCTGCTGTCTGCTTTTTATATGTAATCCCGTTTCCAACGAAATCCTCAAATCTAGCCAAATAGCCACTTGCAGATTCCACAAAAAGAGTGTTTCAAAACTGTTCTGTCTAAAGAAATGTTCAACTGTGTTAGTTGAGGACACACATCAGAAACTAGTTTCTGAGAATGCTTCTGTCTAGTTGTTATGGGAAGATATTTCCTTTTCCAACGTAGGCCTGAAAGCGCTCCAAATGTCCACTTCCATATACTAAAAAAAGAGTGTTTCAAACCTGCTCTACCAAAGGGAATGTTCTACTCTGTGACTTGAATGCAAACATCCCAAAGAAGTTTCTGAGAATGCTTCTGTCTAGATTTTATCTGAAGACAATCCCGTTTCTAACGAAATCCTCAAGGCTAGGCAAATATACTCTTGCAGATTCCAGAAAAAGAGTGTTTCAAAACTGCTCCTTCAAAACGGTGGTTCAATTCTCTTAGTTGAGTACACACATCTCAAATAAGTTTCTGAGAATGCTTCTGCCTAGTTGTTACGGGAAGATATTTCCCTTTCCAACATAGGCCTGAAAGCGCTCCAAATGTCCACTTCCAGATACTACAAAAAGAGTTTTTCAAACCTGCTCTACCAAAGGGAATGTTCTACTCTGTGACTTGAATGCAAACATCCCAAAGAAGTTTCTGAGAATGCTTCTGTCTAGATTTTACCTGAAGACAATCCCGTTTCCCACGAAATCCTCAAAGCTATGCAAATATCCTCTTGCAGATTCTACAAAAAGAGTGTTTCAAAACTGCTCTATGAAAAGAAAGGTTCAACTCTGTCAGTAGAGGGCACACATCACAAACAAGTTTCTGAGAATGCTTGTGTCTAGTTGTTATGGGAAGATATTTCCTTTTTCAACATAGGCCAGAAAGCGCTCCAAATGTCCACTTCCAGATACTACAAAAGGAGTGATTCCAACCTGCTCTATGATAGGGAATGTTCAACTCTCTGTCCTGAATACAAACATCACAAAGATGTTTCTCAGAACGCTGCAGTCTGCAATTTGTACGAATTCCCGCTTCCAACGAAATCCTCAAAACTAGCCAAATATCCACTTGCAGATTCCACAAAAAGAGCATTTCAAAACTGCTCTATCAAAAGAAAGGTTCAACTTTGTTAGTTGAGCAGATACAGCATAAACAAGTTTCTGAGAATGCTTCTGTCCAGTTTTTATGGGAAGATATTTCCTTTTTCACCTTAGCCCTGAAAGCGCTCCAAATTTCCAGTTCCAGATACTACAAAAGGGGTGTTTCAAGACTGCTCTATGAAAGGGAGTGTTCAACTTTTGACTTGAATGCAAACATCAGAAAGCAGTTTCTCAGAACGCTGCTGTGTGCTTTTTATATGTATTCCCGCTTCCAGCGAAATCCCCAAAGCTAGCCAAATATCCACTTGCAGATTCCAGAAAAAGAGTGTTTCCAAACTGCTCCTTCAAAACGGTGGTTCAATTCTCTTAGTTGAGTACACACATCTCAAATAAGTTTCTGGGAATGCTTCTGTCTAGTTGTTATGGGAAGATATTTCCTTTTCCAACATAGGCCTGAAAGCGCTCCAAATGTCCACTTCCAGATACTACAAAAGGAGTGATTCCAACCTGCTCTATGATAGGGAATGTTCAACTCTGTGTCCTGAATACAAACATCACAAAGATGTTTCTCAGAACGCTGCAGTCTGCAATTTGTATGAATTCCCGCTTCCAACGAAATCCTCAAAACTAGCCAAATATCCACTTGCAGATTCCACAAAAAGAGCGTTTCAAAACTTCTCTATGAAAAGAAAGGTTCTACTCCTTTAGTTGAGGACACACATCACGAGTAAGTTTCTGAGAATGCTTCTGTCTAGTTTTTATGGGAAGATATTTCCTTTTTCACCTTAGGCCGGTAAGTGCTCCAAATGTCCACTTACACACACTACAAAAAGAGTCTTTCAAACCTGCTCTGTGAAAGGGAATGTTCAATTCTGTGACTTGAATGCAATCATCACAAAGAACTTTCTGAGAATGCTGCTGACTGCTTTTTATATGTAATCCCGTTTCCAACGAAATCCTCAAATCTAGCCAAATAGCCACTTGCAGATTCCACAAAAAGAGTGTTTCAAAACTGTTCTGTCTAAAGAAATGTTCAACTGTGTTAGTTGAGGACACACATCAGAAACTAGTTTCTGAGAATGCTTCTGTCTAGTTGTTATGGGAAGATATTTCCTTTTCCAACGTAGGCCTGAAAGCGCTCCAAATGTCCACTTCCATATACTAAAAAAAGAGTGTTTCAAACCTGCTCTACCAAAGGGAATGTTCTACTCTGTGACTTGAATGCAAACATCCCAAAGAAGTTTCTGAGAATGCTTCTGTCTAGATTTTATCTGAAAACAATCCCGTTTCCAACGAAATCCTCAAAGCTAGGCAAATATCCTCTTGCAGATTCCAGAAAAAGAGTGTTTCAAAACTGGTCCTTCAAAACGGTGGTTCAATTCTCTTAGTTGAGTACACACATCTCAAATAAGTTTCTGAGAATGCTTCTGCCTAGTTGTTACGGGAAGATATTTCCCTTTCCAACATGGGCCTGAAAGCGCTCCAAATGTCCACTTCCAGATACTACAAAAAGAGTGTTTCAAACCTGCTCTACCAAAGGGAATGTTCTACTCTGTGACTTGAATGCAAACATCCCAAAGAAGTTTCTGACAATGCTTCTGTCTAGATTTTACCTGAAGACAATCCCGTTTCCCACGAAATCCTCAAAGCTATGCAAATATCCTCTTGCGGACTCTACAAAAAGAGTGTTTCAAAACTCCTCTATGAAAAGAAAGGTTCAACTCTGTCAGTAGAGGGCACACATCACAAACAAGTTTCTGAGAATGCTTGTGTCTAGTTGTTATGGGAAGATATTTCCTTTTTCAACATAGGCCTGAAAGCGCTCCAAATGTCCACTTCCAGATACTACAAAAGGAGTGATTCCAACCTGCTCTATGATAGGGAATGTTCATCTCTGTGTCCTGAATACAAACATCACAAAGATGTTTCTCAGAACGCTGCAGTCTGCAATTTGGATGAATTCCCGCTTCCAACGAAATCCTCAAAACTAGCCAAATATCCACTTGGAGATTCCACAAAAAGAGCGTTTCAAAACTTCTCTATGAATAGAAAGGTTCTACTCCTTTAGTTGAGGAAACACATCACGAGTAAGTTTCTGAGAATGCTTCTGTCTAGTTTTTATGGGAAGATATTTCCTTTTTCACCTTAGGCCGGAAAGCGCTTCAAATGTCCACTTACACACACTACAAAAAGAGTGTTTCATACCTGCTCTGTGAAAGGGAATGTTCAATTCTGTGACTTGAATGCAATCATCACAAAGAACTTTCTGAGAATGCTGCTGACTGCTTTTTATATGTAATCCCGTTTCCAACGAAATCCTCAAATCTAGCCCAATATCCACTTGCAGATTCCACAAAAAGAGTGTTTCAAAACTGTTCTGTCTAAAGAAATGTACAACTGTGTTAGTTGAGGACACACATCAGAAACTAGTTTCTGAGAATGCTTCTGTCTAGTTGTTATGGGAAGATATTTCCTTTTCCAACGTAGGCCTGAAAGCGCTCCAAATGTCCACTTCCATATACTAAAAAAAGAGTGTTTCAAACCTGCTCTACCAAAGGGAATGTTCTACTCTGTGACTTGAATGCAAACATCCCAAAGAAGTTTCTGAGAATGCTTCTGTCTAGATTTGATCTGAAGACAATCCCGTTTCCAACGAAATCCTCAAGGCTAGGCAAATATCCTCTTGCAGATTCCAGAAAAAGAGTGTTTCAAAACTGCTCCTTCAAAACGGTGGTTCAATTCTCTTAGTTGAGTACACAAATCTCAAATAAGTTTCTGAGAATGCTTCTGCCTAGTTGTTACGGGAAGATATTTCCCTTTCCAACATAGGCCTGAAAGCGCTCCAAATGTCCACTTCCAGATACTACAAAAAGAGTGTTTCAAACCTGCTCTACCAAAGGGAATGTTCTACTCTGTGACTTGAATGCAAACATCCCAAAGAAGTTTCTGAGAATGCTTCTGTCTAGATTTTACCTGAAGACAATCCCGTTTCCCACGAAATCCTCAAAGCTATGCAAATATCCTCTTGCAGATTCTACAAAAAGAGTGTTTCAAAACTGCTCTATGAAAAGAAAGGTTCAACTCTGTCAGTAGAGGGCACACATCACAAACAAGTTTCTGAGAATGCTTGTGTCTAGTTGTTATGGGAAGATATTTCCTTTTTCAACATAGGCCTGAAAGCGCTCCAAATGTCCACTTCCAGATACTACAAAAGGAGTGATTCCAACCTGCTCTATGATAGGGAATGTTCAACTCTCTGTCCTGAATACAAACATCACAAAGATGTTTCTCAGAACGCTGCAGTCTGCAATTTGTATGAATTCCCGCTTCCAACGAAATCCTCAAAACTAGCCAAATATCCACTTGCAGATTCCACAAAAAGAGCATTTCAAAACTGCTCTATCAAAAGAAAGGTTCAACTTTGTTAGTTGAGTAGATACAGCATAAACAAGTTTCTGAGAATGCTTCTGTCCAGTTTTTATGGGAAGATATTTCCTTTTTCACCTTAGCCCTGAAAGCGCTCCAAAAGTCCAGTTCCAGATACTACAAAAGGGGTGTTTCAGGACTGCTCTATGAAAGGGAGTGTTCAACTTTTGACTTGAATGCAAACATCAGAAAGCAGTTTCTCAGAACGCTGCTGTGTGCTTTTTATATGTATTCCCGCTTCCAGCGAAATCCCCAAAGCTAGCCAAATATCCACTTGCAGATTCCAGAAAAAGAGTGTTTCAAAACTGCTCCTTCAAAACGGTGGTTCAATTCTCTTAGTTGAGTACACACATCTCAAATAAGTTTCTGAGAATGCTTCTGTCTAGTTGTTATGGGAAGATATTTCCTTTTCCAACATAGGCTTGAAAGCGCTCCAAATGTCCTCTTTCAGATACTACAAAAGGAGTGATTCCAACCTGCTCTATGATAGGGAATGTTCAACTCTGTGTCCTGAATACAAACATCACAAAGATGTTTCTCAGAACGCTGCAGTCTGCAATTTGTATGAATTCCCGCTTCCAACGAAATCCTCCAAACTAGCCAAATATCCACTTGCAGATTCCACAAAAAGAGCGTTTCAAAACTTCTCTATGAAAAGAAAGGTTCTACTCCTTTAGTTGAGGACACACATCACGAGTAAGTTTCTGAGAATGCTTCTGTCTAGTTTTTATGGGAAGATATTTCCTTGTTCACCTTAGGCTGGAAAGCGCTCCAAATGTCCACTTACACACACTAGAAAAAGAGTGTTTCAAACCTGCTCTGTGAAAGGGAATGTTCAATTCTGTGACTTGAATGCAATCATCACAAAGAAGTTTCTGAGAATGCTGCTGTCTGCTTTTTATATGTAATCCCGTTTCCAACGAAATCCTCAAATCTAGCCAAATAGCCACTTGCAGATTCCACAAAAAGAGTGTTTCAAAACTGTTCTGTCTAAAGAAAAGTTCAACTGTGTTAGTTGAGGACACACATCAGAAACTAGTTTCTGAGAATGCTTCTGTCTAGTTGTTATGGGAAGATATTTCCTTTTCCAACGTAGGCCTGAAAGCGCTCCAAATGTCCACTTCCATATACTAAAAAAAGAGTGTTTCAAACCTGCTCTACCAAAGGGAATGTTCTACTCTGTGACTTGAATGCAAACATCCCAAAGAAGTTTCTGAGAATGCTTCTGTCTAGATTTGATCTGAAGACAATCCCGTTTCCAACGAAATCCTCAAGGCTAGGCAAATATCCTCTTGCAGATTCCAGAAAAAGAGTGTTTCAAAACTGCTCCTTCAAAACGGTGGTTCAATTCTCTTAGTTGAGTACACACATCTCAAATAAGTTTCTGAGAATGCTTCTGCCTAGTTGTTACGGGAAGATATTTCCCTTTCCAACATAGGCCTGAAAGCGCTCCAAATGTCCACTTCCAGATACTACAAAAAGAGTGTTTCAAACCTGCTCTACCAAAGGGAATGTTCTACTCTGTGACTTGAATGCAAACATCCCAAAGAAGTTTCTGAGAATGCTTCTGTCTAGATTTTACCTGAAGACAATCCCGTTTCCCACGAAATCCTCAAAGCTATGCAAATATCCTCTTGCAGATTCTACAAAAAGAGTGTTTCAAAACTGCTCTATGAAAAGAAAGGTTCAACTCTGTCAGTAGAGGGCACACATCACAAACAAGTTTCTGAGAATGCTTGTGTCTAGTTGTTATGGGAAGATATCTCCTTTTTCAACATAGGCCTGAAAGCGCTCCAAATGTCCACTTCCAGATACTACAAAAGGAGTGATTCCAACCTGCTCTATGATAGGGAATGTTCAACTCTCTGTCCTGAATACAAACATCACAAAGATGTTTCTCAGAACGCTGCAGTCTGCAATTTGTATGAATTCCCGCTTCCAACGAAATCCTCAAAACTAGCCAAATATCCACTTGCAGATTCCACAAAAAGAGCATTTCAAAACTGCTCTATCAAAAGAAAGGTTCAACTTTGTTAGTTGAGTAGATACATCATAAACAAGTTTCTGAGAATGCTTCTGTCCAGTTTTTATGGGAAGATATTTCCTTTTTCACCTTAGCCCTGAAATCGCTCCAAAAGTCCAGTTCCAGATACTACAAAAGGGGTGTTTCAGGACTGCTCTATGAAAGGGAGTGTTCAACTTTTGACTTGAATGCAAACATCAGAAAGCAGTTTCTCAGAACGCTGCTGTGTGCTTTTTATATGTATTCCCGCTTCCAGCGAAATCCCCAAAGCTAGCCAAATATCCACTTGCAGATTCCAGAAAAAGAGAGTTTCAAAACTGCTCCTTCAAAACGGTGGTTCAATTCTCTTAGTTGAGTACACACATCTCAAATAAGTTTCTGAGAATGCTTCTGTCTAGTTGTTATGGGAAGATATTTCCTTTTCCAACATAGGCCTGAAAGCGCTCCAAATGTCCACTTCCAGATACTACAAAAGGAGTGATTCCAACCTGCTCTATGATAGGGAATGTTCAACTCTGTGTCCTGAATACAAACATCACAAAGATGTTTCTCAGAACGCTGCAGTCTGCAATTTGTATGAATTCCCGCTTCCAACGAAATCCTCAAAACTAGCCAAATATCCACTTGCAGATTCCACAAAAAGAGCATTTCAAAACTGCTCTATCAAAAGAAAGGTTCAACTTTGTTAGTTGAGTAGATACAGCATAAACAAGTTTCTGAGAATGCTTCTGTCCAGTTTTTATGGGAAGATATTTCCTTTTTCACCTTAGCCCTGAAAGCGCTCCAAATTTCCAGTTCCAGATACTACAAAAGGGGTGTTTCAAGACTGCTCTATGAAAGGGAGTGTTCAACTTTTGACTTGAATGCAAACATCAGAAAGCAGTTTCTCAGAACGCTGCTGTGTGCTTTTTATATGTATTCCCGCTTCCAGCGAAATCCCCAAAGCTAGCCAAATATCCACTTGCAGATTCCAGAAAAAGAGTGTTTCCAAACTGCTCCTTCAAAACGGTGGTTCAATTCTCTTAGTTGAGTACACACATCTCAAATAAGTTTCTGGGAATGCTTCTGTCTAGTTGTTATGGGAAGATATTTCCTTTTCCAACATAGGCCTGAAAGCGCTCCAAATGTCCACTTCCAGATACTACAAAAGGAGTGATTCAAACCTGCTCTATGATAGGGAATGTTCAACTCTGTGTCCTGAATACAAACATCACAAAGATGTTTCTCAGAACGCTGCAGTCTGCAATTTGTATGAATTCCCGCTTCCAACGAAATCCTCAAAACTAGCCAAATATCCACTTGCAGATTCCACAAAAAGAGCGTTTCGAAACTTCTCTATGAAAAGAAAGGTTCTACTCCTTTAGTTGAGGACACACATCGCGAGTAAGTTTCTGAGAATGCTTCTGTCTAGTTTTTATGGGAAGATATGTCCTTTTTCACCTTAGGCCGGAAAGCGCTCCAAATGTCCACTTACACACACTACAAAAAGAGTGTTTCAAACCTGCTCTGTGAAAGGGAATGTTCAATTCTGTGACTTGAATGCAATCATCACAAAGAACTTTCTGAGAATGCTGCTGACTGCTTTTTATACGTAATCCCGTTTCCAACGAAATCCTCAAATCTGGCCAAATATGCACTTGCAGATTCCACAAAAAGACTGTTTCAAAACTGTTCTGTCTAAAGAAATGTACAACTGTGTTAGTTGAGGACACACATCAGAAACTAGTTTCTGAGAATGCTTCTGTCTAGTTGTTATGGGAAGATATTTCCTTTTCCAACGTAGGCCTGAAAGCGCTCCAAATGTCCACTTCCATATACTAAAAAAAGAGTGTTTCAAACCTGCTCTACCAAAGGGAATGTTCTACTCTGTGACTTGAATGCAAACATCCCAAAGAAGTTTCTGAGAATGCTTCTGTCTAGATTTGATCTGAAGACAATCCCGTTTCCAACGAAATCCTCAAGGCTAGGCAAATATCCTCTTGCAGATTCCAGAAAAAGAGTGTTTCAAAACTGCTCCTTCAAAACGGTGGTTCAATTCTCTTAGTTGAGTACACACATCTCAAATAAGTTTCTGAGAATGCTTCTGCCTAGTTGTTACGGGAAGATATTTCCCTTTCCAACATAGGCCTGAAAGCGCTCCAAATGTCCACTTCCAGATACTACAAAAAGAGTGTTTCAAACCTGCTCTACCAAAGGGAATGTTCTACTCTGTGACTTGAATGCAAACATCCCAAAGAAGTTTCTGAGAATGCTTCTGTCTAGATTTTACCTGAAGACAATCCCGCTTCCCCACGAAATCCTCAAAGCTATGCAAAAATCCTCTTGCAGATTCTACAAAAAGAGTGTTTCAAAACTGCTCTATGAAAAGAAAGGTTCAACTCTGTCAGTAGAGGGCACACATCACAAACAAGTTTCTGAGAATGCTTGTGTCTAGTTGTTATGGGAAGATATTTCCTTTTTCAACATAGGCCTGAAAGCGCTCCAAATGTCCACTTCCAGATACTACAAAAGGAGTGATTCCAACCTGCTCTATGATAGGGAATGTTCAACTCTCTGTCCTGAATACAAACATCACAAAGATGTTTCTCAGAACGCTGCAGTCTGCAATTTGTATGAATTCCCGCTTCCAACGAAATCCTCAAAACTAGCCAAATATCCACTTGCAGATTCCACAAAAAGAGCATTTCAAAACTGCTCTATCAAAAGAAAGGTTCAACTTTGTTAGTTGAGTAGATACAGCATAAACAAGTTTCTGAGAATGCTTCTGTCCAGTTTTTATGGGAAGATATTTCCTTTTTCACCTTAGCCCTGAAAGCGCTCCAAAAGTCCAGTTCCAGATACTACAAAAGGAGTGTTTCAGGACTGCTCTATGAAAGGGAGTGTTCAACTTTTGACTTGAATGCAAACATCAGAAAGCAGTTTCTCAGAACGCTGCTGTGTGGTTTTTATATGTATTCCCGCTTCCAGCGAAATCCCCAAAGCTAGCCAAATATCCACTTGCAGATTCCAGAAAAAGAGTGTTTCAAAACTGCTCCTTCAAAACGGTGGTTCAATTCTCTTAGTTGAGTACACACATCTCAAATAAGTTTCTGAGAATGCTTCTGTCTAGTTGTTATGGGAAGATATTTCCTTTTCCAACATAGGCCTGAAAGCGCTCCAAATGTCCACTTCCAGATACTACAAAAGGAGTGATTCCAACCTGCTCTATGATAGGGAATGTTCAACTCTGTGTCCTGAATACAAACATCACAAAGATGTTTCTCAGAACGCTGCAGTCTGCAATTTGTATGAATTCCCGCTTCCAACGAAATCCTCAAAACTAGCCAAATATCCACTTGCAGATTCCACAAAAAGAGCGTTTCAAAACTTCTCTATGAAAAGAAAGTTTCTACTATTTTACTTGAGTACACACATCACGAGTAAGTTTCTGAGAATGCTTCTGTCTAGTTTTTATGGGAAGATATTTCCTTTTTCACCTTAGGCCGGAAAGCGCTCCAAATGTCCACTTACACACACTACAAAAAGAGTGTTTCAAACCTGCTCTGTGAAAGGGAATGTTCAATTCTGTGACTTGAATGCAATCATCACAAAGAACTTTCTGAGAATGCCGCTGTCTGCTTTTTATATGTAATCCCGTTTCCAACGAAATCCTCAAATCTAGCCAAATAGCCACTTGCAGATTCCACAAAAAGAGTGTTTCAAAACTGTTCTGTCTAAAGAAATGTTCAACTGTGTTAGTTGAGGACACACCTCAGAAACTAGTTTCTGAGAATGCTTCTGTCTAGTTGTTATGGGAAGATATTTCCTTTTCCAACGTAGGCCTGAAAGCGCTCCAAATGTCCACTTCCATATACTTAAAAAAGAGTGTTTCAAACCTGCTCTACCAAAGGGAATGTTCTACTCTGTGACATGAATGCAAACATCCCAAAGAAGTTTCTGAGAATGCTTCTGTCTAGATTTGATCTGAAGACAATCCCCTTTCCAACGAAATCCTCAAGGCTAGGCAAATATCCTCTTGCAGATTCCAGAAAAAGAGTGTTTCAAAACTGCTCCTTCAAAACGGTGGTTCAATTCTCTTAGTTGAGTACACACATCTCAAATAAGTTTCTGAGAATGCTTCTGCCTAGTTGTTACGGGAAGATATTTCCCTTTCCAACATAGGCCTGAAAGCGCTCCAAATGTCCACTTCCAGATACTACAAAAAGAGTGTTTCAAACCTGCTCTACCAAAGGGAATGTTCTGCTCTGTGACTTGAATGCAAACATCCCAAAGAAGTTTCTGAGAATGCTTCTGTCTAGATTTTACCTGAAGACAATCCCGTTTCCCACGAAATCCTCAAAGCTATGCAAATATCCTCTTGCAGATTCTACAAAAAGAGTGTTTCAAAACTGCTCTATGAAAAGAAAGGTTCAACTCTGTCAGTAGAGGGCACACATCACAAACAAGTTTCTGAGAATGCTTGTGTCTAGTTGTTATGGGAAGATATTTCCTTTTTCAACATAGGCCTGAAAGCGCTCCAAATGTCCACTTCCAGATACTACAAAAGGAGTGATTCCAACATGCTCTATGATAGGGAATGTTCATCTCTGTGTCTTGAATACAAACATCACAAAGATGTTTCTCAGAACGCTGCAGTCTGCAATTTGGATGAATTCCCGCTTCCAACGAAATCCTCAAAACTAGCCAAATATCCACTTGGAGATTCCACAAAAAGAGCGTTTCAAAACTTCTCTATGAATAGAAAGGTTCTATTCCTTTAGTTGAAGGCACACATCACGAGTAAGTTTCTGAGAATGCTTCTGTCTAGTTTTTATGGGAAGATATGTCCTTTTTCACCTTAGGCCGGAAAGCGCTCCAAATGTCCACTTACACACCCTACAAAAAGAGTGTTTCAAACCTGCTCTGTGAAAGGGAATGTTCAATTCTGTGACTTGAATGCAATCATCACAAAGAACTTTCTGAGAATGCTGCTGACTGCTTTTTATATGTAATCCCGTTTCCAACGAAATCCTCAAATCTAGCCAAATAGCCACTTGCAGATTCCACAAAAAGAGTGTTTCAAAACTGTTCTGTCTAAAGAAATGTTCAACTTGTGTTAGTTGAGGACACACATCAGAAACTAGTTTCTGAGAATGCTTCTGTCTAGTTGTTATGGGAAGATATTTCCTTTTCCAACGTAGGCCTGAAAGCGCTCCAAATGTCCACTTCCAGATACTAAAAAAAGAGTGTTTCAAACCTGCTCTACCAAAGGGAATGTTCTACTCTGTGACTGGAATGCAAGCATCCCAAAGAAGTTTCTGAGAATGCTTCTGTCTAGATTTTCTCTGAAGACAATCCCGTTTCCAACGAAATCCTCAAGGCTAGGCAAATATACTCTTGCAGATTCCAGAAAAAGAGTGTTTCAAAACTGCTCCTTCAAAACGGTGGTTCAATTCTCTTAGTTGAGTACACACATCTCAAATAAGTTTCTGAGAATGCTTCTGCCTAGTTGTTACGGGAAGATATTTCCCTTTCCAACATGGGCCTGAAAGCGCTCCAAATGTCCACTTCCAGATACTACAAAAAGAGTGTTTCAAACCTGCTCTACCAAAGGGAATGTTCTACTCTGTGACTTGAATGCAAACATCCCAAAGAAGTTTCTGAGAATGCTTCTGTCTAGATTTTACCTGAAGACAATCCCGTTTCCCACGAAATCCTCAAAGCTATGCAAATATCCTCTTGCAGATTCTACAAAAAGAGTGTTTCAAAACTGCTCTATGAAAAGAAAGGTTCAACTCTGTCAGTAGAGGGCACACATCACAAACAAGTTTCTGAGAATGCTTCTGCATAGTTGTTACGGGAAGATATTTCCCTTTCCAAAATAGGCCTGAAAGCGCTCCAAATGTCCACTTCCAGATACTACAAAAGGAGTGATTCCAACCTGCTCTATGATAGGGAATGTTCAACTCTGTGTCCTGAATACAAACATCACAAAGATGTTTCTCAGAACGCTGCAGTCTGCAATTTGTATGAATTCCCGCTTCCAACGAAATCCTCAAAACTAGCCAAATATCCACTTGCAGATTCCACAAAAAGACCATTTCAAAACTGCTCTATCAAAAGAAAGGTTCAACTTTGTTAGTTGAGTAGATACAGCATAAACAAGTTTCTGAGAATGCTTCTGTCCAGTTTTTATGGGAAGATATTTTCTTTTTCACCTTAGCCCTGAAAGCGCTCCAAAAGTCCAGTTCCAGATACTGCAAAAGGAGTGTTTCAGGACTGCTCTATGAAAGGGAGTGTTCAACTTTTGACTTGAATGCAAACATCAGAAAGCAGTTTCTCAGAACGCTTGCTGTGTGCTTTTTATATGTATTCCCGCTTCCAGCGAAATCCCCAAAGCTAGCCAAATATCCACTTGCAGATTCCAGAAAAAGAGAGTTTCAAAACTGCTCCTTCAAAACGGTGGTTCAATTCTCTTAGTTGAGTACACACATCTCAAATAAGTTTCTGAGAATGCTTCTGTCTAGTTGTTATGGGAAGATATTTCCTTTTCCAACATAGGCCTGAAAGCGCTCCAAATGTCCACTTCCAGATACTACAAAAGGAGTGATTCCAACCTGCTCTATGATAGGGAATGTTCAACTCTGTGTCCTGAATACAAACATCACAAAGATGTTTCTCAGAACGCTGCAGTCTGCAATTTGTATGAATTCCCGCTTCCAACGAAATCCTCAAAACTAGCCAAATATCCACTTGCAGATTCCACAAAAAGAGCGTTTCAAAACTTCTCTATGAAAAGAAAGGTTCTACTCCTTTAGTTGAGGACACACAATACGAGTAAGTTTCTGAGAATGCTTCTGTCCAGTTTTTATGGGAAGATATTTCCTTTTTCACCTTAGCCCTGAAAGCGCTCCAAAAGTCCAGTTCCAGATACTACAAAAGGAGTGTTTCAGGACTGCTCTATGAAAGGGAGTGTTCAACTTTTGACTTGAATGCAAACATCAGAAAGCAGTTTCTCAGAACGCTGCTGTGTGCTTTTTATATGTATTCCCGCTTCCAGCGAAATCCCCAAAGCTAGCCAAATATCCACTTGCAGATTCCAGAAAAAGAGTGTTTCAAAACTGCTCCTTCAAAACGGTGGTTCAATTCTCTTAGTTGAGTACACACATCTCAAATAAGTTTCTGAGAATGCTTCTGTCTAGTTGTTATGGGAAGATATTTCCTTTTCCAACATAGGCCTGAAAGCGCTCCAAATGTCCACTTCCAGATACTACAAAAGGAGTGATTCAAACCTGCTCTATGATAGGGAATGTTCAACTCTGTGTCCTGAATACAAACATCACAAAGATGTTTCTCAGAACGCTGCAGTCTGCAATTTGTATGAATTCCCGCTTCCAACGAAATCCTCAAAACTAGCCAAATATCCACTTGCAGATTCCACAAAAAGAGCATTTCAAAACTGCTCTATCAAAAGAAAGGTTCAACTTTGTTAGTTGAGTAGATACAGCATAAACAAGTTTCTGAGAATGCTTCTGTCCAGTTTTTATGGGAAGATATTTCCTTTATCACCTTAGCCCTGAAAGCGCTCCAAAAGTCCAGTTCCAGATACTACAAAAGGAGTGTTTCAGGACTGCTCTATGAAAGGGAGTGTTCAACTTTTGACTTGAATGCAAACATCAGAAAGCAGTTTCTCAGAACGCTGCTGTGTGCTTTTTATATGTATTCCCGCTTCCAGCGAAATCCCCAAAGCTAGCCAAATATCCACTTGCAGATTCCAGAAAAAGAGTGTTTCAAAACTGCTCCTTCAAAACGGTGGTTCAATTCTCTTAGTTGAGTACACACATCTCAAATAAGTTTCTGAGAATGCTGCAGTCTGCAATTTGTATGAATTCCCGCTTCCAACGAAATCCTCAAAACTAGCCAAATATCCACTTGCAGATTCCACAAAAAGAGCGTTTCAAAACTTCTCTATGAAAAGAAAGGTTCTACTCCTTTAGTTGAGGACACACATCACGAGTAAGTTTCTGAGAATACTTCTGTCTAGTTTTTATGGGAAGATATTTCCTTTTTCACCTTAGGCCGGAAAGCGCTCCAAATGTCCACTTACACTCACTACAAAAAGAGTGTTTCAAACCTGCTCTGTGAAAGGGAATGTTCAATTACTGTGACTTGAATGCAATCATCACAAAGAACTTTCTGAGAATGCTGCTGACTGCTTTTTATATGTAATCCCGTTTCCAACGAAATCCTCAAATCTAGCCCAATATCCACTTGCAGATTCCACAAAAAGAGTGTTTCAAAACTGTTCTGTCTAAAGAAATGTACAACTGTGTTAGTTGAGGACACACATCAGAAACTAGTTTCTGAGAATGCTTCTGTCTAGTTGTTATGGGAAGATATTTCCTTTTCCAACGTAGGCCTGAAAGCGCTCCAAATGTCCACTTCCATATACTAAAAAAAGAGTGTTTCAAACCTGCTCTACCAAAGGGAATGTTCTACTCTGTGACTTGAATGCAAACATCCCAAAGAAGTTTCTGAGAATGCTTCTGTCTAGATTTTATCTGAAGACAATCCCGTTTCCAACGAAATCCTCAAGGCTAGGCAAATATACTCTTGCAGATTCCAGAAAAAGAGGGTTTCAAAACTGCTCCTTCAAAACGGTGGTTCAATTCTCTTAGTTGAGTACACACATCTCAAATAAGTTTCTGAGAATGCTTCTGCCTAGTTGTTACGGGAAGATATTTCCCTTTCCAACATGGGCCTGAAAGCGCTCCAAATGTCCACTTCCAGATACTACAAAAAGAGTGTTTCAAACCTGCTCTACCAAAGGGAATGTTCTACTCTGTGACTTGAATGCAAACATCCCAAAGAAGTTTCTGAGAATGCTTCTGTCTAGATTTTTCCTGAGACAATCCCGTTTCCCACGAAATCCTCAAAGCTATGCAAATATCCTCTTGCAGATTCTACAAAAAGAGTGTTTCAAAACTGCTCTATGAAAAGAAAGGTTCAACTCTGTCAGTAGAGGGCACACATCACAAACAAGTTTCTGAGAATGCTTCTGCATAGTTGTTACGGGAAGATATTTCCCTTTCCAAAATAGGCCTGAAAGCGCTCCAAATGTCCACTTCCAGATACTACAAAAGGAGTGATTCCAACCTGCTCTATGATAGGGAATGTTCAACTCTGTGTCCTGAATACAAACATCACAAAGATGTTTCTCAGAACGCTGCAGTCTGCAATTTGTATGAATTCCCGCTTCCAACGAAATCCTCAAAACTAGCCAAATATCCACTTGCAGATTCCACAAAAAGACCATTTCAAAACTGCTCTATCAAAAGAAAGGTTCAACTTTGTTAGTTGAGTAGATACAGCATAAACAAGTTTCTGAGAATGCTTCTGTCCAGTTTTTATGGGAAGATATTTCCTTTTTCACCTTAGCCCTGAAATCGCTCCAAAAGTCCAGTTCCAGATACTACAAAAGGGGTGTTTCAAGACTGCTCTATGAAAGGGAGTGTTCAACTTTTGACTTGAATGCAAACATCAGAAAGCAGTTTCTCAGAACGCTGCTGTGTGCTTTTTATATGTATTCCCGCTTCCAGCGAAATCCCCAAAGCTAGCCAAATATCCACTTGCAGATTCCAGAAAAAGAGAGTTTCAAAACTGCTCCTTCAAAACGGTGGTTCAATTCTCTTAGTTGAGTACACACATCTCAAATAAGTTTCTGAGAATGCTTCTGTCTAGTTGTTATGGGAAGATATTTCCTTTTCCAACATAGGCCTGAAAGCGCTCCAAATGTCCACTTCCAGATACTACAAAAGGAGTGATTCCAACCTGCTCTATGATAGGGAATGTTCAACTCTGTGTCCTGAATACAAACATCACAAAGATGTTTCTCAGAACGCTGCAGTCTGCAATTTGTATGAATTCCCGCTTCCAACGAAATCCTCAAAACTAGCCAAATATCCACTTGCAGATTCCACAAAAAGAGCATTTCAAAACTGCTCTATCAAAAGAAAGGTTCAACTTTGTTAGTTGAGTAGATACAGCATAAACAAGTTTCTGAGAATGCTTCTGTCCAGTTTTTATGGGAAGATATTTCCTTTTTCACCTTAGCCCTGAAAGCGCTCCAAAAGTCCAGTTCCAGATACTACAAAAGGAGTGTTTCAGGACTGCTCTATGAAAGGGAGTGTTCAACTTTTGACTTGAATGCAAACATCAGAAAGCAGTTTCTCAGAACGCTGCTGTGTGCTTTTTATATGTATTCCCGCTTCCAGCGAAATCCCCAAAGCTAGCCAAATATCCACTTGCAGATTCCAGAAAAAGAGTGTTTCAAAACTGCTCCTTCAAAACGGTGGTTCAATTCTCTTAGTTGAGTACACACATCTCAAATAAGTTTCTGAGAATGCTGCAGTCTGCAATTTGTATGAATTCCAGCTTCCAACGAAATCCTCAAATCTAGCCAAATATCCACTTGCAGATTCCACAAAAAGAGCATTTCAAAACTGCTCTATCAAAAGAAAGCTTCAACTTTGTTAGCAGAGTAGATACAGCATAAACAAGTTTCTGAGAATGCTTCTGTCCAGTTTTTATGGGAAGATATTTCCTTTTTCACCTTAGCCCTGAAAGCGCTCCAAAAGTCCAGTTCCAGATACTACAAAAGGAGTGTTTCAGGACTGCTCTATGAAAGGGAGTGTTCAACTTTTGACTTGAATGCAAACATCAGAAAGCAGTTTCTCAGAACGCTGCTGTGTGCTTTTTATATGTATTCCCGCTTCCAGCGAAATCCCCAAAGCTAGCCAAATATCCACTTGCAGATTCCAGAAAAAGAGTGTTTCAAAACTGCTCCTTCAAAACGGTGGTTCAATTCTCTTAGTTGAGTACACACATCTCAAATAAGTTTCTGAGAATGCTTCTGTCTAGTTGTTATGGGAAGATATTTCCTTTTCCAACATAGGCCTGAAAGCGCTCCAAATGTCCACTTCCAGATACCACAAAAGGAGTGATTCCAACCTGCTCTATGATAGGGAATGTTCAACTCTGTGTCCTGAATACAAACATCACAAAGATGTTTCTCAGAACGCTGCAGTCTGCAATTTGTATGAATTCCCGCTTCCAACGAAATCCTCAAAACTAGCCAAATATCCACTTGCAGATTCCACAAAAAGAGCGTTTCAAAACTTCTCTATGAAAAGAAAGGTTCTACTCCTTTAGTTGAGGACACACATCACGAGTAAGTTTCTGAGAATGCTTCTGTCTAGTTTTTATGGGAAGATATTTCCTTTTTCACCTTAGGCCGGTAAGTGCTCCAAATGTCCACTTACACACACTATAAAAAGAGTGTTTCAAACCTGCTCTGTGAAAGGAAATGTTCAATTCTGTGACTTGAATGCAATCATCACAAAGAACTTTCTGAGAATGCTGCTGTCTGCTTTTTATATGTAATCCCGTTTCCAACGAAATCCTCAAATCTAGCCAAATAGCCACTTGCAGATTCCACAAAAAGAGTGTTTCAAAACTGTTCTGTCTAAAGAAATGTTCAACTGTGTTAGTTGAGGACACACATCAGAAACTAGTTTCTGAGAATGCTTCTGTCTAGTTGTTATGGGAAGATATTTCCTTTTCCAACGTAGGCCTGAAAGCGCTCCAAATGTCCACTTCCATATACTAAAAAAAGAGTGTTTCAAACCTGCTCTACCAAAGGGAATGTTCTACTCTGTGACATGAATGCAAACATCCCAAAGAAGTTTCTGAGAATGCTTCTGTCTAGATTTGATCTGAAGACAATCCCGTTTCCAACGAAATCCTCAAGGCTAGGCAAATATCCTCTTGCAGAGTCCAGAAAAAGAGTGTTTCAAAACTGCTCCTTCAAAACGGTGGTTCAATTCTCTTAGTTGAGTACACACATCTCAAATAAGTTTCTGAGAATGCTTCTGCCTAGTTGTTACGGGAAGATATTTCCCTTTCCAACATAGGCCTGAAAGCGCTCCAAATGTCCACTTCCAGATACTACAAAAAGAGTGTTTCAAACCTGCTCTACCAAAGGGAATGTTCTGCTCTGTGACTTGAATGCAAACATCCCAAAGAAGTTTCTGAGAATGCTTCTGTCTAGATTTTACCTGAAGACAATCCCGTTTCCCACGAAATCCTCAAAGCTATGCAAATATCCTCTTGCAGATTCTACAAAAAGAGTGTTTCAAAACTGCTTTATGAAAAGAAAGGTTCAACTCTGTCAGTAGAGGGCACACATCACAAACAAGTTTCTGAGAATGCTTGTGTCTAGTTGTTATGGGAAGATATTTCCTTTTTCAACATAGGCCTGAAAGCGCTCCAAATGTCCACTTCCAGATACTACAAAAGGAGTGATTCCAACCTGCTCTATGATAGGGAATGTTCAACTCTCTGTCCTGAATACAAACATCACAAAGATGTTTCTCAGAACGCTGCAGTCTGCAATTTGTATGAATTCCCGCTTCCAACGAAATCCTCCAAACTAGCCAAATATCCACTTGCAGATTCCACAAAAAGAGCATTTCAAAACTGCTCTATCAAAAGAAAGGTTCAACTTTGTTAGTTGAGTAGATACAGCATAAACAAGTTTCTGAGAATGCTTCTGTCCAGTTTTTATGGGAAGATATTTCCTTTTTCACCTTAGCCCTGAAATCGCTCCAAAAGTCCAGTTCCAGATACTACAAAAGGGGTGTTTCAGGACTGCTCTATGAAAGGGAGTGTTCAACTTTTGACTTGAATGCAAACATCAGAAAGCAGTTTCTCAGAACGCTGCTGTGTGCTTTTTATATGTATTCCCGCTTCCAGCGAAATCCCCAAAGCTAGCCAAATATCCACTTGCAGATTCCAGAAAAAGAGTGTTTCAAAACTGCTCCTTCAAAACGGTGGTTCAATTCTCTTAGTTGAGTACACACATCTCAAATAAGTTTCTGAGAATGCTTCTGTCTAGTTGTTATGGGAAGATATTTCCTTTTCCAACATAGGCCTGAAAGCGCTCCAAATGTCCACTTCCAGATACTACAAAAGGAGTGATTCAAACCTGCTCTATGATAGGGAATGTTCAACTCTCTGTCCTGAATACAAACATCACAAAGATGTTTCTCAGAACGCTGCAGTCTGCAATTTGTATGAATTCCCGCTTCCAACGAAATCCTCAAAACTAGCCAAATATCCACTTGCAGATTCCACAAAAAGAGCGTTTCAAAACTTCTCTATGAAAAGAAAGGTTCTACTCCTTTAGTTGAGGACACACATCACGAGTAAGTTTCTGAGAATGCTTCTGTCTAGTTTTTATGGGAAGATATTTCCTTTTTCACCTTAGGCCGGAAAGTGCTCCAAATGTCCACTTACACACACTATACAAAGAGTGTTTCAAACCTGCTCTGTGAAAGGGAATGTTCAATACTGTGACTTGAATGCAATCATCACAAAGAAGTTTCTGAGAATGCTGCTGTCTGCTTTTTATATGTAATCCCGTTTCCAACGAAATCCTCAAATCTAGCCAAATAGCCACTTGCAGATACCACAAAAAGAGTGTTTCAAAACTGTTCTGTCTAAAGAAATGTTCAACTGTGTTAGTTGAGGACACATATCAGAAACTAGTTTCTGAGAATGCTTCTGTCTAGTTGTTATGGGAAGATATTTCCTTTTCCAACGTAGGCCTGAAAGCGCTCCAAATGTCCACTTCCATATACTAAAAAAAGAGTGTTTCAAACCTGCTCTACCAAAGGGAATGTTCTACTCTGTGACTTGAATGCAAACATCCCAAAGAAGTTTCTGAGAATGCTTCTGTCTAGATTTGATCTGAAGACAATCCCGTTTCCAACGAAATCCTCAAAGCTATGCAAATATCCTCTTGCAGATTCCAGAAAAAGAGTGTTTCAAAACTGCTCCTTCAAAAGGTGGTTCAATTCTCTTAAGTTGAGTACACACATCTCAAATAAGTTTCTGAGAATGCTTCTGCCTAGTTGTTACGGGAAGATATTTCCCTTTCCAACATAGGCCTGAAAGCGCTCCAAATGTCCACTTCCAGATACTACAAAAAGAGTGTTTCAAACCTGCTCTACCAAAGGGAATGTTCTACTCTGTGACTTGAATGCAAACATCCCAAAGAAGTTTCTGAGAATGCTTCTGTCTAGATTTTACCTGAAGACAATCCCGTTTCCCACGAAATCCTCAAAGCTATGCAAATATCCTCTTGCGGATTCTACAAAAAGAGTGTTTCAAAACTGCTCTATGAAAAGAAAGGTTCAACTCTGTCAGTAGAGGGCACACATCACAAACAAGTTTCTGAGAATGCTTGTGTCTAGTTGTTATGGGAAGATATTTCCTTTTTCAACATAGGCCTGAAAGCGCTCCAAATGTCCACTTCCAGATACTACAAAGGGAGTGATTCCAACCTGCTCTATGATAGGGAATGTTCATCTCTGTGTCCTGAATAGAAACATCACAAAGATGTTTCTCAGAACGCTTCTCTCTAGATTTTTATATGAGGATATTCCCGTTTCCAACGAAATCCACAAAGCTATCGAAATATCCACTTGCAGATTCTACAAAAAGAGTGTTTCAAAACTGCTCTATCAAAAGAAAGGTTCTACCCCTTTAGTTGAGGACACACATCACGAGTAAGTTTCTGAGAATGCTTCTGTCTAGTTTTTATGGGAAGATATTTCCTTTTTCACCTGAGGCCGGAAAGCGCTCCAAATGTCCACTTCCAGATACTACAAAAGGAGTGATTCAAACCTGCTCTATGATAGGGAACGTTCAACTCTGTGTCCTGAATACAAACATCACAAAGATGTTTCTCAGAACGCTGCAGTCTGCAATTTGTATGAATTCCCGCTTCCAACGAAATCCTCAAAACTAGCCAAATATCCACTTGCAGATTCCACAAAAAGAGCGTTTCAAAACTTCTCTATGAAAAGAAAGGTTCTACTCCTTTAGTTGAGGACACACATCACGAGTAAGTTTCTGAGAATACTTCTGTCTAGTTTTTATGGGAAGATATTTCCTTTTTCACCTTAGGCCGGAAAGTGCTCCAAATGTCCACTTACACACACTATACAAAGAGTGTTTCAAACCTGCTCTGTGAAAGGGAATGTTCAATACTGTGACTTGAATGCAATCATCACAAAGAAGTTTCTGAGAATGCTGCTGTCTGCTTTTTATATGTAATCCCGTTTCCAACGAAATCCTCAAATCTGGCCAAATAGCCACTTGCAGATACCACAAAAAGAGTGTTTCAAAACTGTTCTGTCTAAAGAAATGTTCAACTGTGTTAGTTGAGGACACACATCAGAAACTAGTTTCTGAGAATGCTTCTGTCTAGTTGTTATGGGAAGATATTTCCTTTTCCAACGTAGGCCTGAAAGCGCTCCAAATGTCCACTTCCATATACTAAAAAAAGAGTGTTTCAAACCTGCTCTACCAAAGGGAATGTTCTACTCTGTGACTTGAATGCAAACATCCCAAAGAAGTTTCTGAGAATGCTTCTGTCTAGATTTGATCTGAAGACAATCCCGTTTCCAACGAAATCCTCAAGGCTAGGCAAATATCCTCTTGCAGATTCCAGAAAAAGAGTGTTTCAAAACTGCTCCTTCAAAACGGTGGTTCAATTCTCTTAGTTGAGTACACACATCTCAAATAAGTTTCTGAGAATGCTTCTGCCTAGTTGTTACGGGAAGATATTTCCCTTTCCAACATAGGCCTGAAAGCGCTCCAAATGTCCACTTCCAGATACTACAAAAAGAGTGTTTCAAACCTGCTCTACCAAAGGGAATGTTCTACTCTGTGACTTGAATGCAAACATCCCAAAGAAGTTTCTGAGAATGCTTCTGTCTAGATTTTACCTGAAGACAATCCCGTTTCCCACGAAATCCTCAAAGCTATGCAAATATCCTCTTGCAGATTCTACAAAAAGAGTGTTTCAAAACTGCTCTATGAAAAGAGAGGTTCAACTCTGTCAGTAGAGGGCACACATCACAAACAAGTTTCTGAGAATGCTTGTGTCTAGTTGTTATGGGAAGATATTTCCTTTTTCAACATAGGCCTGAAAGCGCTCCAAATGTCCACTTCCAGATACTACAAAAGGAGTGATTCCAACCTGCTCTATGATAGGGAATGTTCAACTCTCTGTCCTGAATACAAACATCACAAAGATGTTTCTCAGAACGCTGCAGTCTGCAATTTGTATGTATTCCAGCTTCCAACGAAATCCTCAAATCTAGCCAAATATCCACTTGCAGATTCCACAAAAAGAGCATTTCAAAACTGCTCTATCAAAAGAAAGGTTCAACTTTTTTAGTAGAGTAGATACAGCATAAACAAGTTTCTGAGAATGCTTCTGTCCAGTTTTTATGGGAAGATATTTCCTTTTTCACCTTAGCCCTGAAAGCGCTCCAAAAGTCCAGTTCCAGATACTACAAAAGGAGTGTTTCAGGACTGCTCTATGAAAGGGAGTGTTCAACTTTTGACTTGAATGCAAACATCAGAAAGCAGTTTCTCAGAACGCTGCTGTGTGCTTTTTATATGTATTCCCGCCTCCAGCGAAATCCCCAAAGCTAGCCAAATATCCACTTGCAGATTCCAGAAAAAGAGTGTTTCAAAACTGCTCCTTCAAAACGGTGGTTCAATTCTCTTAGTTGAGTACACACATCTCAAATAAGTTTCTGAGAATGCTGCAGTCTGCAATTTGTATGAATTCCCGCTTCCAACGAAATCCTCAAAACTAGCCAAATATCCACTTGGAGATTCCACAAAAAGAGCGTTTCAAAACTTCTCTATCAATAGAAAGGTTCTACTCCTTTAGTTGAGGACACACATCACGAGTAAGTTTCTGAGAATGCTTCTGTCTAGTTTTTATGGGAAGATATGTCCTTTTTCACCTTAGGCTGGAAAGCGCTCCAAATGTCCACTTACACACACTACAAAAAGAGTGTTTCAAACCTGCTCTATGAAAGGGAATGTTCAATTCTGTGACTTGAATGCAATCATCACAAAGAACTTTCTGAGAATGCTGCTGACTGCTATTTATATGTAATCCCGTTTCCAACGAAATCCTCAAATCTAGCCCAATATCCACTTGCAGATTCCACAAAAAGAGTGTTTCAAAACTGTTCTGTCTAAAGAAATGTACAACTGTGTTAGTTGAGGACACACATCAGAAACTAGTTTCTGAGAATGCTTCTGTCTAGTTGTTATGGGAAGATATTTCCTTTTCCAACGTAGGCCTGAAAGCGCTCCAAATGTCCACTTCCATATACTAAAAAAAGAGTGTTTCAAACCTGCTCTACCAAAGGGAATGTTCTACTCTGTGACTTGAATGCAAACATCCCAAAGAAGTTTCTGAGAATGCTTCTGTCTAGATTTTCTCTGAAGACAATCCCGTTTCCAACGAAATCCTCAAGGCTAGGCAAATATACTCTTGCAGATTCCAGAAAAAGAGTGTTTCAAAACTGCTCCTTCAAAACGGTGGTTCAATTCTCTTAGTTGAGTACACACATCTCAAATAAGTTTCTGAGAATGCTTCTGCCTAGTTGTTACGGGAAGATATTTCCCTTTCCAACATGGGCATGAAAGCGCTCCAAATGTCCACTTCCAGATACTACAAAAAGAGTGTTTCAAACCTGCTCTACCAAAGGGAATGTTCTACTCTGTGACTTGAATGCAAACATCCCAAAGAAGTTTCTGAGAATGCTTCTGTCTAGATTTTACCTGAAGACAATCCCGTTTCCCACGAAATCCTCAAAGCTATGCAAATATCCTCTTGCAGATTCTACAAAAAGAGTGTTTCAAAACTGCTCTATGAAAAGAAAGGTTCAACTCTGTCAGTAGAGGGCACACATCACAAACAAGTTTCTGAGAATGCTTCTGCATAGTTGTTACGGGAAGATATTTCCCTTTCCAAAATAGGCCTGAAAGCGCTCCAAATGTCCACTTCCAGATACTACAAAAGGAGTGATTCCAACCTGCTCTATGATAGGGAATGTTCAACTCTGTGTCCTGAATACAAACATCACAAAGATGTTTCTCAGAACGCTGCAGTCTGCAATTTGTATGAATTCCCGCTTCCAATGAAATCCTCAAAACTAGCCAAATATCCACTTGCAGATTCCACAAAAAGACCATTTCAAAACCTGCTCTATCAAAAGAAAGGTTCAACTTTGTTAGTTGAGTAGATACAGCATAAACAAGTTTCTGAGAATGCTTCTGTCCAGTTTTTATGGGAAGATATTTCCTTTTTCACCTTAGCCCTGAAATCGCTCCAAAAGTCCAGTTCCAGATACTACAAAAGGGGTGTTTCAAGACTGCTCTATGAAAGGGAGTGTTCAACTTTTGACTTGAATGCAAACATCAGAAAGCAGTTTCTCAGAACGCTGCTGTGTGCTTTTTATATGTATTCCCGCTTCCAGCGAAATCCCCAAGCTAGCCAAATATCCACTTGCAGATTCCAGAAAAAGAGTGTTTCAAAACTGCTCCTTCAAAACGGTGGTTCAATTCTCTTAGTTGAGTACACACATCTCAAATAAGTTTCTGAGAATGCTTCTGTCTAGTTGTTATGGGAAGATATTTCCTTTTCCAACATAGGCCTGAAAGCACTCCAAATGTCCACTTCCAGATACTACAAAAGGAGTGATTCAAACCTGCTCTATGATAGGGAATGTTCAACTCTGTGTCCTGAATACAAACATCACAAAGATGTTTCTCAGAACGCTGCAGTCTGCAATTTGTATGAATTCCCGCTTCCAACGAAATCCTCAAAACTAGCCAAATATCCACTTGCAGATTCCACAAAAAGAGCGTTTCAAAACTTCTCTATGAAAAGAAAGGTTCTACTCCTTTAGTTGAGGACACACATCACGAGTAAGTTTCTGAGAATGCTTCTGTCTAGTTTTTATGGGAAGATATTTCCTTTTTCACCTTAGGCCGGTAAGTGCTCCAAATGTCCACTTACACACACTACAAAAAGAGTGTTTCAAACCTGCTCTGTGAAAGGGAATGTTCAATTCTGTGACTTGAATGCAATCATCACAAAGAACTTTCTGAGAATGCTGCTGACTGCTTTTTATATGTAATCCCGTTTCCAACGAAATCCTCAAATCTAGCCAAATAGCCACTTGCAGATTCCACAAAAAGAGTGTTTCAAAACTGTTCTGTCTAAAGAAATGTTCAACTGTGTTAGTTGAGGACACACATCAGAAACTAGTTTCTGAGAATGCTTCTGTCTAGTTGTTATGGGAAGATATTTCCTTTTCCAACGTAGGCCTGAAAGCGATCAAAATGTCCACTTCCATATACTAAAAAAAGAGTGTTTCAAACCTGCTCTACCAAAGGGAATGTTCTACTCTGTGACTTGAATGCAAACATCCCAAAGAAGTTTCTGAGAATGCTTCTGTCTAGATTTTCTCTGAAGACAATCCCGTTTCCAACGAAATCCTCAAGGCTAGGCAAATATACTCTTGCAGATTCCAGAAAAAGAGTGTTTCAAAACTGCTCCTTCAAAACGGTGGTTCAATTCTCTTAGTTGAGTACACACATCTCAAATAAGTTTCTGAGAATGCTTCTGCCTAGTTGTTACGGGAAGATATTTCCCTTTCCAACATGGGCCTGAAAGCGCTCCAAATGTCCACTTCCAGATACTACAAAAAGAGTGTTTCAAACCTGCTCTACCAAAGGGAATGTTCTACTCTGTGACTTGAATGCAAACATCCCAAAGAAGTTTCTGAGAATGCTTCTGTCTAGATTTTACCTGAAGACAATCCCGTTTCCCACGAAATCCTCAAAGCTATGCAAATATCCTCTTGCAGATTCTACAAAAAGAGTGTTTCAAAACTGCTCTATGAAAAGAAAGGTTCAACTCTGTCAGTAGAGGGCACACATCACAAACAAGTTTCTGAGAATGCTTCTGCATAGTTGTTACGGGAAGATATTTCCCTTTCCAAAATAGGCCTGAAAGCGCTCCAAATGTCCACTTCCAGATACTACAAAAGGAGTGATTCCAACCTGCTCTATGATAGGGAATGTTCAACTCTGTGTCCTGAATACAAACATCACAAAGATGTTTCTCAGAACGCTGCAGTCTGCAATTTGTATGAATTCCCGCTTCCAACGAAATCCTCAAAACTAGCCAAATATCCACTTGCAGATTCCACAAAAAGACCATTTCAAAACTGCTCTATCAAAAGAAAGGTTCAACTTTGTTAGTTGAGTAGATACAGCATAACCAAGTTTCTGAGAATGCTTCTGTCCAGTTTTTATGGTAAGATATTTCCTTTTTCACCTTAGCCCTGAAATCGCTCCAAAAGTCCAGTTCCAGATACTACAAAAGGGGTGTTTCAAGACTGCTCTATGAAAGGGAGTGTTCAACTTTTGACTTGAATGCAAACATCAGAAAGCAGTTTCTCAGAACGCTGCTGTGTGCTTTTTATATGTATTCCCGCTTCCAGCGAAATCCCCAAAGCTAGCCAAATATCCACTTGCAGATTCCAGAAAAAGAGTGTTTCAAAACTGCTCCTTCAAAACGGTGGTTCAATTCTCTTAGTTGAGTACACACATCTCAAATAAGTTTCTGAGAATGCTTCTGTCTAGTTGTTATGGGAAGATATTTCCTTTTCCAACATAGGCCTGAAAGCGCTCCAAATGTCCACTTCCAGATACTACAAAAGGAGTGATTCCAACCTGCTCTATGATAGGGAATGTTCAACTCTGTGTCCTGAATACAAACATCACAAAGATGTTTCTCAGAACGCTGCAGTCTGCAATTTGTATGAATTCCCGCTTCCAACGAAATCCTCAAAACTAGCCAAATATCCACTTGCAGATTCCACAAAAAGAGCGTTTCAAAACTTCTCTATGAAAAGAAAGGTTCTACTCCTTTAGTTGAGGACACACATCACGAGTAAGTTTCTGAGAATGCTTCTGTCTAGTTTTTATGGGAAGATATTTCCTTTTTCACCTTAGGCCGGTAAGTGCTCCAAATGTCCACTTACACACACTACAAAAAGAGTGTTTCAAACCTGCTCTGTGAAAGGGAATGTTCAATTCTGTGACTTGAATGCAATCATCACAAAGAACTTTCTGAGAATGCTGCTGTCTGCTTTTTATATGTAATCCCGTTTCCAACGAAATCCTCAAATCTAGCCAAATAGCCACTTGCAGATTCCACAAAAAGAGTGTTTCAAAACTGTTCTGTCTAAAGAAAAGTTCAACTGTGTTAGTTGAGGACACACATCAGAAACTAGTTTCTGAGAATGCTTCTGTCTAGTTGTTATGGGAAGATATTTCCTTTTCCAACGTAGGCCTGAAAGCGCTCCAAATGTCCACTTCCATATACTAAAAAAAGAGTGTTTCAAACCTGCTCTACCAAAGGGAATGTTCTACTCTGTGACTTGAATGCAAACATCCCAAAGAAGTTTCTGAGAATGCTTCTGTCTAGATTTTATCTGAAGACAATCCCGTTTCCAACGAAATCCTCAAGGCTAGGCAAATATACTCTTGCAGATTCCAGAAAAAGAGTGTTTCAAAACTGCTCCTTCAAAACGGTGGTTCAATTCTCTTAGTTGAGTACACACATCTCAAATAAGTTTCTGAGAATGCTTCTGCCTAGTTGTTACGGGAAGTATATTTCCCTTTCCAACATAGGCCTGAAAGCGCTCCAAATGTCCACTTCCAGATACTATAAAAAGAGTGTTTCAAACCTGCTCTACCAAAGGGAATGTTCTACTCTGTGACTTGAATGCAAACATCCCAAAGAAGTTTCTGAGAATGCTTCTGTCTAGATTTTTACCTGAAGACAATCCCGTTTCCCACGAAATCCTCAAAGCTATGCAAATATCCTCTTGCAGATTCTACAAAAAGAGTGTTTCAAAACTGCTCTATGAAAAGAAAGGTTCAACTCTGTCAGTAGAGGGCACACATCACAAACAAGTTTCTGAGAATGCTTCTGCATAGTTGTTACGGGAAGATATTTCCCTTTCCAAAATAGGCCTGAAAGCGCTCCAAATGTCCACTTCCAGATACTACAAAAGGAGTGATTCCAACCTGCTCTATGATAGGGAATGTTCAACTCTGTGTCCTGAATACAAACATCACAAAGATGTTTCTCAGAACGCTGCAGTCTGCAATTTGTATGAATTCCCGCTTCCAACGAAATCCTCAAAACTAGCCAAATATCCACTTGCAGATTCCACAAAAAGACCATTTCAAAACTGCTCTATCAAAAGAAAGGTTCAACTTTGTTAGTTGAGTAGATACAGCATAACCAAGTTTCTGAGAATGCTTCTGTCCAGTTTTTATGGGAAGATATTTCCTTTTTCACCTTAGCCCTGAAATCGCTCCAAAAGTCCAGTTCCAGATACTACAAAAGGGGTGTTTCAAGACTGCTCTATGAAAGGGAGTGTTCAACTTTTGACTTGAATGCAAACATCAGAAAGCAGTTTCTCAGAACGCTGCTGTGTGCTTTTTATATGTATTCCCGCTTCCAGCGAAATCCCCAAAGCTAGCCAAATATCCACTTGCAGATTCCAGAAAAAGAGTGTTTCAAAACTGCTCCTTCAAAACGGTGGTTCAATTCTCTTAGTTGAGTACACACATCTCAAATAAGTTTCTGAGAATGCTGCAGTCTGCAATTTGTATGAATTCCCGCTTCCAACGAAATCCTCAAAACTAGCCAAATATCCACTTGCAGATTCCACAAAAAGAGCGTTTCAAAACTTATCTATGAAAAGAAAGGTTCTACTTCTTTAGTTGAGGACACACATCACGAGTAAGTTTCTGAGAATGCTTCTGTCTAGTTTTTATGGGAAGATATTTCCTTTTTCACCTTAGGCCGGAAAGTGCTCCAAATGTCCACTTACACACACTATACAAAGAGTGTTTCAAACCTGCTCTGTGAAAGGGAATGTTCAATACTGTGACTTGAATGCAATCATCACAAAGAAGTTTCTGAGAATGCTGCTGACTGCTTTTTATATGTAATCCCGTTTCCAACGAAATCCTCAAATCCAGCCAAATAGCCACTTGCAGATTCCACAAAAAGAGTGTTTCAAAACTGTTCTGTCTAAAGAAATGTTCAACTGTGTTAGTTGAGGACACACATCAGAAACTAGTTTCTGAGAATGCTTCTGTCTAGTTGTTATGGGAAGATATTTCCTTTTCCAACGTAGGCCTGAAAGCGATCCAAATGTCCACTTCCATATACTAAAAAAAGAGTGTTTCAAACCTGCTCTACCAAAGGGAATGTTCTACTCTGTGACTTGAATGCAAACATCCCAAAGAAGTTTCTGAGAATGCTTCTGTCTAGATTTTCTCTGAAGACAATCCCGTTTCCAACGAAATCCTCAAGGCTAGGCAAATATACTCTTGCAGATTCCAGAAAAAGAGTGTTTCAAAACTGCTCCTTCAAAACGGTGGTTAAATTCTCTTAGTTGAGTACACACATCTCAAATAAGTTTCTGAGAATGCTTCTGCCTAGTTGTTACGGGAAGATATTTCCCTTTCCAACATGGGCCTGAAAGCGCTCCAAATGTCCACTTCCAGATACTACAAAAAGAGTGTTTCAAACCTGCTCTACCAAAGGGAATGTTCTACTCTGTGACTTGAATGCAAACATCCCAAAGAAGTTTCTGAGAATGCTTCTGTCTAGATTTTACCTGAAGACAATCCCGTTTCCCACGAAATCCTCAAAGCTATGCAAATATCCTCTTGCAGATTCTACAAAAAGAGTGTTTCAAAACTGCTCTATGAAAAGAAAGGTTCAACTCTGTCAGTAGAGGGCACACATCACAAACAAGTTTCTGAGAATGCTTCTGCATAGTTGTTACGGGAAGATATTTCCCTTTCCAAAATAGGCCTGAAAGCGCTCCAAATGTCCACTTCCAGATACTACAAAAGGAGTGATTCCAACCTGCTCTATGATAGGGAATGTTCAACTCTGTGTCCTGAATACAAACATCACAAAGATGTTTCTCAGAACGCTGCAGTCTGCAATTTGTATGAATTCCCGCTTCCAACGAAATCCTCAAAACTAGCCAAATATCCACTTGCAGATTCCACAAAAAGACCATTTCAAAACTGCTCTATCAAAAGAAAGGTTCAACTTTGTTAGTTGAGTAGATACAGCATAAACAAGTTTCTGAGAATGCTTCTGTCCAGTTTTTATGGGAAGATATTTCCTTTTTCACCTTAGCCCTGAAATCGCTCCAAAAGTCCAGTTCCAGATACTACAAAAGGGGTGTTTCAGGACTGCTCTATGAAAGGGAGTGTTCAACTTTTGACTTGAATGCAAACATCAGAAAGCAGTTTCTCAGAACGCTGCTGTGTGCTTTTT
This sequence comes from Homo sapiens, assembly GCF_000001405.40. Taxonomy (NCBI): domain Eukaryota; kingdom Metazoa; phylum Chordata; class Mammalia; order Primates; family Hominidae; genus Homo; species Homo sapiens. Next base: position 18,211,695 of record NC_000018.10, on the reverse strand, counting down.
ATATGTATTCCCGCTTCCAGCGAAATCCCCAAAGCTAGCCAAATATCCACTTGCAGATTCCAGAAAAAGAGAGTTTCAAAACTGCTCCTTCAAAACGGTGGTTCAATTCTCTTAGTTGAGTACACACATCTCAAATAAGTTTCTGAGAATGCTTGTGTCTAGTTGTTATGGGAAGATATTTCCTTTTTCAACATAGGCCTGAAAGCGCTCCAAATGTCCACTTCCAGATACTACAAAAGGAGTGATTCCAACCTGCTCTATGATAGGGAATGTTCATCTCTGTGTCCTGAATACAAACATCACAAAGATGTTTCTCAGAACGCTGCAGTCTGCAATTTGTATGAATTCCCGCTTCCAACGAAATCCTCAAAACTAGCCAAATATCCACTTGGAGATTCCACAAAAAGAGCGTTTCAAAACTTCTCTATGAATAGAAAGGTTCTACTCCTTTAGTTGAGGACACACATCACGAGTAAGTTTCTGAGAATGCTTCTGTCTAGTTTTTATGGGAAGATATTTCCTTTTCCACCTTAGGCCGGAAAGCGCTCCAAATGTCCACTTACACACACTACAAAAAGAGTGTTTCAAACCTGCTCTGTGAAAGGGAATGTTCAATTCTGTGACTTGAATGCAATCATCACAAAGAACTTTGTGAGAATGCTGCTGTCTGCTTTTTATATGTAATCCCGTTTCCAACGAAATCCTCAAATCTAGCCAAATATCCACTTGCAGATTCCACAAAAAGAGTGTTTCAAAACTGTTCTGTCTAAAGAAAAGTTCAACTGTGTTAGTTGAGGACACACATCAGAAACTAGTTTCTGAGAATGCTTCTGTCTAGTTGTTATGGGAAGATATTTCCTTTTCCAACGTAGGCCTGAAAGCGCTCCAAATGTCCACTTCCATATACTAAAAAAAGAGTGTTTCAAACCTGCTCTACCAAAGGGAATGTTCTACTCTGTGACTTGAATGCAAACATCCCAAAGAAGTTTCTGAGAATGCTTCTGTCTAGATTTGATCTGAAGACAATCTCGTTTCCAACGAAATCCTCAAAGCTAGGCAAATATCCTCTTGCAGATTCCAGAAAAAGAGTGTTTCAAAACTGCTCCTTCAAAACGGTGGTTCAATTCTCTTAGTTGAGTACACACATCTCAAATAAGTTTCTGAGAATGCTTCTGCCTAGTTGTTACGGGAAGATATTTCCCTTTCCAACATAGGCCTGAAAGCGCTCCAAATGTCCACTTCCAGATACTACAAAAAGAGTGTTTCAAACCTGCTCTACCAAAGGGAATGTTCTGCTCTGTGACTTGAATGCAAACATCCCAAAGAAGTTTCTGAGAATGCTTCTGTCTAGATTTTACCTGAAGACAATCCCGTTTCCCACGAAATCCTCAAAGCTATGCTAATATCCTCTTGCAGATTCTACAAAAAGAGTGTTTCAAAACTGCTCTATGAAAAGAAAGGTTCAACTCTGTCAGTAGAGGGCACACATCACAAACAAGTTTCTGAGAATGCTTGTGTCTAGTTGTTATGGGAAGATATTTCCTTTTTCAACATAGGCCTGAAAGCGCTCCAAATGTCCACTTCCAGATACTACAAAAGGAGTGATTCCAACCTGCTCTATGATAGGGAATGTTCAACTCTCTGTCCTGAATACAAACATCACAAAGATGTTTCTCAGAACGCTGCAGTCTGCAATTTGTATGAATTCCCGCTTCCAACGAAATCCTCAAAACTAGCCAAATATCCACTTGCAGATTCCACAAAAAGAGCATTTCAAAACTGCTCTATCAAAAGAAAGGTTCAACTTTGTTAGTTGAGTAGATACAGCATAAAAAAGTTTCTGAGAATGCTTCTGTCCAGTTTTTATGGGAAGATATTTCCTTTTTCACCTTAGCCCTGAAAGCGCTCCAAAAGTCCAGTTCCAGATACTACAAAAGGAGTGTTTCAGGACTGCTCTATGAAAGGGAGTGTTCAACTTTTGACTTGAATGCAAACATCAGAAAGCAGTTTCTCAGAACGCTGCTGTGTGCTTTTTATATGTATTCCCGCCTCCAGCGAAATCCCCAAAGCTAGCCAAATATCCACTTGCAGATTCCAGAAAAAGAGTGTTTCAAAACTGCTCCTTCAAAACGGTGGTTCAATTCTCTTAGTTGAGTACACACATCTCAAATAAGTTTCTGAGAATGCTTGTGTCTAGTTGTTATGGAAAGATATTTCCTTTTTCAACATAGGCCTGAAAGCGCTCCAAATGTCCACTTCCAGATACTACAAAAGGAGTGATTCCAACCTGCTCTATGATAGGGAATGTTCAACTCTGTGTCCTGAATACAAACATCACAAAGATGTTTCTCAGAACGCTGCAGTCTGCAATTTGTATGAATTCCCGCTTCCAACGAAATCCTCAAAACTAGCCAAATATCCACTTGCAGATTCCACAAAAAGAGCGTTTCAAAACTTCTCTATGAAAAGAAAGGTTCTACTCCTTTAGTTGAGGACACACATCACGAGTAAGTTTCTGAGAATGCTTCTGTCTAGTTTTTATGGGAAGATATTTCCTTTTTCACCTTAGGCCGGTAAGTGCTCCAAATGTCCACTTACACACACTACAAAAAGAGTGTTTCAAACCTGCTCTGTGAAAGGGAATGTTCAATTCTGTGACTTGAATGCAATCATCACAAAGAACTTTCTGAGAATGCTGCTGACTGCTTTTTATATGTAATCCCGTTTCCAACGAAATCCTCAAATCTAGCCAAATAGCCACTTGCAGATTCCACAAAAAGAGTGTTTCAAAACTGTTCTGTCTAAAGAAATGTTCAACTGTGTTAGTTGAGGACACACATCAGAAACTAGTTTCTGAGAATGCTTCTGTCTAGTTGTTATGGGAAGATATTTCCTTTTCCAACGTAGGCCTGAAAGCGATCCAAATGTCCACTTCCATATACTAAAAAAAGAGTGTTTCAAACCTGCTCTACCAAAGGGAATGTTCTACTCTGTGACTTGAATGCAAACATCCCAAAGAAGTTTCTGAGAATGCTTCTGTCTAGATTTTCTCTGAAGACAATCCCGTTTCCAACGAAATCCTCAAGGCTAGGCAAATATACTCTTGCAGATTCCAGAAAAAGAGTGTTTCAAAACTGCTCCTTCAAAACGGTGGTTCAATTCTCTTAGTTGAGTACACACATCTCAAATAAGTTTCTGAGAATGCTTCTGCCTAGTTGTTACGGGAAGATATTTCCCTTTCCAACATGGGCCTGAAAGCGCTCCAAATGTCCACTTCCAGATACTACAAAAAGAGTGTTTCAAACCTGCTCTACCAAAGGGAATGTTCTACTCTGTGACTTGAATGCAAACATCCCAAAGAAGTTTCTGAGAATGCTTCTGTCTAGATTTTACCTGAAGACAATCCCGTTTCCCACGAAATCCTCAAAGCTATGCAAATATCCTCTTGCAGATTCTACAAAAAGAGTGTTTCAAAACTGCTCTATGAAAAGAAAGGTTCAACTCTGTCAGTAGAGGGCACACATCACAAACAAGTTTCTGAGAATGCTTCTGCATAGTTGTTACGGGAAGATATTTCCCTTTCCAAAATAGGCCTGAAAGCGCTCCAAATGTCCACTTCCAGATACTACAAAAGGAGTGATTCCAACCTGCTCTATGATAGGGAATGTTCAACTCTGTGTCCTGAATACAAACATCACAAAGATGTTTCTCAGAACGCTGCAGTCTGCAATTTGTATGAATTCCCGCTTCCAACGAAATCCTCAAAACTAGCCAAATATCCACTTGCAGATTCCACAAAAAGACCATTTCAAAACTGCTCTATCAAAAGAAAGGTTCAACTTTGTTAGTTGAGTAGATACAGCATAACCAAGTTTCTGAGAATGCTTCTGTCCAGTTTTTATGGGAAGATATTTCCTTTTTCACCTTAGCCCTGAAATCGCTCCAAAAGTCCAGTTCCAGATACTACAAAAGGGGTGTTTCAAGACTGCTCTATGAAAGGGAGTGTTCAACTTTTGACTTGAATGCAAACATCAGAAAGCAGTTTCTCAGAACGCTGCTGTGTGCTTTTTATATGTATTCCCGCTTCCAGCGAAATCCCCAAAGCTAGCCAAATATCCACTTGCAGATTCCAGAAAAAGAGTGTTTCAAAACTGCTCCTTCAAAACGGTGGTTCAATTCTCTTAGTTGAGTACACACATCTCAAATAAGTTTCTGAGAATGCTTCTGTCTATTTGTTATGGGAAGATATTTCCTTTTCCAACATAGGCCTGAAAGGGCTCCAAATGGACACTTCCAGATACTACAAAAGGAGTGATTCAAACCTGCTCTATGATAGGGAATGTTCAACTCTGTGTCCTGAATACAAACATCACAAAGATGTTTCTCAGAACGCTGCAGTCTGCAATTTGTATGAATTCCCGCTTCCAACGAAATCCTCAAAACTAGCCAAATATCCACTTGCAGATTCCACAAAAAGAGCGTTTCAAAACTTCTCTATGAAAAGAAAGGTTCTACTCCTTTAGTTGAGGACACACATCACGAGTAAGTTTCTGAGAATGCTTCTGTCTAGTTTTTATGGGAAGATATGTCCTTTTTCACCTTAGGCCGGAAAGCGCTCCAAATGTCCACTTACACACACTACAAAAAGAGTGTTTCAAACCTGCTCTGTGAAAGGGAATGTTCAATTCTGTGACTTGAATGCAATCATCACAAAGAAGTTTCTGAGAATGCTGCTGTCTGCTTTTTATATGTAATCCCGTTTCCAACGAAATCCTCAAATCTAGCCAAATATCCACTTGCAGATTCCACAAAGAGAGTGTTTCAAAACTGTTCTGTCTAAAGAAATGTTCAACTGTGTTAGTTGAGGACACACATCAGAAACTAGTTTCTGAGAATGCTTCTGTCTAGTTGTTATGGGAAGATATTTCCTTTTCCAACGTAGGCCTGAAAGCGCTCCAAATGTCCACTTCCATATACTAAAAAAAGAGTGTTTCAAACCTGCTCTACCAAAGGGAATGTTCTACTCTGTGACTTGAATGCAAACATCCCAAAGAAGTTTCTGAGAATGCTTCTGTCTAGATTGGATCTGAAGACAATCCCGTTGCCAACGAAATCCTCAAATCTATGCAAATATCCTCTTGCAGATTCCAGAAAAAGAGTGTTTCAAAACTGCTCCTTCAAAACGGTGGTTCAATTCTCTTAGTTGAGTACACACATCTCAAATAAGTTTCTGAGAATGCTTCTGCCTAGTTGTTACGGGAAGATATTTCCCTTTCCAACATAGGCCTGAAAGCGCTCCAAATGTCCACTTCCAGATACTACAAAAAGAGTGTTTCAAACCTGCTCTACCAAAGGGAATGTTCTACTCTGTGACTTGAATGCAAACATCCCGAAGAATTTTCTGAGAATGCTTCTGTCTAGATTTTACCTGAAGACAATCCCGTTTCCCACGAAATCCTCAAAGCTATGCAAATATCCTCTTGCAGATTCTACAAAAAGAGTGTTTCGAAACTGCTCTATGAAAAGAAAGGTTCAACTCTGTCAGTAGAGGGCACACATCACAAACAAGTTTCTGAGAATGCTTGTGTCTACTTGTTATGGGAAGATATTTCCTTTTTCAACATAGGCCTGAAAGCGCTCCAAATGTCCACTTCCAGATACTACAAAAGGAGTGATTCCAACCTGCTCTATGATAGGGAATGTTCAACTCTGTGTCCTGAATACAAACATCACAAAGATGTTTCTCAGAACGCTGCAGTCTGCAATTTGTATGAATTCCCGCTTCCAACGAAATCCTCAAAGCTAGCCAAATATCCACTTGCAGATTCCACAAAAAGAGCATTTCAAAACTGCTCTATCAAAAGAAAGGTTCAACTTTGTTAGTTGAGTAGATATAGCATAAACAAGTTTCTGAGAATGCTTCTGTCCAGTTTTTATGGGAAGATATTTCCTTTTTCAACTTAGCCCTGAAAGCGCTCCAAATGTCCAGTTCCAGATACTACAAAAGGGGTGTTTCAAGACTGCTCTATGAAAGGGAGTGTTCAACTTTTGACTTGAATGCAAACATCAGAAAGCAGTTTCTCAGAACGCTGCTGTGTGCTTTTTATATGTATTCCCGCTTCCAGCGAAATCCCCAAAGCTAGCCAAATATCCACTTGCAGATTCCAGAAAAAGAGTGTTTCCAAACTGCTCCTTCAAAACGGTGGTTCAATTCTCTTAGTTGAGTACACACATCTCAAATAAGTTTCTGAGAATGCTTCTGTCTAGTTGTTATGGGAAGATATTTCCTTTTCCAACATAGGCCTGAAAGCGCTCCAAATGTCCACTTCCAGATACTACAAAAGGAGTGATTCCAACCTACTCTATGATAGGGAATGTTCAACTCTGTGTCCTGAATACAAACATCACAAAGATGTTTCTCAGAACGCTGCAGTCTGCAATTTGTATGAATTCCCGCTTCCAACGAAATCCTCAAAACTAGCCAAATATCCACTTGCAGATTCCACAAAAAGAGCGTTTCAAAACTTCTCTATGAAAAGAAAGGTTCTACTCCTTTAGTTGAGGACACACATCACGAGTAAGTTTCTGAGAATGCTTCTGTCTAGTTTTTATGGGAAGATATTTCCTTTTTCACCTTAGGCCGGTAAGTGCTCCAAATGTCCACTTACACACACTACAAAAAGAGTGTTTCAAACCTGCTCTGTGAAAGGGAATGTTCAATTCTGTGACTTGAATGCAATCATCACAAAGAACTTTCTGAGAATGCCGCTGACTGCTTTTTATATGTAATCCCGTTTCCAACGAAATCCTCAAATCTAGCCAAATAGCCACTTGCAGATTCCACAAAAAGAGTGTTTCAAAACTGTTCTGTCTAAAGAAATGTTCAACTGTGTTAGTTGAGGACACACATCAGAAACTAGTTTCTGAGAATGCTTCTGTCTAGTTGTTATGGGAAGATATTTCCTTTTCCAACGTAGGCCTGAAAGCGCTCCAAATGTCCACTTCCAGATACTACAAAAAGAGTGTTTCAAACCTGCTCTACCAAAGGGAATGTTCTACTCTGTGACTTGAATGCAAGCATCCCAAAGAAGTTTCTGAGAATGCTTCTGTCTAGATTTTCTCTGAAGACAATCCCGTTTCCAACGAAATCCTCAAGGCTAGGCAAATATACTCTTGCAGATTCCAGAAAAAGAGTGTTTCAAAACTGCTCCTTCAAAACGGTGGTTCAATTCTCTTAGTTGAGTACACACATCTCAAATAAGTTTCTGAGAATGCTTCTGCCTAGTTGTTACGGGAAGATATTTCCCTTTCCAACATGGGCCTGAAAGCGCTCCAAATGTCCACTTCCAGATACTACAAAAAGAGTGTTTCAAACCTGCTCTACCAAAGGGAATGTTCTACTCTGTGACTTGAATGCAAACATCCCAAAGAAGTTTCTGAGAATGCTTCTGTCTAGATTTTACCTGAAGACAATCCCGTTTCCCACGAAATCCTCAAAGCTATGCAAATATCCTCTTGCAGATTCTACAAAAAGAGTGTTTCAAAACTGCTCTATGAAAAGAAAGGTTCAACTCTGTCAGTAGAGGGCACACATCACAAACAAGTTTCTGAGAATGCTTCTGCATAGTTGTTACGGGAAGATATTTCCCTTTCCAAAATAGGCCTGAAAGCGCTCCAAATGTCCACTTCCAGATACTACAAAAGGAGTGATTCCAACCTGCTCTATGATAGGGAATGTTCAACTCTGTGTCCTGAATACAAACATCACAAAGATGTTTCTCAGAACGCTGCAGTCTGCAATTTGTATGAATTCCCGCTTCCAACGAAATCCTCAAAACTAGCCAAATATCCACTTGCAGATTCCACAAAAAGACCATTTCAAAACTGCTCTATCAAAAGAAAGGTTCAACTTTGTTAGTTGAGTAGATACAGCATAACCAAGTTTCTGAGAATGCTTCTGTCCAGTTTTTATGGGAAGATATTTCCTTTTTCACCTTAGCCCTGAAATCGCTCCAAAAGTCCAGTTCCAGATACTACAAAAGGGGTGTTTCAAGACTGCTCTATGAAAGGGAGTGTTCAACTTTTGACTTGAATGCAAACATCAGAAAGCAGTTTCTCAGAACGCTGCTGTGTGCTTTTTATATGTATTCCCGCTTCCAGCGAAATCCCCAAAGCTAGCCAAATATCCACTTGCAGATTCCAGAAAAAGAGAGTTTCAAAACTGCTCCTTCAAAACGGTGGTTCAATTCTCTTAGTTGAGTACACACATCTCAAATAAGTTTCTGAGAATGCTTCTGTCTAGTTGTTATGGGAAGATATTTCCTTTTCCAACATAGGCCTGAAAGCGCTCCAAATGTCCACTTCCAGATACTACAAAAGGAGTGATTCAAACCTGCTCTATGATAGGGAATGTTCAACTCTGTGTCCTGAATACAAACATCACAAAGATGTTTCTCAGAACGCTGCAGTCTGCAATTTGTATGAATTCCCGCTTCCAACGAAATCCTCAAAACTAGCCAAATATCCACTTGCAGATTCCACAAAAAGAGCGTTTCAAAACTTCTCTATGAAAAGAAAGGTTCTACTCCTTTAGTTGAGGACACACATCACGAGTAAGTTTCTGAGAATGCTTCTGTCTAGTTTTTATGGGAAGATATTTCCTTTTTCACCTTAGGCCGGTAAGTGCTCCAAATGTCCACTTACACACACTACAAAAAGAGTGTTTCAAACCTGCTCTGTGAAAGGGAATGTTCAATTCTGTGACTTGAATGCAATCATCACAAAGAACTTTCTGAGAATGCTGCTGACTGCTTTTTATATGTAATCCCGTTTCCAACGAAATCCTCAAATCTAGCCAAATAGCCACTTGCAGATTCCACAAAAAGAGTGTTTCAAAACTGTTCTGTCTAAAGAAATGTTCAACTTGTGTTAGTTGAGGACACACATCAGAAACTAGTTTCTGAGAATGCTTCTGTCTAGTTGTTATGGGAAGATATTTCCTTTTCCAACGTAGGCCTGAAAGCGCTCCAAATGTCCACTTCCATATACTAAAAAAAGAGTGTTTCAAACCTGCTCTACCAAAGGGAATGTTCTACTCTGTGACTTGAATGCAAACATCCCAAAGAAGTTTCTGAGAATGCTTCTGTCTAGATTTTCTCTGAAGACAATCCCGTTTCCAACGAAATCCTCAAGGCTAGGCAAATATACTCTTGCAGATTCCAGAAAAAGAGTGTTTCAAAACTGCTCCTTCAAAACGGTGGTTCAATTCTCTTAGTTGAGTACACACATCTCAAATAAGTTTCTGAGAATGCTTCTGCCTAGTTGTTACGGGAAGATATTTCCCTTTCCAACATGGGCCTGAAAGCGCTCCAAATGTCCACTTCCAGATACTACAAAAAGAGTGTTTCAAACCTGCTCTACCAAAGGGAATGTTCTACTCTGTGACTTGAATGCAAACATCCCAAAGAAGTTTCTGAGAATGCTTCTGTCTAGATTTTACCTGAAGACAATCCCGTTTCCCACGAAATCCTCAAAGCTATGCAAATATCCTCTTGCGGATTCTATAAAAGAGTGTTTCAAAACTGCTCTATGAAAAGAAAGGTTCAACTCTGTCAGTAGAGGGCACACATCACAAACAAGTTTCTGAGAATGCTTGTGTCTAGTTGTTATGGGAAGATATTTCCTTTTTCAACATAGGCCTGAAAGCGCTCCAAATGTCCACTTCCAGATACTACAAAAGGAGTGATTCCAACATGCTCTATGATAGGGAATGTTCATCTCTGTGTCTTGAATACAAACATTTCAAAGATGTTTCTCAGAACGCTGCAGTCTGCAATTTGTATGAATTCCCGCTTCCAACGAAATCCTCAAAACTAGCCAAATATCCACTTGGAGATTCCACAAAAAGAGCGTTTCAAAACTTCTCTATGAATAGAAAGGTTCTACTCCTTTAGTTGAGGACACACATCACGAGTAAGTTTCTGAGAATGCTTCTGTCTAGTTTTTATGGGAAGATATGTCCTTTTTCACCTTAGGCCGGAAAGCGCTCCAAATGTCCACTTACACACACTACAAAAAGAGTGTTTCAAACCTGCTCTATGAAAGGGAATGTTCAATTCTGTGACTTGAAAGCAATCATCACAAAGAACTTTCTGAGAATGCTGCTGACTGCTTTTTATATGTAATCCCGTTTCCAACGAAATCCTCAAATCTAGCCCAATATCCACTTGCAGATTCCACAAAAAGAGTGTTTCAAAACTGTTCTGTATAAAGAAATGTACAACTGTGTTAGTTGAGGACACACATCAGAAACTAGTTTCTGAGAATGCTTTCTGTCTAGTTGTTATGGGAAGATATTTCCTTTTCCAACGTAGGCCTGAAAGCGCTCCAAATGTCCACTTCCATATACTAAAAAAAGAGTGTTTCAAACCTGCTCTACCAAAGGGAATGTTCTACTCTGTGACTTGAATGCAAACATCCCAAAGAAGTTTCTGAGAATGCTTCTGTCTAGATTTTATCTGAAGACAATCCCGTTTCCAACGAAATCCTCAAGGCTAGGCAAATATACTCTTGCAGATTCCAGAAAAAGAGGGTTTTAAAACTGCTCCTTCAAAACGGTGGTTCAATTCTCTTAGTTGAGTACACACATCTCAAATAAGTTTCTGAGAATGCTTCTGCCTAGTTGTTACGGGAAGATATTTCCCTTTGCAACATGGGCCTGAAAGCGCTCCAAATGTCCACTTCCAGATACTACAAAAAGAGGGTTTCAAACCTGCTCTGCCAAAGGGAATGTTCTACTCTGTGACTTGAATGCAAACATCCCAAAGAAGTTTCTGAGAATACTTCTGTCTAGATTTTACCTGAAGACAATCCCGTTTCCCACGAAATCCTCAAAGCTATGCAAATATCCTCTTGCGGATTCTACAAAAAGAGTGTTTCAAAACTGCTCTATGAAAAGAAAGGTTCAACTCTGTCAGTAGAGGGCACACATCACAAACAAGTTTCTGAGAATGCTTGTGTCTAGTTGTTATGGGAAGATATTTCCTTTTTCAACATAGGCCTGAAAGCGCTCCAAATGTCCACTTCCAGATACTACAAAAGGAGTGATTCCAACCTGCTCTATGATAGGGAATGTTCATCTCTGTGTCCTGAATACAAACATCACAAAGATGTTTCTCAGAACGCTGCAGTCTGCAATTTGTATGAATTCCCGCTTCCAACGAAATCCTCAAAACTAGCCAAATATCCACTTGCAGATTCCGCAAAAAGAGCATTTCAAAACTGCTCTATCAAAAGAAAGGTTCAACTTTGTTAGTTGAGTTGATACAGCATAAACAAGTTTCTGAGAATGCTTCTGTCCAGTTTTTATGGGAAGATATTTCCTTTTTCACCTTAGCCCTGAAAGCGCTCCAAAAGTCCAGTTCCAGATACTACAAAAGGAGTGTTTCAGGACTGCTCTATGAAAGGGAGTGTTCAACTTTTGACTTGAATGCAAACATCAGAAAGCAGTTTCTCAGAACGCTGCTGTGTGCTTTTTATATGTATTCCCGCTTCCAGCGAAATCCCCAAAGCTAGCCAAATATCCACTTGCAGATTCCAGAAAAAGAGTGTTTCAAAACTGCTCCTTCAAAACGGTGGTTCAATTCTCTTAGTTGAGTACACACATCTCAAATAAGTTTCTGAGAATGCTTCTGTCTAGTTGTTATGGGAAGATATTTCCTTTTCCAACATAGGCCTGAAAGTGCTCCAAATGTCCACTTCCAGATACTACAAAAGGAGTGATTCAAACCTGCTCTATGATAGGGAATGTTCAACTCTGTGTCCTGAATACAAACATCACAAAGATGTTTCTCAGAACGCTGCAGTCTGCAATTTGTATGAATTCCCGCTTCCAACGAAATCCTCCAAACTAGCCAAATATCCACTTGCAGATTCCACAAAAAGAGCGTTTCAAAACTTCTCTATGAAAAGAAAGGTTCTACTCCTTTAGTTGAGGACACACATCACGAGTAAGTTTCTGAGAATGCTTCTGTCTAGTTTTTATGGGAAGATATTTCCTTTTTCACCTTAGGCCGGTAAGTGCTCCAAATGTCCACTTACACACACTACAAAAAGAGTGTTTCAAACCTGCTCTGTGAAAGGGAATGTTCAATTCTGTGACTTGAATGCAATCATCACAAAGAACTTTCTGAGAATGCCGCTGACTGCTTTTTATATGTAATCCCGTTTCCAACGAAATCCTCAAATCTAGCCAAATAGCCACTTGCAGATTCCACAAAAAGAGTGTTTCAAAACTGTTCTGTCTAAAGAAATGTTCAACTGTGTTAGTTGAGGACACACATCAGAAACTAGTTTCTGAGAATGCTTCTGTCTAGTTGTTATGGGAAGATATTTCCTTTTCCAACGTAGGCCTGAAAGCGCTCCAAATGTCCACTTCCAGATACTACAAAAAGAGTGTTTCAAACCTGCTCTACCAAAGGGAATGTTCTACTCTGTGACTTGAATGCAAACATCCCAAAGAAGTTTCTGAGAATGCTTCTGTCTAGATTTTCTCTGAAGACAATCCCGTTTCCAACGAAATCCTCAAGGCTAGGCAAATATACTCTTGCAGATTCCAGAAAAAGAGTGTTTCAAAACTGCTCCTTCAAAACGGTGGTTCAATTCTCTTAGTTGAGTACACACATCTCAAATAAGTTTCTGAGAATGCTTCTGCCTAGTTGTTACGGGAAGATATTTCCCTTTCCAACATGGGCCTGAAAGCGCTCCAAATGTCCACTTCCAGATACTACAAAAAGAGTGTTTCAAACCTGCTCTACCAAAGGGAATGTTCTACTCTGTGACTTGAATGCAAACATCCCAAAGAAGTTTCTGAGAATGCTTCTGTCTAGATTTTACCTGAAGACAATCCCGTTTCCCACGAAATCCTCAAAGCTATGCAAATATCCTCTTGCAGATTCTACAAAAAGAGTGTTTCAAAACTGCTCTATGAAAAGAAAGGTTCAACTCTGTCAGTAGAGGGCACACATCACAAACAAGTTTCTGAGAATGCTTCTGCATAGTTGTTACGGGAAGATATTTCCCTTTCCAAAATAGGCCTGAAAGCGCTCCAAATGTCCACTTCCAGATACTACAAAAGGAGTGATTCCAACCTGCTCTATGATAGGGAATGTTCAACTCTGTGTCCTGAATACAAACATCACAAAGATGTTTCTCAGAACGCTGCAGTCTGCAATTTGTATGAATTCCCGCTTCCAACGAAATCCTCAAAACTAGCCAAATATCCACTTGCAGATTCCACAAAAAGACCATTTCAAAACTGCTCTATCAAAAGAAAGTTTCAACTTTGTTAGTTGAGTAGATACAGCATAACCAAGTTTCTGAGAATGCTTCTGTCCAGTTTTTATGGGAAGATATTTCCTTTTTCACCTTAGCCCTGAAAGCGCTCCAAATGTCCAGTTCCAGATACTACAAAAGGGGTGTTTCAAGACTGCTCTATGAAAGGGGGTGTTCAACTTTTGACTTGAATGCAAACATCAGAAAGCAGTTTCTCAGAACGCTGCTGTGTGCTTTTTATATGTATTCCCGCTTCCAGCGAAATCCCCAAAGCTAGCCAAATATCCACTTGCAGATTCCAGAAAAAGAGTGTTTCAAAACTGCTCCTTCAAAACGGTGGTTCAATTCTCATAGTTGAGTACACACATCTCAAATAAGTTTCTGAGGATGCTTCTGTCTAGTTGTTATGGGAAGATATTTCCTTTTTCAACATAGGCCTGAAAGCGCTCCAAATGTCGACTTCCAGATACTACAAAAGGAGTGATTCCAGCCTTCTCTATGATAGGGAATGTTCAACTCTGTGTCCTGAATACAAACATCACAAAGACGTTTCTCAGAACGCTGCAGTCTGCAATTTGTATGAATTCCCGCTTCCAACGAAATCCTCAAAACTAGCCAAATATCCACTTGCAGATTCCACAAAAAGAGCGTTTCAAAACTTCTCTATGAAAAGAAAGGTTCTACTCCTTTAGTTGAGGACACACAATACGAGTAAGTTTCTGAGAATGCTTCTGTCCAGTTTTTATGGGAAGATATTTCCTTTTTCACCTTAGCCCTGAAAGCGCTCCAAAAGTCCAGTTCCAGATACTACAAAAGGAGTGTTTCAGGACTGCTCTATGAAAGGGAGTGTTCAACTTTTGACTTGAATGCAAACATCAGAAAGCAGTTTCTCAGAACGCTGCTGTGTGCTTTTTATATGTATTCCCGCTTCCAGCGAAATCCCCAAAGCTAGCCAAATATCCACTTGCAGATTCCAGAAAAAGAGTGTTTCAAAACTGCTCCTTCAAAACGGTGGTTCAATTCTCTTAGTTGAGTACACACATCTCAAATAAGTTTCTGAGAATGCTTCTGTCTAGTTGTTATGGGAAGATATTTCCTTTTCCAACATAGGCCTGAAAGCGCTCCAAATGTCCACTTCCAGATACTACAAAAGGAGTGATTCAAACCTGCTCTATGATAAGGAATGTTCAACTCTGTGTCCTGAATACAAACATCACACAGATGTTTCTCAGAACGCTGCAGTCTGCAATTTGTATGAATTCCCGCTTCCAACGAAATCCTCAAAACTAGCCAAATATCCACTTGCAGATTCCACAAAAAGAGCGTTTCAAAACTTCTCTATGAAAAGAAAGGTTCTACTCCTTTAGTTGAGGACACACACCACGAGTAAGTTTCTGAGAATGCTTCTGTCTAGTTTTTATGGGAAGATATTTCCTTTTTCACCTTAGGCCGGAAAGTGCTCCAAATGTCCACTTACACACACTACAAAAAGAGTGTTTCAAACCTGCTCTGTGAAAGGGAATGTTCAATTCTGTGACTTGAATGCAATCATCACAAAGAACGTTCTGAGAATGCTGCTGTCTGCTTTTTATATGTAATCCCGTTTCCAACGAAATCCTCAAATCTAGCCAAATAGCCACTTGCAGATTCCACAAAAAGAGAGTTTCAAAACTGTTCTGTCTAAAGAAATGTGCAACTGTGTTAGTTGAGGACACACATCAGAAACTAGTTTCTGAGAATGCTTCTGTCTAATTGTTATGGGAAGATATTTCCTTTTCCAACGTAGGCCTGAAAGCGCTCCAAATGTCCACTTCCATATACTAAAAAAAGAGTGTTTCAAACCTGCTCTACCAAAGGGAATGTTCTACTCTGTGACTTGAATGCAAACATCCCAAAGAAGTTTCTGAGAATGCTTCTGTCTAGATTTGATCTGAAGACAATCCCGTTTCCAACGAAATCCTCAAAGCTAGGCAAATATCCTCTTGCAGATTCCAGAAAAAGAGTGTTTCAAAACTGCTCCTTCAAAACGGTGGTTCAATTCTCTTAGTTGAGTACACACATCTCAAATAAGTTTCTGAGAATGCTTCTGTCTAGTTGTTATGGGAAGATATTTCCTTTTCCAACATAGGCCTGAAAGCGCTCCAAATGTCCACTTCCAGATACTACAAAAGGAGTGATTCCAACCTGCTCTATGATAGGGAATGTTCAACTCTGTGTCCTGAATACAAACATCACAAAGATGTTTCTCAGAACGCTGCAGTCTGCAATTTGTATGAATTCCCGCTTCCAACGAAATCCTCAAAACTAGCCAAATATCCACTTGCAGATTCCACAAAAAGAGCGTTTCAAAACTTCTCTATGAAAAGAAAGGTTCTACTCCTTTAGTTGAGGACACACATCACGAGTAAGTTTCTGAGAATGCTTCTGTCTAGTTTTTATGGGAAGATATTTCCTTTTTCACCTTAGGCCGGTAAGTGCTCCAAATGTCCACTTACACACACTACAAAAAGAGTGTTTCAAACCTGCTCTGTGAAAGGGAATGTTCAATTCTGTGACTTGAATGCAATCATCACAAAGAACTTTCTGAGAATGCTGCTGACTGCTTTTTATATGTAATCCCGTTTCCAACGAAATCCTCAAATCTAGCCAAATAGCCACTTGCAGATTCCACAAAAAGAGTGTTTCAAAACTGTTCTGTCTAAAGAAATGTTCAACTGTGTTAGTTGAGGACACACATCAGAAACTAGTTTCTGAGAATGCTTCTGTCTAGTTGTTATGGGAAGATATTTCCTTTTCCAACGTAGGCCTGAAAGCGCTCCAAATGTCCACTTCCAGATACTAAAAAAAGAGTGTTTCAAACCTGCTCTACCAAAGGGAATGTTCTACTCTGTGACTTGAATGCAAGCATCCCAAAGAAGTTTCTGAGAATGCTTCTGTCTAGATTTTCTCTGAAGACAATCCCGTTTCCAACGAAATCCTCAAGGCTAGGCAAATATCCTCTTGCAGATTCCAGAAAAAGAGTGTTTCAAAACTGCTCCTTCAAAACGGTGGTTCAATTCTCTTAGTTGAGTACACACATCTCAAATAAGTTTCTGAGAATGCTTCTGCCTAGTTGTTACGGGAAGATATTTCCCTTTCCAACATGGGCCTGAAAGCGCTCAAAATGTCCACTTCCAGATACTACAAAAAGAGTGTTTCAAACCTGCTCTACCAAAGGGAATGTTCTACTCTGTGACTTGAATGCAAACATCCCAAAGAAGTTTCTGAGAATGCTTCTGTCTAGATTTTACCTGAAGACAATCCCGTTTCCCACGAAATCCTCAAAGCTATGCAAATATCCTCTTGCGGATTCTACAAAAAGAGTGTTTCAAAACTGCTCTATGAAAAGAAAGGTTCAACTCTGTCAGTAGAGGGCACACATCACAAACAAGTTTCTGAGAATGCTTGTGTCTAGTTGTTATGGGAAGATATTTCCTTTTTCAACATAGGGCCTGAAAGCGCTCCAAATGTCCACTTCCAGATACTACAAAAGGAGTGATTCCAACCTGCTCTATGATAGGGAATGTTCATCTCTGTGTCCTGAATACAAACATCACAAAGATGTTTCTCAGAACGCTGCAGTCTGCAATTTGTATGAATTCCCGCTTCCAACGAAATCCTCAAAACTAGCCAAATATCCACTTGGAGATTCCACAAAAAGAGCGTTTGAAAACTTCTCTATGAATAGAAAGGTTCTACTCCTTTAGTTGAGGACACACATCACGAGTAAGTTTCTGAGAATGCTTCTGTCTAGTTTTTATGGGAAGATATTTCCTTTTTCACCTTAGGCCGGAAAGCGCTCCAAATGTCCACTTACACACACTACAAAAAGAGGGTTTCAAACCTGCTCTGTGAAAGGGAATGTTCAATTCTGTGACTTGAATGCAGTCATCACAAAGAACTTTCTGAGAATGCTGCTGTCTGCTTTTTATATGTAATCCCGTTTCCAACGAAATCCTCAAATCTAGCCAAATAGCCACTTGCAGATTCCACAAAAAGAGTGTTTCAAAACTGTTCTGTCTAAAGAAAAGTTCAACTGTGTTAGTTGAGGACACACATCAGAAACTAGTTTCTGAGAATGCTTCTGTCTAGTTGTTATGGGAAGATATTTCCTTTTCCAACGTAGGCCTGAAAGCGCTCCAAATGTCCACTTCCATATACTAAAAAAAGAGTGTTTCAAACCTGCTCTACCAAAGGGAATGTTCTACTCTGTGACTTGAATGCAAACATCCCAAAGAAGTTTCTGAGAATGCTTCTGTCTAGATTTTATCTGAAGACAATCCCGTTTCCAACGAAATCCTCAAAGCTAGGCAAATATCCTTTTGCAGATTCCAGAAAAAAGAGTGTTTCAAAACTGCTCCTTCAAAACGTTGGTTCAATTCTCTTAGTTGAGTACACACATCTCAAATAAGTTTCTGAGAATGCTTCTGCCTAGTTGTTACGGGAAGATATTTCCCTTTCCAACATGGGCCTGAAAGCGCTCCAAATGTCCACTTCCAGATACTACAAAAAGAGTGTTTCAAACCTGCTCTACCAAAGGGAATGTTCTACTCTGTGACTTGAATGCAAACATCCCAAAGAAGTTTCTGAGAATGCTTCTGTCTAGATTTTACCTGAAGACAATCCGGTTTCCCACGAAATCCTCAAAGCTATGCAAATATCCTCTTGCAGATTCTACAAAAAGAGTGTTTCAAAACTGCTCTATGAAAAGAAAGGTTCAACTCTGTCAGTAGAGGGCACACATCACAAACAAGTTTCTGAGAATGCTTCTGCATAGTTGTTACGGGAAGATATTTCCCTTTCCAAAATAGGCCTGAAAGCGCTCCAAATGTCCACTTCCAGATACTACAAAAGGAGTGATTCCAACCTGCTCTATGATAGGGAATGTTCAACTCTGTGTCCTGAATACAAACATCACAAAGATGTTTCTCAGAACGCTGCAGTCTGCAATTTGTATGAATTCCCGCTTCCAACGAAATCCTCAAAACTAGCCAAATATCCACTTGCAGATTCCACAAAAAGACCATTTCAAAACTGCTCTATCAAAAGAAAGGTTCAACTTTGTTAGTTGAGTAGATACAGCATAAACAAGTTTCTGAGAATGCTTCTGTCCAGTTTTTATGGGAAGATATTTCCTTTTTCACCTTAGCCCTGAAATCGCTCCAAAAGTCCAGTTCCAGATACTACAAAAGGGGTGTTTCAAGACTGCTCTATGAAAGGGAGTGTTCAACTTTTGACTTGAATGCAAACATCAGAAAGCAGTTTCTCAGAACGCTGCTGTGTGCTTTTTATATGTATTCCCGCTTCCAGCGAAATCCCCAAAGCTAGCCAAATATCCACTTGCAGATTCCAGAAAAAGAGAGTTTCAAAACTGCTCCTTCAAAACGGTGGTTCAATTCTCTTAGTTGAGTACACACATCTCAAATAAGTTTCTGAGAATGCTTCTGTCTAGTTGCTATGGGAAGATATTTCCTTTTCCAACATAGGCCTGAAAGCGCTCCAAATGTCCACTTCCAGATACTACAAAAGGAGTGATTCAAACCTGCTCTATGATAGGGAATGTTCAACTCTGTGTCCTGAATACAAACATCACAAAGATGTTTCTCAGAACGCTGCAGTCTGCATCTTGTATGAATTCCCGCTTCCAACGAAATCCTCCAAACTAGCCAAATATCCACTTGCAGATTCCACAAAAAGAGCGTTTCAAAACTTCTCTATGAAAAGAAAGGTTCTACTCCTTTAGTTGAGGACACACATCACGAGTAAGTTTCTGAGAATGCTTCTGTCTAGTTTTTATGGGAAGATATTTCCTTGTTCACCTTAGGCCGGAAAGCGCTCCAAATGTCCACTTACACACACTACAAAAAGAGTGTTTCAAACCTGCTCTGTGAAAGGGAATGTTCAATTCTGTGACTTGAATGCAATCATCACAAAGAAGTTTCTGAGAATGCTGCTGTCTGCTTTTTATATGTAATCCCGTTTCCAACGAAATCCTCAAATCTAGCCAAATATCCACTTGCAGATTCCACAAAAAGAGTGTTTCAAAACTGTTCTGTCTAAAGAAATGTTCAACTGTGTTAGTTGAGGACACACATCAGAAACTAGTTTCTGAGAATGCTTCTGTCTAGTTGTTATGGGAAGATATTTCCTTTTCCAACGTAGGCCTGAAAGCGCTCCAAATGTCCACTTCCATATACTAAAAAAAGAGTGTTTCATACCTGCTCTACCAAAGGAATGTTCTACTCTGTGACTTGAATGCAAACATCCCAAAGAAGTTTCTGAGAATGCTTCTGTCTAGATTTGATCTGAAGACAATCCCTTTTCCAACGAAATCCTCAAAGCTAGGCAAATATCCTCTTGCAGATTCCAGAAAAAGAGTGTTTCCAAACTGCTCCTTCAAAACGGTGGTTCAATTCTCTTAGTTGAGTACACACATCTCAAATAAGTTTCTGAGAATGCTTCTGCCTAGTTGTTACGGGAAGATATTTCCCTTTCCAACATAGGCCTGAAAGCGCAACAAATGTCCACTTCCAGATACGACAAAAAGAGTGTTTCAAACCTGCTCTACCAAAGGGAATGTTCTACTCTGTGACTTGAATGCAAACATCCCGAAGAAGTTTCTGAGAATGCTTCTGTCTAGATTTTACCTGAAGACAATCCCGTTTCCCACGAAATCCTCAGAGCTATGCAAATATCCTCTTGCAGATTCTACAAAAAGAGTGTTTCGAAACTGCTGTATGAAAAGAAAGGTTCAACTCTGTCAGTAGAGGAAACACATCACCAACAAGTTTCTGAGAATGCTTCTGTCTAGTTGTTATGGGAAGATTTTTCCTTTTTCAACATAGGCCTGAAAGCGCTCCAAATGTCCACTTCCAGATACTACAAAAGGAGTGATCCCAACCTGCTCTATGATAGGGAATGTTCAACTCTGTGTCCTGAATACAAACATCACAAAGATGTTTCTCAGAACGCTGCAGTCTGCAATTTGTACGAATTCCCGCTTCCAACGAAATCCTCAAAACTAGCCAAATATCCACTTGCAGATTCCACAAAAAGAGCATTTCAAAACTGCTCTATCAAAAGAAAGGTTCAACTTTGTTAGTTGAGCAGATACAGCATAAACAAGTTTCTGAGAATGCTTCTGTCCAGTTTTTATGGGAAGATATTTCCTTTTTCACCTTAGCCCTGAAAGCGCTCCAAATTTCCAGTTCCAGATACTACAAAAGGGGTGTTTCAAGACTGCTCTATGAAAGGGAGTGTTCAACTTTTGACTTGAATGCAAACATCAGAAAGCAGTTTCTCAGAACGCTGCTGTGTGCTTTTTATATGTATTCCCGCTTCCAGCGAAATCCCCAAAGCTAGCCAAATATCCACTTGCAGATTCCAGAAAAAGAGTGTTTCCAAACTGCTCCTTCAAAACGGTGGTTCAATTCTCTTAGTTGAGTACACACATCTCAAATAAGTTTCTGGGAATGCTTCTGTCTAGTTGTTATGGGAAGATATTTCCTTTTCCAACATAGGCCTGAAAGCGCTCCAAATGTCCACTTCCAGATACTACAAAAGGAGTGATTCAAACCTGCTCTATGATAGGGAATGTTCAACTCTGTGTCCTGAATACAAACATCACAAAGATGTTTCTCAGAACGCTGCAGTCTGCAATTTGTATGAATTCCCGCTTCCAACGAAATCCTCAAAACTAGCCAAATATCCACTTGCAGATTCCACAAAAAGAGCATTTCAAAACTGCTCTATCAAAAGAAAGGTTCAACTTTGTTAGTTGAGTAGATACAGCATAAACAAGTTTCTGAGAATGCTTCTGTCCAGTTTTTATGGGAAGATATTTCCTTTTTCACCTTAGCCCTGAAAGCGCTCCAAAAGTCCAGTTCCAGATACTACAAAAGGAGTGTTTCAGGACTGCTCTATGAAAGGGAGTGTTCAACTTTTGACTTGAATGCAAACATCAGAAAGCAGTTTCTCAGAACGCTGCTGTGTGCTTTTTATATGTATTCCCGCTTCCAGCGAAATCCCCAAAGCTAGCCAAATATCCACTTGCAGATTCCAGAAAAAGAGTGTTTCAAAACTGCTCCTTCAAAACGGTGGTTCAATTCTCTTAGTTGAGTACACACATCTCAAATAAGTTTCTGAGAATGCTTCTGTCTATTTGTTATGGGAAGATATTTCCTTTTCCAACATAGGCCTGAAAGCGCTCCAAATGTCCACTTCCAGATACTAGAAAAGGAGTGATTCAAACCTGCTCTATGATAGGGAATGTTCAACTCTGTGTCCTGAATACAAACATCACAAAGATGTTTCTCAGAACGCTGCAGTCTGCAATTTGTATGAATTCCCGCTTCCAACGAAATCCTCAAAACTAGCCAAATATCCACTTGCAGATTCCACAAAAAGAGCGTTTCAAAACTTCTCTATGAAAAGAAAGGTTCTACTCCTTTAGTTGAGGACACACATCACGAGTAAGTTTCTGAGAATGCTTCTGTCTAGTTTTTATGGGAAGATTATTTCCTTTTTCACCTTAGGCCGGTAAGTGCTCCAAATGTCCACTTACACACACTACAAAAAGAGTGTTTCAAACCTGCTCTGTGAAAGGGAATGTTCAATTCTGTGACTTGAATGCAATCATCACAAAGAACTTTCTGAGAATGCCGCTGTCTGCTTTTTATATGTAATCCCGTTTCCAACGAAATCCTCTAATCTAGCCAAATATCCACTTGCAGATTCCACAAAAAGAGTGTTTCAAAACTGTTCTGTCTAAAGAAATGTTCAACTGTGTTAGTTGAGGACACACATCAGAAACTAGTTTCTGAGAATGCTTCTGACTAGTTGTTATGGGAAGATATTTCCTTTTCCAACGTAGGCCTGAAAGCGCTCCAAATGTCCACTTACACACACTACAAAAAGAGTGTTTCAAACCTGCTCTACCAAAGGGAATGTTCTACTCTGTGACTTGAATTCAAACATCCCAAAGAAGTTTCTGAGAATGCTTCTGTCTAGATTTTACCTGAAGACAATCCCGTTTCCCACGAAATCCTCAAATCTATGCAAATATCCTCTTGCAGATTCTACAAAAAGAGTGTTTCGAAACTGCTCTATGAAAAGAAAGGTTCAACTGTGTCAGTAGAGGGCACACATCACAAACAAGTTTCTGAGAATGCTTCTGCCTAGTTGTTATGGGAAGATATTTCCTTTTTCAAGATAGGCCTGAAAGCGCTCCAAATGTCCACTTCCAGATACTACAAAAGGAGTGATTCCAACCTGCTCTATGATAGGGAATATTCAACTCTGTGTCCTGAATACAATCATCACAAAGAAGTTTCTGAGAATGCTGCTGTCTGCTTTTTATATGTAATCCCTTTTCCAACGAAATCCTCAAATCTAGCCAAATATCCACTTGCAGATTCCACAAAAGAGTGTTTCCAAACTGTTCTGTCTAAAGAAAAGTTCAACTGTGATAGTTGAGGACACACATCAGAAACTAGTTTCTGGGAATGCTTCTGTCTAGTTTTTATGGGAAGATATTTCCTTGTTCACCTTAGGCCGGAAAGCGCTCCAAATGTCCACTTACACACACTAGAAAAAGAGTGTTTCAAACCTGCTCTGTGAAAAGGAATGTTCAATTCTGTGACTTGAATGCAATCATCACAAAGAAGTTTCTGAGAATGCTGCTGTCTGCTTTTTATATGTAATCCCGTTTCCAACGAAATCCTCAAATGTAGCCAAATATCCACTTGCAGATTCCACAAAAAGAGTGTTTCAAAACTGTTCTGTCTAAAGAAATGTTCAACTGTGTTAGTTGAGGACACACATCAGAAACTAGTTTCTGAGAATGCTTCTGTCTAGTTGTTATGGGAAGATATTTCCTTTTCCAACGTAGGCCTGAAAGCGCTCCAAATGTCCACTTCCATATACTAAAAAAAGAGTGTTTCAAACCTGCTCTACCAAAGGAATGTTCTACTCTGTGACTTGAATGCAAACATCCCAAAGAAGTTTCTGAGAATGCTTCTGTCTAGATTTGATCTGAAGACAATCCCTTTTCCAACGAAATCCTCAAAGCTAGGCAAATATCCTCTTGCAGATTCCAGAAAAAGAGTGTTTCCAAACTGCTCCTTCAAAACGGTGGTTCAATTCTCTTAGTTGAGTACACACATCTCAAATAAGTTTCTGAGAATGCTTCTGCCTAGTTGTTACGGGAAGATATTTCCCTTTCCAACATAGGCCTGAAAGCGCAACAAATGTCCACTTCCAGATACGACAAAAAGAGTGTTTCAAACCTGCTCTACCAAAGGGAATGTTCTACTCTGTGACTTGAATGCAAACATCCCGAAGAAGTTTCTGAGAATGCTTCTGTCTAGGTTTTACCTGAAGACAATCCCGTTTCCCACGAAATCCTCAGAGCTATGCAAATATCCTCTTGCAGATTCTACAAAAAGAGTGTTTCGAAACTGCTCTATGAAAAGAAAGGTTCAACTTCTGTCAGTAGAGGAAACACATCACCAACAAGTTTCTGAGAATGCTTCTGTCTAGTTGTTATGGGAAGATTTTTCCTTTTTCAACATAGGCCTGAAAGCGCTCCAAATGTCCACTTCCAGATACTACAAAAGGAGTGATCCCAACCTGCTCTATGATAGGGAATGTTCAACTCTGTGTCCTGAATACAAACATCACAAAGATGTTTCTCAGAACGCTGCAGTCTGCAATTTGTATGAATTCCCGCTTCCAACGAAATCCTCAAAACTAGCCAAATATCCACTTGCAGATTCCACAAAAAGAGCATTTCAAAACTGCTCTATCAAAAGAAAGGTTCAACTTTGTTAGTTGAGCAGATACAGCATAAACAAGTTTCTGAGAATGCTTCTGTCCAGTTTTTATGGGAAGATATTTCCTTTTTCACCTTAGCCCTGAAAGCGCTCCAAATTTCCAGTTCCAGATACTACAAAAGGGGTGTTTCAAGACTGCTCTATGAAAGGGAGTGTTCAACTTTTGACTTGAATGCAAACATCAGAAAGCAGTTTCTCAGAACGCTGCTGTGTGCTTTTTATATGTATTCCCGCTTCCAGCGAAATCCCCATAGCTAGCCAAATATCCACTTGCAGATTCCAGAAAAAGAGTGTTTCCAAACTGCTCCTTCAAAACGGTGGTTCAATTCTCTTAGTTGAGTACACACATCTCAAATAAGTTTCTGGGAATGCTTCTGTCTAGTTGTTATGGGAAGATATTTCCTTTTCCAACATAGGCCTGAAAGCGCTCCAAATGTCCACTTCCAGATACTACAAAAGGAGTGATTCAAACCTGCTCTATGATAGGGAATGTTCAACTCTGTGTCCTGAATACAAACATCACAAAGATGTTTCTCAGAACGCTGCAGTCTGCAATTTGTATGAATTCCCGCTTCCAACGAAATCCTCCAAACTAGCCAAATATCCACTTGCAGATTCCACAAAAAGAGCGTTTCAAAACTTCTCTATGAAAAGAAAGGTTCTACTCCTTTAGTTGAGGACACACATCACGAGTAAGTTTCTGAGAATGCTTCTGTCTAGTTTTTATGGGAAGATATGTCCTTTTTCACCTTAGGCCGGAAAGCGCTCCAAATGTCCACTTACACACACTACAAAAAGAGTGTTTCAAACCTGCTCTGTGAAAGGTAATGTTCAATTCTGTGACTTGAATGCAATCATCACAAAGAACTTTCTGAGAATGCTGCTGACTGCTTTTTATATGTAATCCCGTTTCCAACGAAATCCTCAAATCTAGCCCAATATCCACTTGCAGATTCCACAAAAAGAGTGTTTCAAAACTGTTCTGTGTAAAGAAATGTACAACTGTGTTAGTTGAGGACACACATCAGAAACTAGTTTCTGAGAATGCTTCTGTCTAGTTGTTATGGGAAGATATTTCCTTTTCCAACGTAGGCCTGAAAGCGCTCCAAATGTCCACTTCCATATACTAAAAAAAGAGTGTTTCAAACCTGCTCTACCAAAGGGAATGTTCTACTCTGTGACTTGAATGCAAACATCCCAAAGAAGTTTCTGAGAATGCTTCTGTCTAGATTTTATCTGAAGACAATCCCGTTTCCAACGAAATTCTCAAGGCTAGGCAAATATACTCTTGCAGATTCCAGAAAAAGAGTGTTTCAAAACTGCTCCTTCAAAACGGTGGTTCAATTCTCTTAGTTGAGTACACACATCTCAAATAAGTTTCTGAGAATGCTTCTGCCTAGTTGTTACGGGAAGATATTTCCCTTTCCAACATGGGCCTGAAAGCGCTCCAAATGTCCACTTCCAGATACTACAAAAAGAGGGTTTCAAACCTGCTCTACCAAAGGGAATGTTCTACTCTGTGACTTGAATGCAAACATCCCAAAGAAGTTTCTGAGAATGCTTCTGTCTAGATTTTACCTGAAGACAATCCCGTTTCCCACGAAATCCTCAAAGCTATGCAAATATCCTCTTGCAGATTCTACAAAAAGAGTGTTTCAAAAGTGCTCTATGAAAAGAAAGGTTCAACTCTGTCAGTAGAGGGCACAACATCACAAACAAGTTTCTGAGAATGCTTCTGCATAGTTGTTACGGGAAGATATTTCCCTTTCCAAAATAGGCCTGAAAGCGCTCCAAATGTCCACTTCCAGATACTACAAAAGGAGTGATTCCAACCTGCTCTATGATAGGGAATGTTCAACTCTGTGTCCTGAATACAAACATCACAAAGATGTTTCTCAGAACGCTGCAGTCTGCAATTTGTATGAATTCCCGCTTCCAACGAAATCCTCAAAACTAGCCAAATATCCACTTGCAGATTCCACAAAAAGAGCATTTCAAAACTGCTCTATCAAAAGAAAGGTTCAACTTTGTTAGTTGAGTAGATACAGCATAAACAAGTTTCTGAGAATGCTTCTGTCCAGTTTTTATGGGAAGATATTTCCTTTTTCACCTTAGCCCTGAAAGCACTCCAAATGTCCACTTCCAGATACCACAAAAGGGGAGTTTCAAGACTGCTCTACGAAAGGGAGTGTTCAACTTTTGACTTGAATGCGAACATCAGAAAGAAGTTTCTCAGAACGCTGCTGTGTGCTTTTTATATGTATTCCCGCTTCCAGCGAAATCCCCAAAGCTAGCCAAATATCCACTTGCAGATTCCAGAAAAAGAGTGTTTCAAAACTGCTCCTTAAAAACGGTGGTTCAATTCTCTTAGTTGAGTACACACATCTCAAATAAGTTTCTGAGAATGCTTCCTGTCTATTTGTTATGGGAAGATATTTCCTTTTCCAACATAGGGCCTGAAAGCGCTCCAAATGTCCACTTCCAGATACTACAAAAGGAGTGATTCAAACCTGCTCTATGATAGGGAATGTTCAACTCTGTGTCCTGAATACAAACATCACAAAGATGTTTCTCAGAACGCTGCAGTCTGCAATTTGTATGAATTCCCGCTTCCAACGAAATCCTCAAAACTAGCCAAATATCCACTTGCAGATTCCACAAAAAGAGCGTTTCAAAACTTCTCTATGAAAAGAAAGGTTCTACTCCTTTAGTTGAGGACACACATCACGAGTAAGTTTCTGAGAATGCTTCTGTCTAGTTTTTATGGGAAGATATTTCCTTTTTCACCTTAGGCCGGTAAGTGCTCCAAATGTCCACTTACACACACTACAAAAAGAGTGTTTCAAACCTGCTCTGTGAAAGGGAATGTTCAATTCTGTGACTTGAATGCAATCATCACAAAGAACTTTCTGAGAATGCTGCTGACTGCTTTTTATATGTAATCCCGTTTCCAACGAAATCCTCAAATCTAGCCAAATAGCCACTTGCAGATTCCACAAAAAGAGTGTTTCAAAACTGTTCTGTCTAAAGAAATGTTCAACTGTGTTAGTTGAGGACACACATCAGAAACTAGTTTCTGAGAATGCTTCTGTCTAGTTGTTATGGGAAGATATTTCCTTTTCCAACGTAGGCCTGAAAGCGCTCCAAATGTCCACTTCCATATACTAAAAAAAGAGTGTTTCAAACCTGCTCTACCAAAGGGAATGTTCTACTCTGTGACTTGAATGCAAACATCCCAAAGAAGTTTCTGAGAATGCTTCTGTCTAGATTATATCTGAAGACAATCCCGTTTCCAACGAAATCCTCAAGGCTAGGCAAATATACTCTTGCAGATTCCAGACAAAGAGTGTTTCAAAACTGCTCCTTCAAAACGGTGGTTCAATTCTCTTAGTTGAGTCCACACATCTCAAATAAGTTTCTGAGAATGCTTCTGCCTAGTTGTTACGGGAAGATATTTCCCTTTCCAACATGGGCCTGAAAGCGCTCCAAATGTCCACTTCCAGATACTACAAAAAGAGTGTTTCAAACCTGCTCTACCAAAGGGAATGTTCTACTCTGTGACTTGAATGCAAACATCCCAAAGAAGTTTCTGAGAATGCTTCTGTCTAGATTTTACCTGAAGACAATCCCGTTTCCCACGAAATCCTCAAAGCTATGCAAATATCCTCTTGCAGATTCTACAAAAAGAGTGTTTCAAAACTGCTCTATGAAAAGAAAGGTTCAACTCTGTCAGTAGAGGGCACACATCACAAACAAGTTTCTGAGAATGCTTGTGTCTAGTTGTTATGGGAAGATATTTCCTTTTTCAACATAGGCCTGAAAGCGCTCCAAATGTCCACTTCCAGATACTACAAAAGGAGTGATTCCAACCTGCTCTATGATAGGGAATGTTCATCTCTGTGTCCTGAATACAAACATCACAAAGATGTTTCTCAGAGCGCTGCAGTCTGCAATTTGTATGAATTCCCGCTTCCAACGAAATCCTCAAAACTAGCCAAATATCCACTTGGAGATTCCACAAAAAGAGCGTTTCAAAACTTCTCTATGAATAGAAAGGGTCTACTCCTTTAGTTGAGGACACACATCACGAGTAAGTTTCTGAGAATGCTTCTGTCCAGTTTTTATGGGAAGATATTTCCTTTTTCACCTTAGCCCTGAAAGCGCTCCAAAATTCCAGTTCCAGATACTACAAAAGGAGTGTTTCAGGACTGCTCTATGAAAGGGAGTGTTCAACTTTTGACTTGAATGCAAACATCAGAAAGCAGTTTCTCAGAACGCTGCTGTGTGCTTTTTATATGTATTCCCGCTTCCAGCGAAATCCCCAAAGCTAGCCAAATATCCACTTGCAGATTCCAGAAAAAGAGTGTTTCAAAACTGCTCCTTCAAAACGGTGGTTCAATTCTCTTAGTTGAGTACACACATCTCAAATAAGTTTCTGAGAATGCTTCTGTCTAGTTGTTATGGGAAGATATTTCCTTTTCCAACATAGGCCTGAAAGCGCTCCAAATGTCCACTTCCAGATACTACAAAAGGAGTGATTCAAACCTGCTCTATGATAGGGAATGTTCAACTCTGTGTCCTGAATACAAACATCACAAAGATGTTTCTCAGAACGCTGCAGTCTGCAATTTGTATGAATTCCCGCTTCCAACGAAATCCTCAAAACTAGCCAAATATCCACTTGCAGATTCCACAAAAAGAGCGTTTCAAAACTTCTCTATGAAAAGAAAGGTTCTACTCCTTTAGTTGAGGACACACATCACGAGTAAGTTTCTGAGAATGCTTCTGTCTAGTTTTTATGGGAAGATATTTCCTTTTTCACCTTAGGCCGGAAAGTGCTCCAAATGTCCACTTACACACACTACAAAAAGAGTGTTTCAAACCTGCTCTGTGAAAGGGAATGTTCAATTCTGTGACTTGAATGCAATCATCACAAAGTACTTTCTGAGAATGCTGCTGACTGCTTTTTATATGTAATCCCGTTTCCAACGAAATCCTCAAATCTAGCCCAATATCCACTTGCAGATTCCACAAAAAGAGTGTTTCAAAACTGTTCTGTCTAAAGAAATGTACAACTGTGTTAGTTGAGGACACACATCAGAAACTAGTTTCTGAGAATGCTTCTGTCTAGTTCTTATGGGAAGATATTTCCTTTTCCAACGTAGGCCTGAAAGCGCTCCAAATGTCCACTTCCATATACTAAAAAAAGAGTGTTTCAAACCTGCTCTACCAAAGGGAATGTTCTACTCTGTGACTTGAATGCAAACATCCCAAAGAAGTTTCTGAGAATGCTTCTGTCTAGATTTGATCTAAAGACAATCCCGTTTCCAACGAAATCCTCAAGGCTAGGCAAATATACTCTTGCAGATTCCAGAAAAAGAGTGTTTCAAAACTGCTCCTTCAAAACGGTGGTTCAATTCTCTTAGTTGAGTACACACATCTCAAATAAGTTTCTGAGAATGCTTCTGCCTAGTTGTTACGGGAAGATATTTCCCTTTCCAACATGGGCCTGAAAGCGCTCCAAATGTCCACTTCCAGATACTACAAAAAGAGTGTTTCAAACCTGCTCTACCAAAGGGAATGTTCTACTCTGTGACTTGAATGCAAACATCCCAAAGAAGTTTCTGAGAATGCTTCTGTCTAGATTTTACCTGAAGACAATCCCGTTTCCCACGAAATCCTCAAAGCTATGCAAATATCCTCTTGCAGATTCTACAAAAAGAGTGTTTCAAAACTGCTCTATGAAAAGAAAGGTTCAACTCTGTCAGTAGAGGGCACACATCACAAACAAGTTTCTGAGAATGCTTGTGTCTAGTTGTTATGGGAAGATATTTCCTTTTTCAACATAGGCCTGAAAGCGCTCCAAATGTCCACTTCCAGATACTACAAAAGGAGTGATTCCAACCTGCTCTATGATAGGGAATGTTCATCTCTGTGTCCTGAATACAAACATCACAAAGATGTTTCTCAGAACGCTGCAGTCTGCAATTTGTATGAATTCCCGCTTCCAACGAAATCCTCAAACCTAGCCAAATATCCACTTGCAGATTCCACAAAAAGACCATTTCAAAACTGCTCTATCAAAAGAAAGGTTCAACTTTGTTAGTTGAGTAGATACAGCATAAACAAGTTTCTGAGAATGCTTCTGTCCAGTTTTTATGGGAAGATATTTCCTTTTTCACCTTAGCCCTGAAAGCGCTCCAAATGTCCAGTTCCAGATACTACAAAAGGGGTGTTTCAAGACTGCTCTATGAAAGGGAGTGTTCAACTTTTGACTTGAATGCAAACATCAGAAAGCAGTTTCTCAGAACGCTGCTGTGTGCTTTTTATATGTATTCCCGCTTCCAGCGAAATCCCCAAAGCTAGCCAAATATCCACTTGCAGATTCCAGAAAAAGAGTGTTTCAAAACTGCTCCTTCAAAACGGTGGTTCAATTCTCTTAGTTGAGTACACACATCTCAAATAAGTTTCTGAGAATGCTTCTGTCTAGTTGTTATGGGAAGATATTTCCTTTTCCAACATAGGCCTGAAAGCGCTCCAAATGTCCACTTCCAGATACTACAAAAGGAGTGATTCAAACCTGCTCTATGATAGGGAATGTTCAACTCTGTGTCCTGAATACAAACATCACAAAGATGTTTCTCAGAACGCTGCAGTCTGCAATTTGTATGAATTCCCCGCTTCCAACGAAATCCTCAAAACTAGCCAAATATCCACTTGCAGATTCCACAAAAAGAGCGTTTCAAAACTTCTCTATGAAAAGAAAGGTTCTACTCCTTTAGTTGAGGACACACATCACGAGTAAGTTTCTGAGAATGCTTCTGTCTAGTTTTTATGGGAAGATATTTCCTTTTTCACCTTAGGCCGGTAAGTGCTCCAAATGTCCACTTACACACACTACAAAAAGAGTGTTTCAAACCTGCTCTGTGAAAGGGAATGTTCAATTCTGTGACTTGAATGCAATCATCACAAAGAACTTTCTGAGAATGCTGCTGACTGCTTTTTATATGTAATCCCGTTTCCAACGAAATCCTCAAATCTAGCCAAATAGCCACTTGCAGATTCCACAAAAAGAGTGTTTCAAAACTGTTCTGTCTAAAGAAATGTTCAACTGTGTTAGTTGAGGACACACATCAGAAACTAGTTTCTGAGAATGCTTCTGTCTAGTTGTTATGGGAAGATATTTCCTTTTCCAACGTAGGCCTGAAAGCGCTCCAAATGTCCATTTCCAGATACTACAAAAAGAGTGTTTCAAACCTGCTCTACCAAAGGGAATGTTCTACTCTGTGACTTGAATGCAAACATCCCAAAGAAGTTTCTGAGAATGCTTCTGTCTAGATTTTCTCTGAAGACAATCCCGTTTCCAACGAAATCCTCAAGGCTAGGCAAATATACTCTTGCAGATTCCAGAAAAAGAGTGTTTCAAAACTGCTCCTTCAAAACGGTGGTTCAATTCTCTTAGTTGAGTACACACATCTCAAATAAGTTTCTGAGAATGCTTCTGCCTAGTTGTTACGGGAAGTATATTTCCCTTTCCAACATAGGCCTGAAAGCGCTCCAAATGTCCACTTCCAGATACTATAAAAAGAGTGTTTCAAACCTGCTCTACCAAAGGGAATGTTCTACTCTGTGACTTGAATGCAAACATCCCAAAGAAGTTTCTGAGAATGCTTCTGTCTAGATTTTACCTGAAAACAATCCCGTTTCCCACGAAATCCTCAAAGCTATGCAAATATCCTCTTGCAGATTCTACAAAAAGAGTGTTTCGAAACTGCTCTATGAAAAGAAAGGTTCAACTCTGTCAGTAGAGGGCACACATCACAAACAAGTTTACTGAGAATGCTTCTGCATAGTTGTTACGGGAAGATATTTCCCTTTCCAAAATAGGCCTGAAAGCGCTCCAAATGTCCACTTCCAGATACTACAAAAGGAGTGATTCCAACCTGCTCTATGATAGGGAATGTTCAACTCTGTGTCCTGAATACAAACATCACAAAGATGTTTCTCAGAACGCTGCAGTCTGCAATTTGTATGAATTCCCGCTTCCAACGAAATCCTCCAAACTAGCCAAATATCCACTTGCAGATTCCACAAAAAGAGCATTTCAAAACTGCTCTATCAAAAGAAAGGTTCAACTTTGTTAGTTGAGTAGATACAGCATAAACAAGTTTCTGAGAATGCTTCTGTCCAGTTTTTATGGGAAGATATTTCCTTTTTCACCTTAGCCCAGAAAGCGCTCCAAAAGTCCAGTTCCAGATACTACAAAAGGAGTGTTTCAGGACTGCTCTATGAAAGGGAGTGTTCAACTTTTGACTTGAATGCAAACATCAGAAAGCAGTTTCTCAGAACGCTGCTGTGTGCTTTTTATATGT